>NC_000017.11:24751133-25062356 GCF_000001405.40 Homo sapiens
GGACGTTTGGAGGGCTTTGTGGTTTGTGGTGGAAAAGGAAATATCTTCACCTAAATACTAGATAGAAGCATTCTCAGAAGCTTCTCTGTGATGACTGCATTCAACTCACGGAGTTGAACACTCCTTTTGAGAGCGCAGTTTTGAAACTCTCTTTCTGTGGCATCTGCAAGGGGACATGTAGACCTCTTTGAAGATTTCGTTGGAAACGGAATCATCTTCACATAAAAACTATACAGAAGCAGTCTCAGAATCTTCTTTGTGATGTTTGCATTCAAATCCCAGAGTTGAACTTTCCTTTCAAAGTTCACGTTTGAAACACTCTTTTTGCAGGATCTACAAGTGGATATTTGGACCACTCTGTGTCCTTCGTTCGAAACGGGTATATCTTCACACGACATCTAGACAGAAGCTTTCTCAGAAAATTCTTTGGGATGATTGAGTGGAACTCACAGAGCTGAACATTCCTTGCGATGGAGCAGTTTAGAAACACACTTTCTGCAGAATCTGCAAGTGCATATTTGGACCTCTCTGAGGAATTCGTTGGAAACGGGATAATTTCAGCTGACTAAACAGAAGCATTCTCAGAACCTTCTTCGTGATGTCTGCATTCAACTCACAGTGTGGAACCTTTCTTTGATAGTTCAGGTTTGAAACACTCTTTTTGTAGAAACTGCAAGGGGATAATTGCACTTCTTTGAGGCCTACCGTAGTAAAGGAAATAACTTCCTATAGAAAGAAGACAGAAGCATTCTCAGAACCCTGTTCGTGATGTTTGCATTCAACTCACAGTGCTGAACCTTTCTTTGATAGTTCAGCTTTGAAACACTCTTCTTGTAGAAACTGCAAGTGGATATTTGGTCCTCTCTGAGGATTTCGTTGGAAACGGGATAAACCGCACAGAACTAAAACAGAAGCATTCTCAGAGCCCTCTTCGTGATGTTTGCATTCAACTCACAGTGCTGAACCTTTCTTTGATAGTGCAGCTTTGAAACACTCTTTTTGTAGAAACTGCAAGTGGATGTTTGGTCCTCTCTGAGGATTTCGTTGGAAACGGGATAAACCGCACAGAACTAAAACAGAAGCATTGTCAGAAACTTCTTTGTGATGATTGCATTCAACTCACAGAGTTGAAGGTTCCTTTTCAAACAGCAGTTTCCAATCACTCTTTCTGTGGAATCTGCAAGTGGATATTTGGGCCTCTCTGAGGATTTCGTTGGAAACGGGATAAAACGCACAGAACTAAAACAGAAGCATTCTCAGAAACTTCTCTGTGATGTTTGTGTTCAACTCCCAGAGTTTCACGTTGCTTTTCATAGAGTAGTTCTGAAACATGCTTTTCGTAGTGTCTGCAAGTGGACATTTGGAGCGCTTTCAGGCCTGTGGTGGAAAACGAATTATGGTCACATAAAAACTGGAGAGAAGCCTTCTCAGAAACTTCTCTGTGATGATTGCATTCAACTCACAGAGTTGAACCCTCCTATGGATAGAGCAGTGTTGAAACTCTCTTTTTGTGGAATCTGCAAGTGGATATGTGGACCTCTCCGAAGATGTCTTTGGAAACGGGAATATCTTCACATAAAAACTAAACAGAAGCATTCTCAGAAACTTCTTGGTGATGTTTGCATTCAAATCCCAGAGTTGAACCTTCCTTTGATAGTTCAGGTTTGAAACACTCTTTCTGTAGGATCTGCAAGTGGCTATTTGGACCACTCTGTGGCCTTCGTTCGAAACGGGTATATCTTCGCATAAAATCTAGACAGAAGCATTCTCAGAAAATACTTTGTGATGATTGAGTTTAAATCACAGAGCTGACCATTCCTTTGGATGGAGCAGGTTTGAGACACACTTTTTGTAGAATCTACAAGTGGATATTTGGACCTCTCTGAGGATTTCGTTGGAAACGGGATAACTGCACCTAACTAAACGGAAGCATTCTCAGAAACTGCTTTGTGATGATTGCATTCACCTCACAGAGTTGAACATTCCTATTGATAGAGCAGTTTGGAAACACTCTTGTTGCGGAATGTGCAAGTGGAGATTTGGAGCGCTTTGAGGCCTGTGGTAGTAAAGGGAATAGCTTCATAGAAAAACTAGACAGATGCATTCTCAGGAACTTTTTGGTGATGTTTGTATTCAACTCCCAGAGTTGAACTTTCCTTTGGAAAGAGCAGCTATGAAACACTCTTTTTCTAGAATCTGCAAGTGGACGTTTGGAGGGCTTTGTGGTTTGTGGTGGAAAAGGAAATATCTTCACCTAAATACTAGATAGAAGCATTCTCAGAAGCTTCTCTGTGATGACTGCATTCAACTCACGGAGTTGAACACTCCTTTTGAGAGCGCAGTTTTGAAACTCTCTTTCTGTGGCATCTGCAAGGGGACATGTAGACCTCTTTGAAGATTTCGTTGGAAACGGAATCATCTTCACATAAAAACTATACAGAAGCATTCTCAGAATCTTCTTTGTGATGTTTGCATTCAAATCCCAGAGTTGAACTTTCCTTTCAAAGTTCACGTTTGAAACACTCTTTTTGCAGGATCTACAAGTGGATATTTGGACCACTCTGTGTCCTTCGTTCGAAACGGGTATATCTTCACATGACATCTAGACAGAAGCTTTCTCAGAAAATTCTTTGGGATGAGTGAGTGGAACTCACAGAGCTGAACATTCCTTGCGATGTAGCAGTTTAGAAACACAGTTTCTGCAGAATCTGCAAGTGCATATTTGGACCTCTCTGAGGAATTCGTTGGAAACGGGATAATTTCAGCTGACTAAACAGAAGCATTCTCAGAACCTTCTTCGTGATGTCTGCATTCAACTCACAGTGTGGAACCTTTCTTTGATAGTTCAGGTTTGAAACACTCTTTTTGTAGAAAGTGCAAGGGGATAATTGCACTTCTTTGAGGCCTACCGTAGTAAAGGAAATAACTTCCTATAGAAAGAAGACAGAAGCATTCTCAGAACCCTCTTCGTGATGTTTGCATTCAACTCACAGTGCTGAACCTTTCTTTGATAGTTCAGCTTTGAAACACTCTTCTTGTAGAAACTGCAAGTGGATATTTGGTCCTCTCTGAGGATTTCGTTGGAAACGGGATAAACTGCACAGAACTAAACAGAAGCATTCTCAGAGCCCTCTTCGTGATGTTTGCATTCAACTCACAGTGCTGAACCTTTCTTTGATAGTGCAGCTTTGAAACACTCTTTTTGTAGAAACTGCAAGTGGATATTTGGTCCTCTCTGAGGATTTCGTTGGAAATGGGATAAACCGCACAGAACTAAAACAGAAGCATTCACAGAAAACTCTTGGTGACGACTGAGTTTAACTCACAGAGCTGAACATTCCTTTGGATGGAGCAGTTTCGAAACACACTATTTGTAGAATGTGCAAGTGGATATTTGGGCCTCTCTCAGGATTTCGTTGGAAACGGGATAAAACGCACAGAACTAAATCAGAAGCATTCTCAGAAACTACTTTGTGATGATTGCATTCAAGTCACAGAGTTGAACATTCCCTTTGACAGAGCAGTTTGGAAACTCTCTTTGTGTAGAATCTGCAAGTGGAGATATGGACCGCTTTGAGGCCTATGGTAGTAAAGGAAATAGCTTCATATAAAAGCTAGACAGTAGCATTCTCAGAAACTTCTTTGTGATGCTTGCATTCAACTCACAGAGTTGAACTTTCCTTTCGAGAGAGAAGCTTTGAAACACTCTTTTTCCGGAATCTGCAAGTGGACATTTGGAGGGCTTTGAGGCCTGTGGTGGAAAAGGAATTATCTTCTCGTAAAAGCTAGATAGAAGCATTGTCAGAAACTTCTTTGTGATGATTGCATTCAACTCACAGAGTTGAAGGTTCCATTTCAAACAGCAGTTTCCAATCACTCTTTCTGTGGAATCTGCAAGTGGGTATTTCGACCTCTTTGAAGATTTCGTTGGAAACGGGAGAATCTTCACAGAAAAGCTAAACAGAAGCATTCTCAGAAACTTCTCTGTGATGTTTGTGTTCAACTCCCAGAGTTTCACGTTGCTTTTCATAGAGTAGTTCTGAAACATGCTTTTCGTAGTGTCTGCAAGTGGACATTTGGAGCGCTTTCAGGCCTGTGGTGGAAAACGAATTAGGGTCACATAAAAACTGGAGAGAAGCCTTCTCAGAAACTTCTCTGTGATGATTGCATTCAACTCACAGAGTTGAACCCTCCTATGGATAGAGCAGTGTTGAAACTCTCTTTTTGTGGAATCTGCAAGTGGACATGTGGACCTCTCCGAAGATGTCTTTGGAAACAGGAATATCTTCACATAAAAACTAAACAGAAGCATTCTCAGAAACTTCTTGGTGATGTTTGCATTCAAATCCCAGAGTTGAACCTTCCTTTGATAGTTCAGGTTTGAAACACTCTTTCTGTAGGATCTGCAAGTGGCTATTTGGACCACTCTGTGGCCTTCGTTCGAAACGGGTATATCTTCGCATAAAATCTAGACAGAAGCATTCTCAGAAAATACTTTGTGATGATTGAGTTTAAATCACAGAGCTGACCATTCCTTTGGATGGAGCAGGTTTGAGACACACTTTTTGTAGAATCTACAAGTGGATATTTGGACCTCTCTGAGGATTTCGTTGGAAACGGGATAACTGCACCTAACTAAACGGAAGCATTCTCAGAAACTGCTTTGTGATGATTGCATTCACCTCACAGAGTTGAACATTCCTATTGATAGAGCAGTTTGGAAACACTCTTGTTGTGGAATGTGCAAGTGGAGATTTGGAGCGCTTTGAGGCCTATGGTAGTAAAGGGAATAGCTTCATAGAAAAACTAGACAGATGCATTCTCAGGAACCTTTTGGTGATGTTTGTATTCAACTCCCAGAGTTGAACTTTCCTTTGGAAAGAGCAGCTATGAAACACTCTTTTTCTAGAATCTGCAAGTGGACGTTTGGAGGGCTTTGTGGTTTGTGGTGGAAAAGGAAATATCTTCACCTAAATACTAGATAGAAGCATTCTCAGAAGCTTCTCTGTGATGACTGCATTCAACTCACGGAGTTGAACACTCCTTTTGAGAGCGCAGTTTTGAAACTCTCTTTCTGTGGCATCTGCAAGGGGACATGTAGACCTCTTTGAAGATTTCGTTGGAAACGGAATCATCTTCACATAAAAACTATACAGAAGCAGTCTCAGAATCTTCTTTGTGATGTTTGCATTCAAATCCCAGAGTTGAACTTTCCTTTCAAAGTTCACGTTTGAAACACTCTTTTTGCAGGATCTACAAGTGGATATTTGGACCACTCTGTGTCCTTCGTTCGAAACGGGTATATCTTCACACGACATCTAGACAGAAGCTTTCTCAGAAAATTCTTTGGGATGATTGAGTGGAACTCACAGAGCTGAACATTCCTTGCGATGTAGCAGTTTAGAAACACACTTTCTGCAGAATCTGCAAGTGCATATTTGGACCTCTCTGAGGAATTCGTTGGAAACGGGATAATTTCAGCTGACTAAACAGAAGCATTCTCAGAACTTCTTCGTGATGTCTGCATTCAACTCACAGTGTGGAACCTTTCTTTGATAGTTCAGGTTTGAAACACTCTTTTTGTAGAAACTGCAAGGGGATAATTGCACTTCTTTGAGGCCTACCGTAGTAAAGGAAATAACTTCCTATAGAAAGAAGACAGAAGAATTCTCAGAGCCCTCTTCGTGATGTTTGCATTCAACTCACAGTGCTGAACCTTTCTTTGATAGTGCAGCTTTGAAACACTCTTTTTGTAGAAACTGCAAGTGGATGTTTGGTCCTCTCTGAGGATTTCGTTGGAAACGGGATAAACCGCACAGAACTAAAACAGAAGCATTGTCAGAAACTTCTTTGTGATGATTGCATTCAACTCACAGAGTTGAAGGTTCCTTTTCAAACAGCAGTTTCCAATCACTCTTTCTGTGGAATCTGCAAGTGGATATTTGGGCCTCTCTGAGGATTTCGTTGGAAACGGGATAAAACGCACAGAACTAAAACAGAAGCATTCTCAGAAACTTCTCTGTGATGTTTGTGTTCAACTCCCAGAGTTTCACGTTGCTTTTCATAGAGTACTTCTGAAACATGCTTTTCGTAGTGTCTGCAAGTGGACATTTGGAGCGCTTTCAGGCCTGTGGTGGAAAACGAATTATGGTCACATAAAAACTGGAGAGAAGCCTTCTCAGAAACTTCTCTGTGATGATTGCATTCAACTCACAGAGTTGAACCCTCCTATGGATAGAGCAGTGTTGAAACTCTCTTTTTGTGGAATCTGCAAGTGGATATGTGGACCTCTCCGAAGATGTCTTTGGAAACGGGAATATCTTCACATAAAAACTAAACAGAAGCATTCTCAGAAACTTCTTGGTGATGTTTGCATTCAAATCCCAGAGTTGAACCTTCCTTTGATAGTTCAGGTTTGAAACACTCTTTTTGTAGGATCTGCAAGTGGATATTTGGACCACTCTGTGGCCTTCGTTCGAAACGGGTATATCTTCGCATAAAATCCAGACAGAAGCACTCTCAGAAAATACTTTGTGATGATTGAGTTTAACTCACAGAGCTGAACGTTCCTTTGGATGGAGCAGGTTTGAGACACACATTTGTAGAATCTACAAGTGGATATTTGGACCTCTCTGAGGATTTCGTTGGAAACGCGATAACTGCACCTAACTAAACGGAAGCATTCTCAGAAACTGCTTTGTGATGATTGCATTCACCTCACAGAGTTGAACATTCCTATTGATAGAGCAGTTTGGACACCCTCTTGTTGTGGAATGTGCAAGTGGAGATTTGGAGCGCTTTGAGGCCTATGGTAGTAAAGGGAATAGCTTCATAGAAAAACTAGACAGATGCATTCTCAGGAACTTTTTGGTGATGTTTGTATTCAACTCCCAGAGTTGAACTTTCCTTTGGAAAGAGCAGCTATGAAACACTCTTTTTCTAGAATCTGCAAGTGGACGTTTGGAGGGCTTTGTGGTTTGTGGTGGAAAAGGAAATATCTTCACCTAAATACTAGATAGAAGCATTCTCAGAAGCTTCTCTGTGATGACTGCATTCAACTCACGGAGTTGAACACTCCTTTTGAGAGCGCAGTTTTGAAACTCTCTTTCTGTGGCATCTGCAAGGGGACATGTAGACCTCTTTGAAGATTTCGTTGGAAACGAATCATCTTCACATAAAAACTATACAGAAGCAGTCTCAGAATCTTCTTTGTGATGTTTGCATTCAAATCCCAGAGTTGAACTTTCCTTTCAAAGTTCACGTTTGAAACACTCTTTTTGCAGGATCTACAAGTGGATATTTGGACCACTCTGTGTCCTTCGTTCGAAACGGGTATATCTTCACATGACATCTAGACAGAAGCTTTCTCAGAAAATTGTTTGGGATGATTGATTTGAACTCACAGAGCTGAGCATTCCTTGCGATGTAGCAGTTTAGAAACACACTTTCTGCAGAATCTGCAAGTGCATATTTGGACCTCTCTGAGGAATTCGTTGGAAACGGGATAATTTCAGCTGACTAAACAGAAGCATTCTCAGAACCTTCTTCGTGATGTCTGCATTCAACTCACAGTGTGGAACCTTTCTTTGATAGTTCAGGTTTGAAACACTCTTTTTGTAGAAACTGCAAGGGGATAATTGCACTCTTTGAGGAGTACCGTAGTAAAGGAAATAACTTCCTATAAAAAGAAGACAGAAGCATTCTCAGAACCCTCTTCGTGATGTTTGCATTCAACTCACAGTGCTGAACCTTTCTTTGATAGTTCAGCTTTGAAACACTCTTTTTGTAGAAACTGCAAATGGATATTTGGTCCTCTCTGAGGATTTCGTTGGAAAAGGGATAAAACGCCCAGAACTAAACAGAAGCATTCACAGAAAACTCTTGGTGACGACTGAGTTTAACTCACAGAGCTGAACATTCCTTTGGATGGAGCAGTTTCAAAACACACTATTTGTAGAATCTGCAAGTGGATATGTGGGCCTCTCTGAGGATTTCGTTGGAAACGGGATAAACCGCACAGAACTAAAACAGAAGCATTCTCAGAAACTACTTTGTGATGATTGCATTCAAGTCACAGAGTTGAACATTCCCTTTGACAGAGCAGTTTGGAAACTCTCTTTGTGTAGAATCTGCAAGTGGAGATATGGACCGCTTTGAGGCCTATGGTAGTAAAGGAAATAGCTTCATATAAAAGCTAGACAGTAGCATTCTCAGAAACTTCTTTGTGATGCTTGCATTCAACTCACAGAGTTGAACTTTCCTTTCGAGAGAGAAGCTTTGAAACACTCTTTTTCCAGAATGTGCAAGTGGAGATTTGGAGGGCTTTGAGGCCTGTGGTGGAAAAGGAATCATCTTCCCGTAAAAGCTAGATGGAAGCATTGTCAGAAACTTCTTTGTGATGATTGCATTCAACTCACAGAGTTGAAGGTTCCTTTTCAAACAGCAGTTTCCAATCACTCTTTCTGTGGAATCTGCAAGTGGATATTTGGACCTAGTTTGAAGATTTCGTTGGAAACGGGATAATCTTCACAGAAAAGCTAAACAGAAGCATTCTCAGAAACTTCTCTGTGATGTTTGTGTTCAACTCCCAGAGTTTCACATTGCTTTTCATAGAGTAGTTCTGAAACATGCTTTTCGTAGGGTCTGCAAGTGGACATTTGGAGCGCTTTCAGGCCTGTGGTGGAAAACGAATTATGGTCACATAAAAACTGGAGAGAAGCCTTCTCAGAAACTTCTCTGTGATGATTGCATTCAACTCACAGAGTTGAACCCTCCTATGGATAGAGAAGTGTTGAAACTCTCTTTTTGTGGAATCTGCAAGCGGATATGTGGACCTCTCCGAAGATGTCTTTGGAAACGGGAATATCTTCACATAAAAACTAAACAGAAGCATTCTCAGAAACTTCTTGGTGATGTTTGCATTCAAATCCCAGAGTTGAACCTTCCTTTGATAGTTCAGGTTTGAAACACTCTTTTTGTAGGATCTGCAAGTGGATATTTGGACCACTCTGTGGCCTTCGTTCGAAACGGGTACATCTTCGCATAAAATCTAGACAGAAGCATTCTCAGAAAATACTTTGTGATGATTGAGTTTAACTCACAGAGCTGAACATTCCTTTGAATGGAGCAGGTTTGAGACACACTTTTTGTAGAATCTACAAGTGGATATTTGGACCTCTCTGAGGATTTTGTTGGAAACGGGATAACTGCACCTAACTAAACGGAAGCATTCTCAGAAACTGCTTTGTGATGATTGCATTCACCTCACAGAGTTGAACATTCCTATTGATAGAGCAGTTTGGAAACACTCTTGTTGTGGAATGTGCAAGTGGAGATTTGGAGCGCTTTGAGGCCTATGGTAGTAAAGGGAATAGCTTCATAGAAAAACTAGACAGATGCATTCTCAGGAACTTTTTGGTGATGTTTGTATTCAACTCCCAGAGTTGAACTTTCCTTTGGAAAGAGCAGCTATGAAACACTCTTTTTCTAGAATCTGCAAGTGGACGTTTGGAGGGCTTTGTGGTTTGTGGTGGAAAAGGAAATATCTTCACCTAAATACTAGAGAGAAGCATTCTCAGAAGCTTCTCTGTGATGACTGCATTCAACTCACGGAGTTGAACACTCCTTTTGAGAGCGCAGTTTTGAAACTCTCTTTCTGTGGCATCCGCAAGGGGACATGTAGACCTCTTTGAAGATTTCGTTGGAAACGGAATCATCTTCACATAAAAACTATACAGAAGCAGTCTCAGAATCTTCTTTGTGATGTTTGCATTCAAATCCCAGAATTGAACTTTACTTTAAAGTTCACGTTTGAAACACTCTTTTTGCAGGATCTACAAGTGGATATTTGGACCACTCTGTGTCCTTCGTTCGAAACGGGTATATCTTCACATGACATCTAGACAGAAGCTTTCTCAGAAAATTCTTTGGGATGATTGAGTGGAACTCACAGAGCTGAACATTCCTTGCGATGTAGCAGTTTAGAAACACACTTTCTGCAGAATCTGCAAGTGCATATTTGGACCTCTCTGAGGAATTCGTTGGAAACGGGATAATTTCAGCTGACTAAACAGAAGCATTCTCAGAACCTTCTTCGTGATGTCTGCATTCAACTCACAGTGTGGAACCTTTCTTTGATAGTTCAGGTTTGAAACACTCTTTTTGTAGAAACTGCAAGGGGATAATTGCACTTCTTTGAGGCCTACCGTAGTAAAGGAAATAACTTCCTATAGAAAGAAGACAGAAGCATTCTCAGAACCCTCTTCGTGATGTTTGCATTCAACTCACAGTGCTGAACCTTTCTTTGATAGTTCAGCTTTGAAACACTCTTCTTGTAGAAACTGCAAGTGGATATTTGGTCCTCTCTGAGGATTTCGTTGGAAACGGGATAAACCGCACAGAACTAAACAGAAGAATTCTCAGAGCCCTCTTCGTGATGTTTGCATTCAACTCACAGTGCTGAACCTTTCTTTGATAGTGCAGCTTTGAAACACTCTTTTTGTAGAAACTGCAAGTGGATGTTTGGTCCTCTCTGAGGATTTCGTTGGAAACGGGATAAACCGCACAGAACTAAAACAGAAGCATTGTCAGAAACTTCTTTGTGATGATTGCATTCAACTCACAGAGTTGAAGGTTCCTTTTCAAACAGCAGTTTCCAATCACTCTTTCTGTGGAATCTGCAAGTGGATATTTGGGCCTCTCTGAGGATTTCGTTGGAAACGGGATAAAACGCACAGAACTAAAACAGAAGCATTCTCAGAAACTTCTCTGTGATGTTTGTGTTCAACTCCCAGAGTTTCACGTTGCTTTTCATAGAGTAGTTCTGAAACATGCTTTTCGTAGTGTCTGCAAGTGGACATTTGGAGCGCTTTCAGGCCTGTGGTGGAAAACGAATTATGGTCACATAAAAACTGGAGAGAGCCTTCTCAGAAACTTCTCTGTGATGATTGCATTCAACTCACAGAGTTGAACCCTCCTATGGATAGAGCAGTGTTGAAACTCTCTTTTTGTGGAATCTGCAAGTGGATATGTGGACCTCTCCGAAGATGTCTTTGGAAACGGGAATATCTTCACATAAAAACTAAACAGAAGCATTCTCAGAAACTTCTTGGTGATGTTTGCATTCAAATCCCAGAGTTGAACCTTCCTTTGGTAGTTCAGGTTTGAAACACTCTTTTTGTAGGATCTGCAAGTGGATATTTGGACCACTCTGTGGCCTTCGTTCGAAACGGGTACATCTTCGCATAAAATCTAGACAGAAGCATTCTCAGAAAATACTTTGTGATGATTGAGTTTAAATCACAGAGCTGACCATTCCTTTGGATGGAGCAGGTTTGAGACACACTTTTTGTAGAATCTACAAGTGGATATTTGGACCTCTCTGAGGATTTCGTTGGAAACGGGATAACTGCACCTAACTAAACGGAAGCATTCTCAGAAACTGCTTTGTGATGATTGCATTCACCTCACAGAGTTGAACATTCCTATTGATAGAGCAGTTTGGAAACACTCTTGTTGTGGAATGTGCAAGTGGAGATTTGGAGCGCTTTGAGGCCTATGGTAGTAAAGGGAATAGCTTCATAGAAAAACTAGACAGATGCATTCTCAGGAACCTTTTGGTGATGTTTGTATTCAACTCCCAGAGTTGAACTTTCCTTTGGAAAGAGCAGCTATGAAACACTCTTTTTCTAGAATCTGCAAGTGGACGTTTGGAGGGCTTTGTGGTTTGTGGTGGAAAAGGAAATATCTTCACCTAAATACTAGATAGAAGCATTCTCAGAAGCTTCTCTGTGATGACTGCATTCAACTCACGGAGTTGAACACTCCTTTTGAGAGCGCAGTTTTGAAACTCTCTTTCTGTGGCATCTGCAAGGGGACATGTAGACCTCTTTGAAGATTTCGTTGGAAACGGAATCATCTTCACATAAAAACTATACAGAAGCAGTCTCAGAATCTTCTTTGTGATGTTTGCATTCAAATCCCAGAGTTGAACTTTCCTTTCAAAGTTCACGTTTGAAACACTCTTTTTGCAGGATCTACAAGTGGATATTTGGACCACTCTGTGTCCTTCGTTCGAAACGGGTATATCTTCACACGACATCTAGACAGAAGCTTTCTCAGAAAATTCTTTGGGATGATTGAGTGGAACTCACAGAGCTGAACATTCCTTGCGATGGAGCAGTTTAGAAACACACTTTCTGCAGAATCTGCAAGTGCATATTTGGACCTCTCTGAGGAATTCGTTGGAAACGGGATAATTTCAGCTGACTAAACAGAAGCATTCTCAGAACCTTCTTCGTGATGTCTGCATTCAACTCACAGTGTGGAACCTTTCTTTGATAGTTCAGGTTTGAAACACTCTTTTTGTAGAAACTGCAAGGGGATAATTGCACTTCTTTGAGGCCTACCGTAGTAAAGGAAATAACTTCCTATAGAAAGAAGACAGAAGCATTCTCAGAACCCTCTTCGTGATGTTTGCATTCAACTCACAGTGCTGAACCTTTCTTTGATAGTTCAGCTTTGAAACACTCTTCTTGTAGAAACTGCAAGTGGATATTTGGTCCTCTCTGAGGATTTCGTTGGAAACGGGATAAACCGCACAGAACTAAACAGAAGAATTCTCAGAGCCCTCTTCGTGATGTTTGCATTCAACTCACAGTGCTGAACCTTTCTTTGATAGTGCAGCTTTGAAACACTCTTTTTGTAGAAACTGCAAGTGGATGTTTGGTCCTCTCTGAGGATTTCGTTGGAAACGGGATAAACCGCACAGAACTAAAACAGAAGCATTGTCAGAAACTTCTTTGTGATGATTGCATTCAACTCACAGAGTTGAAGGTTCCTTTTCAAACAGCAGTTTCCAATCACTCTTTCTGTGGAATCTGCAAGTGGATATTTGGGCCTCTCTGAGGATTTCGTTGGAAACGGGATAAAACGCACAGAACTAAAACAGAAGCATTCTCAGAAACTTCTCTGTGATGTTTGTGTTCAACTCCCAGAGTTTCACGTTGCTTTTCATAGAGTAGTTCTGAAACATGCTTTTCGTAGTGTCTGCAAGTGGACATTTGGAGCGCTTTCAGGCCTGTGGTGGAAAACGAATTATGGTCACATAAAAACTGGAGAGAAGCCTTCTCAGAAACTTCTCTGTGATGATTGCATTCAACTCACAGAGTTGAACCCTCCTATGGGTAGAGCAGTGTTGAAACTCTCTTTTTGTGGAATCTGCAAGTGGATATGTGGACCTCTCCGAAGATGTCTTTGGAAACGGGAATATCTTCACATAAAAACTAAACAGAAGCATTCTCAGAAACTTCTTGGTGATGTTTGCATTCAAATCCCAGAGTTGAACCTTCCTTTGATAGTTCAGGTTTGAAACACTCTTTCTGTAGGATCTGCAAGTGGCTATTTGGACCACTCTGTGGCCTTCGTTCGAAACGGGTATATCTTCGCATAAAATCTAGACAGAAGCATTCTCAGAAAATACTTTGTGATGATTGAGTTTAAATCACAGAGCTGACCATTCCTTTGGATGGAGCAGGTTTGAGACACACTTTTTGTAGAATCTACAAGTGGATATTTGGACCTCTCTGAGGATTTCGTTGGAAACGGGATAACTGCACCTAACTAAACGGAAGCATTCTCAGAAACTGCTTTGTGATGATTGCATTCACCTCACAGAGTTGAACATTCCTATTGATAGAGCAGTTTGGAAACACTCTTGTTGTGGAATGTGCAAGTGGAGATTTGGAGCGCTTTGAGGCCTGTGGTAGTAAAGGGAATAGCTTCATAGAAAAACTAGACAGATGCATTCTCAGGAACTTTTTGGTGATGTTTGTATTCAACTCCCAGAGTTGAACTTTCCTTTGGAAAGAGCAGCTATGAAACACTCTTTTTCTAGAATCTGCAAGTGGACGTTTGGAGGGCTTTGTGGTTTGTGGTGCAAAAGGAAATATCTTCACCTAAATACTAGATAGAAGCATTCTCAGAAGCTTCTCTGTGATGACTGCATTCAACTCACGGAGTTGAACACTCCTTTTGAGAGCGCAGTTTTGAAACTCTCTTTCTGTGGCATCTGCAAGGGGACATGTAGACCTCTTTGAAGATTTCGTTGGAAACGGAATCATCTTCACATAAAAACTATACAGAAGCAGTCTCAGAATCTTCTTTGTGATGTTTGCATTCAAATCCCAGAGTTGAACTTTCCTTTCAAAGTTCACGTTTGAAACACTCTTTTTGCAGGATCTACAAGTGGATATTTGGACCACTCTGTGTCCTTCGTTCGAAACGGGTATATCTTCACATGACATCTAGACAGAAGCTTTCTCAGAAAATTCTTTGGGATGATTGAGTTGAACTCACAGAGCTGAACATTCCTTGCGATGTAGCAGTTTAGAAACACACTTTCTGCAGAATCTGCAAGTGCATATTTGGACTTCTCTGAGGAATTCGTTGGAAACGGGATAATTTCAGCTGACTAAACAGAAGCATTCTCAGAACCTTCTTCGTGATGTCTGCATTCAACTCACAGTGTGGAACTTTTCTTTGATAGTTCAGGTTTGAAACACTCTTTTTGTAGAAACTGCAAGGGGATAATTGCACTTCTTTCAGGTCTACCGTAGTAAAGGAAATAACTTCCTATAAAAAGAAGACAGAAGCATTCTCAGAACCCTCTTCGTGATGTTTGCATTCAACTCACAGTGCTGAATCTTTCTTTGATAGTTCAGCTTTGAAACACTCTTCTTGTAGAAACTGCAAGTGGATATTTGGTCCTCTCTGAGGATTTCGTTGGAAACGGGATAAACCGCACAGAACTAAACAGAAGCATTCTCAGAACCTTCTTCGTGATGTTTGCATTCAACTCACAGTGTTGAACCTTTCTTTGATAGTTCAGGTTTGAAACGGTCTTTCTGTAGAAACTGCAAGTAGATATTTGGACCTCTCTGAGGATTTCGTTGGAAACGGGATAACCCGCACAGAACTAAAACAGAAGCATTCACAGAAAACTCTTGGTGACGACTGAGTTTAACTCACAGAGCTGAACATTCCTTTGGATGGAGCAGTTTCGAAACACACTATTTGTAGGATGTGCAAGTGGATATTTGGGCCTCTCTGAGGATTTCGTTGGAAACGGGATAAACCGCACAGAACTAAACAGAAGCATTCTCAGAAACTACTTTGTGATGATTGCATTCAAGTCACAGAGTTGAACATTCCCTTTGACAGAGCAGTTTGGAAACTCTCTTTGTGTAGAATCTGCAAGTGGAGATATGGACCGCTTTGAGGCCTATGGTAGTAAAGGAAATAGCTTCATATAAAAGCTAGACAGTAGCATTCTCAGAAACTTCGTTGTGATGCTTGCATTCAACTCACAGAGTTGAACTTTCCTTTCGAGAGAGAAGCCTTGAAACACTCTTTTTCCAGAATCTGCAAGTGGACATTTGGAGGGCTTTGAGGCCTGTGGTGGAAAAGGAATTATCTTCCCGTAAAAGCTAGATAGAAGCATTGTCAGAAACTTCTTTGTGATGATTGCATTCAACTCACAGAGTTGAAGGTTCCTTTTCAAACAGCAGTTTCCAATCACTCTTTCTGTGGAATCTGCAAGTGGATATTTGGGCCTCTCTGAGGATTTCGTTGGAAACGGGATAAAACGCACAGAACTAAAACAGAAGCATTCTCAGAAACTTCTCTGTGATGTTTGTGTTCAACTCCCAGAGTTTCACGTTGCTTTTCATAGAGTAGTTCTGAAACATGCTTTTCGTAGTGTCTGCAAGTGGACATTTGGAGCGCTTTCAGGCCTGTGGTGGAAAACGAATTATGGTCACATAAAAACTGGAGAGAAGCCTTCTCAGAAACTTCTCTGTGATGATTGCATTCAACTCACAGAGTTGAACCCTCCTATGGATAGAGCAGTGTTGAAACTCTCTTTTTGTGGAATCTGCAAGTGGATATGTGGACCTCTCCGAAGATGTCTTTGGAAACGGGAATATCTTCACATAAAAACTAAACAGAAGCATTCTCAGAAACTTCTTGGTGATGTTTGCATTCAAATCCCAGAGTTGAACCTTCCTTTGATAGTTCAGGTTTGAAACACTCTTTCTGTAGGATCTGCAAGTGGCTATTTGGACCACTCTGTGGCCTTCGTTCGAAATGGGTATATCTTCGCATAAAATCTAGACAGAAGCATTCTCAGAAAATACTTTGTGATGATTGAGTTTAAATCACAGAGCTGACCATTCCTTTGGATGGAGCAGGTTTGAGACACACTTTTTGTAGAATCTACAAGTGGATATTTGGACCTCTCTGAGGATTTCGTTGGAAACGGGATAACTGCACCTAACTAAACGGAAGCATTCTCAGAAACTGCTTTGTGATGATTGCATTCACCTCACAGAGTTGAACATTCCTATTGATAGAGCAGTTTGGAAACACTCTTGTTGTGGAATGTGCAAGTGGAGATTTGGAGCGCTTTGAGGCCTATGGTAGTAAAGGGAATAGCTTCATAGAAAAACTAGACAGATGCATTCTCAGGAACCTTTTGGTGATGTTTGTATTCAACTCCCAGAGTTGAACTTTCCTTTGGAAAGAGCAGCTATGAAACACTCTTTTTCTAGAATCTGCAAGTGGACGTTTGGAGGGCTTTGTGGTTTGTGGTGGAAAAGGAAATATCTTCACCTAAATACTAGATAGAAGCATTCTCAGAAGCTTCTCTGTGATGACTGCATTCAACTCACGGAGTTGAACACTCCTTTTGAGAGCGCAGTTTTGAAACTCTCTTTCTGTGGCATCTGCAAGGGGACATGTAGACCTCTTTGAAGATTTCGTTGGAAACGGAATCATCTTCACATAAAAACTATACAGAAGCAGTCTCAGAATCTTCTTTGTGATGTTTGCATTCAAATCCCAGAGTTGAACTTTCCTTTCAAAGTTCACGTTTGAAACACTCTTTTTGCAGGATCTACAAGTGGATATTTGGACCACTCTGTGTCCTTCGTTCGAAACGGGTATATCTTCACACGACATCTAGACAGAAGCTTTCTCAGAAAATTCTTTGGGATGATTGAGTGGAACTCACAGAGCTGAACATTCCTTGCGATGTAGCAGTTTAGAAACACACTTTCTGCAGAATCTGCAAGTGCATATTTGGACCTCTCTGAGGAATTCGTTGGAAACGGGATAATTTCAGCTGACTAAACAGAAGCATTCTCAGAACCTTCTTCGTGATGTCTGCATTCAACTCACAGTGTGGAACCTTTCTTTGATAGTTCAGGTTTGAAACACTCTTTTTGTAGAAACTGCAAGGGGATAATTGCACTTCTTTGAGGCCTACCGTAGTAAAGGAAATAACTTCCTATAGAAAGAAGACAGAAGCATTCTCAGAACCCTCTTCGTGATGTTTGCATTCAACTCACAGTGCTGAACCTTTCTTTGATAGTTCAGCTTTGAAACACTCTTCTTGTAGAAACTGCAAGTGGATATTTGGTCCTCTCTGAGGATTTCGTTGGAAACGGGATAAACCGCACAGAACTAAACAGAAGAATTCTCAGAGCCCTCTTCGTGATGTTTGCATTCAACTCACAGTGCTGAACCTTTCTTTGATAGTGCAGCTTTGAAACACTCTTTTTGTAGAAACTGCAAGTGGATGTTTGGTCCTCTCTGAGGATTTCGTTGGAAACGGGATAAACCGCACAGAACTAAAACAGAAGCATTGTCAGAAACTTCTTTGTGATGATTGCATTCAACTCACAGAGTTGAAGGTTCCTTTTCAAACAGCAGTTTCCAATCACTCTTTCTGTGGAATCTGCAAGTGGATATTTGGGCCTCTCTGAGGATTTCGTTGGAAACGGGATAAAACGCACAGAACTAAAACAGAAGCATTCTCAGAAACTTCTCTGTGATGTTTGTGTTCAACTCCCAGAGTTTCACGTTGCTTTTCATAGAGTAGTTCTGAAACATGCTTTTCGTAGTGTCTGCAAGTGGACATTTGGAGCGCTTTCAGGCCTGTGGTGGAAAACGAATTATGGTCACATAAAAACTGGAGAGAAGCCTTCTCAGAAACTTCTCTGTGATGATTGCATTCAACTCACAGAGTTGAACCCTCCTATGGATAGAGCAGTGTTGAAACTCTCTTTTTGTGGAATCTGCAAGTGGATATGTGGACCTCTCCGAAGATGTCTTTGGAAACGGGAATATCTTCACATAAAAACTAAACAGAAGCATTCTCAGAAACTTCTTGGTGATGTTTGCATTCAAATCCCAGAGTTGAACCTTCCTTTGATAGTTCAGGTTTGAAACACTCTTTCTGTAGGATCTGCAAGTGGCTATTTGGACCACTCTGTGGCCTTCGTTCGAAACGGGTATATCTTCGCATAAAATCTAGACAGAAGCATTCTCAGAAAATACTTTGTGATGATTGAGTTTAAATCACAGAGCTGACCATTCCTTTGGATGGAGCAGGTTTGAGACACACTTTTTGTAGAATCTACAAGTGGATATTTGGACCTCTCTGAGGATTTCGTTGGAAACGGGATAACTGCACCTAACTAAACGGAAGCATTCTCAGAAACTGCTTTGTGATGATTGCATTCACCTCACAGAGTTGAACATTCCTATTGATAGAGCAGTTTGGAAACACTCTTGTTGTGGAATGTGCAAGTGGAGATTTGGAGCGCTTTGAGGCCTATGGTAGTAAAGGGAATAGCTTCATAGAAAAACTAGACAGATGCATTCTCAGGAACTTTTTGGTGATGTTTGTATTCAACTCCCAGAGTTGAACTTTCCTTTGGAAAGAGCAGCTATGAAACACTCTTTTTCTAGAATCTGCAAGTGGACGTTTGGAGGGCTTTGTGGTTTGTGGTGGAAAAGGAAATATCTTCACCTAAATACTAGATAGAAGCATTCTCAGAAGCTTCTCTGTGATGACTGCATTCAACTCACGGAGTTGAACACTCCTTTTGAGAGCGCAGTTTTGAAATTCTCTTTCTGTGGCATCTGCAAGGGGACATGTAGACCTCTTTGAAGATTTCGTTGGAAACGGAATCATCTTCACATAAAAACTATACAGAAGCAGTCTCAGAATCTTCTTTGTGATGTTTGCATTCAAATCCCAGAGTTGAACTTTCCTTTCAAAGTTCACGTTTGAAACACTCTTTTTGCTGGATCTACAAGTGGATATTTGGACCACTCTGTGTCCTTCGTTCGAAACGGGTATATCTTCACATGACATCTAGACAGAAGCTTTCTCAGAAAATTCTTTGGGATGATTGAGTTGAACTCACAGAGCTGAGCATTCCTTGCGATGTAGCAGTTTAGAAACACACTTTCTGCAGAATCTGCAAGTGCATATTTGGACCTCTGTGAGGAATTCGTTGGAAACGGGATAATTTCAGCTGACTAAACAGAAGCATTCTCAGAACCTTCTTCGTGATGTCTGCATTCAACTCACAGTGTGGAACCTTTCTTTGATAGTTCAGGTTTGAAACACTCTTTCTGTAGAAACTGCAAGGGGATAATTGCACTCTTTGAGGAGTACCGTAGTAAAGGAAATAACTTCCTATAAAAAGAAGACAGAAGCATTCTCAGAACCCTCTTCGTGATGTTTGCATTCAACTCACAGTGCTGAACCTTTCTTTGATAGTTCAGCTTTGAAACACTCTTTTTGTAGAAACTGCAAGTGGATATTTGGTCCTCTCTGAGCATTTCGTTGGAAACGGGATAAACTGCACAGAACTAAACAGAAGCATTCTCAGAACCTTCTTCGTGATGTTTGCATTCAACTCACAGTGTGGAACCTTTCTTTGATAGTTCAGGTTTGAAACGGTCTTTCTGTAGAAACTGCAAGTAGATATTTGGACCTCTCTGAGGATTTCGTTGGAAACGGGATAACCCGCACAGAACTAAAACAGAAGCATTCACAGAAAACTCTTGGTGACGACTGAGTTTAACTCACAGAGCTGAACATTCCTTTGGATGGAGCAGTTTCGAAACACACTATTTGTAGAATGTGCAAGTGGATATTTGGGCCTCTCTGAGGATTTCGTTGGAAACGGGATAAACCGCACAGAACTAAACAGAAGCATTCTCAGAAACTACTTTGTGATGATTGCATTCAAGTCACAGAGTTGAACATTCCCTTTGACAGAGCAGTTTGGAAACTCTCTTTGTGTAGAATCTGCAAGTGGAGATATGGACCGCTTTGAGGCCTATGGTAGTAAAGGAAATAGCTTCATATAAAAGCTAGACAGTAGCATTCTCAGAAACTTCTTTGTGATGCTTGCATTCAACTCACAGAGTTGAACTTTCCTTTCGAGAGAGAAGCTTTGAAACACTCTTTTTCCAGAATCTGCAAGTGGACATTTGGAGGGCTTTGAGGCCTGTGGTGGAAAAGGAATTATCTTCCCGTAAAAGCTAGATAGAAGCATTGTCAGAAACTTCTTTGTGATGATTGCATTCAACTCACAGAGTTGAAGGTTCCTTTTCAAAGAGCAGTTTCCAATCACTCTTTGTGTGGAATCTGCAAGTGGATATTCGGACCTATTTTGAAGATTTCGTTGGAAACGGGAGAATCTTCACAGGAAAGCTAAACAGAAGCATTCTCAGAAACTTCTCTGTGATGTTTGTGTTCAACTCCCAGAGTTTCACATTGCTTTTCATAGAGTAGTTCTGAAACATGCTTTTCGTAGTGTCTACAAGTGGACATTTGGAGCGCTTTCAGGCCTGTGGTGGAAAACGAATTATGGTCACATAAAAACTGGAGAGAAGCCTTCTCAGAAACTTCTCTGTGATGATTGCATTCAACTCACAGAGTTGAACCCTCCTATGGATAGAGCAGTGTTGAAACTCTCTTTTTGTGGAATCTGCAAGTGGATACGTGGACCTCTCCGAAGATGTCTTTGGAAACGGGAATATCTTCACATAAAAACTAAACAGAAGCATTCTCAGAAACTTCTTGGTGATGTTTGCATTCAAATCCCAGAGTTGAACCTTCCTTTGATAGTTCAGGTTTGAAACACTCTTTTTGTAGGATCTGCAAGTGGATATTTGGACCACTCTGTGGCCTTCGTTCGAAACGGGTATATCTTCGCATAAAATCTAGACAGAAGCATTCTCAGAAAATACTTTGTGATGATTGAGTTTAACTCACAGCAGCTGAACATTCCTTTGGATGGAGCAGGTTTGAGACACACTTTTTGTAGAATCTACAAGTGGATATTTGGACCTCTCTGAGGATTTCGTTGGAAACGGGATAACTGCACCTAACTAAACGGAAGCATTCTCAGAAACTGCTTTGTGATGATTGCATTCACCTCACAGAGTTGAACATTCCTATTGATAGAGCAGTTTGGAAACACTCTTGTTGTGGAATGTGCAAGTGGAGATTTGGAGCGCTTTGAGGCCTATGGTAGTAAAGGGAATAGCTTCATAGAAAAACTAGACAGATGCATTCTCAGGAACTTTTTGGTGATGTTTGTATTCAACTCCCAGAGTTGAACTTTCCTTTGGAAAGAGCAGCTATGAAACACTCTTTTTCTAGAATCTGCAAGTGGACGTTTGGAGGGCTTTGTGGTTTGTGGTGGAAAAGGAAATATCTTCACCTAAATACTAGAGAGAAGCATTCTCAGAAGCTTCTCTGTGATGACTGCATTCAACTCACGGGGTTGAACACTCCTTTTGGGAGCGCAGTTTTGAAACTCTCTTTCTGTGGCATCTGCAAGGGGACATGTAGACCTCTTTGAAGATTTCGTTGGAAACGGAATCATCTTCACATAAAAACTATACAGAAGCAGTCTCAGAATCTTCTTTGTGATGTTTGCATTCAAATCCCAGAGTTGAACTTTCCTTTCAAAGTTCACGTTTGAAACACTCTTTTTGCAGGATCTACAAGTGGATATTTGGACCACTCTGTGTCCTTCGTTCGAAACGGGTATATCTTCACATGACATCTAGACAGAAGCTTTCTCAGAAAATTCTTTGGGATGATTGAGTTGAACTCACAGAGCTGAACATTCCTTGCGATGGAGCAGTTAGAAACACACTTTCTGCAGAATCTGCAAGTGCATATTTGGACCTCTCTGAGGAATTCGTTGGAAACGGGTTAATTTCAGCTGACTAAACAGAAGCATTCTCAGTACCTTCTTCGTGATGTCTGCATGCAACTCACAGTGTGGAACCTTTCTTTGATAGTTCAGGTTTGAAACACTCTTTTTGTGGAAACTGCAAGGGGATAATTGCACTTCTTTGAGGCCCACCGTAGTAATGGAAATAACTTCCTATAAAAAGAAGACAGAAGCATTCTCAGAACCCTCTTCGTGATGTTTGCATTCAACTCACAGTGCTGAACCTTTCTTTGATAGTTCAGCTTTGAAACACTCTTTTTGTAGAAACTGCAAGTGGATATTTGATCCTCTCTGAGGATTTCGTTGGAAACGGCATAAACCGCACAGAACTAAACAGAAGCATTCACAGAAAACACTTGGTGACGACTGTGTTTAACTCACAGAGCTGAACATTCCTTTGGATGGAGCAGTTTCGAAACACACTCTTTGTAGAATGTGCAAGTGGATATTTGGGCCTCTCTGAGGATTTCGTTGGAAACGGGATAAACCGCACAGAACTAAAACAGAAGCATTCTCAGAAACTACTTTGTGACGATTGCATTCAAGTCACAGAGTTGAACATTCCCTTTGACAGAGCAGTTTGGAAACTCTCTTTGTGTAGAATCTGCAAGTGGAGATATGGACCGCTTTGAGGCCTATGGTAGTAAAGGTAATAGCTTCATATGAAAGCTAGACAGTAGCATTCTCAGAAACTTCTTTGTGATGCTTGCATTCAACTCACAGAGTTGAACTTTCCTTTCGAGAGAGAAGCTTTGAAACACTCTTTTTCCAGAATCTGCAAGTGGACATTTGGAGGGCTTTGAGGCCTGTGGTGGAAAAGGAATTAACTTCCCGTAAAAGCTAGATAGAAGCATTGTCAGAAACTTCTTTGTGATGATTGCATTCAACTCACAGAGATGAAGGTTCCTTTACAAACAGCAGTTTCCAAACACTCTTTCTGTGGAATCTGCAAGTGGATATTTGGACCTCTTTGAAGATTTCGTTGGAAACGGGAGAATCTTCACAGAAAAGCTAAACAGAAGCATTCTCAGAAACTTCTCTGTGATGTTTGTGTTCAACTCCCAGAGTTTCACATTGCTTTTCATAGAGTAGTTCTGAAACATGCTTTTCGTAGTGTCTGCAAGTGGACATTTGGAGCGCTTTCAGGCCTGTGGTGGAAAACGAATTATGGTCCCATAAAAACTGGAGAGAAGACTTCTCAGAACCTTCTCTGTGATGATTGCATTCAACTCACAGATTTGAACCCTCCTATGGATAGAACAGTGTTGAAACTCTCTTTTTGTGGAATCTGCAAGTGGATATGTGGACCTCTCCGAAGATGTCTTTGGAAACGGGAATATCTTCACCTAAAAACTAAACAGAAGCATTCTCAGAAACTTCTTGGTGATGTTTGCATTCAAATCCCAGAGTTGAACCTTCCTTTGAGAGTTCAGGTTTGAAACACTCTTTTTGTAGGATCTGCAAGTGGATATTTGGACCACTCTGTGGCCTTCGTTCGAAACGGGTACATCTTCGCATAAAATCTAGACAGAAGCATTCTCAGAAAATACTTTGTGATGATTGAGTTGAACTCACAGAGTTGAACATTCCTTTGGATGGAGCAGGTTTGAGACACACTTTTTGTAGAATCTACAAGGGGATATTTGGACCTCTCTGAGGATTTCGTTGGAAACGGGATAACTGCACCTAACTAAACGGAAGCATTCTCAGAAACTGCTTTGTGATGATTGCATTCACCTCACAGAGTTGAACATTCCTATTGATAGAGCAGTTTGGAAACACTCTTCTTGTGGAATGTGCAAGTGGAGATTTGGAGCGCTTTGAGGCCTATGGTAGTAAAGGGAATAGCTTCATAGAAAAACTAGACAGATGCATTCTCAGGAACTTTTTGGTGATGTTTGTATTCAACTCCCAGAGTTGAACTTTCCTTTGGAAAGAGCAGCTATGAAACACTCTTTTTCTAGAATCTGCAAGTGGACGTTTGGAGGGCTTTGTGGTTTGTGGTGGAAAAGGAAATATCTTCACCTAAATACTAGATAGAAGCATTCTCAGAAGCTTCTCTGTGATGACTGCATTCAACTCACGGAGTTGAACACTCCTTTTGAGAGCGCAGTTTTGAAACTCTCTTTCTGTGGCATCCGCAAGGGGACATGTGGACCTCTTTGAAGATTTCGTTGGAAACGGAATCATCTTCACATAAAAACTATACAGAAGCAGTCTCAGAATCTTCTTTGTGATGTTTGCATTCAAATCCCAGAGTTGAACTTTCCTTTCAAAGTTCACGTTTGAAACACTCTTTTTGCAGGATCTACAAGTGGATATTTGGACCACTCTGTGTCCTTCGTTCGAAACGGGTATATCTTCACATGACATCTAGACAGAAGCTTTCTCAGAAAATTCTTTGGGATGATTGAGTTGAACTCACAGAGCTGAACATTCCTTGCGATGGAGCAGTTTAGAAACACACTTTCTGCAGAATCTGCAAGTGCATATTTGGACCTCTCTGAGGAATTCGTTGGAAACGGGATAATTTCAGCTGACTAAACAGAAGCATTCTCAGAATCTTCTTCGTGATGTCTGCATTCAACTCACAGTGTGGCACCTTTCTTTGATAGTTCAGGTTTGAAACACTCTTTTTGTAGAAACTGCAAGGGGATAATTGCACTTCTTTGAGGCCTACCGTAGTAAAGGAAATAACTTCCTATACAAAGAAGATAGAAGCATTCTCAGAACCCTCTTCGTGATGTTTGCATTCAACACACAGTGCTGAACCTTTTCTTTGATAGTTCAGCTTTGAAACACTCTTTTTGTAGAAACTGCAAGTGGATATTTGGTCCTCTCTGAGGATTTCGTTGGAAACGTGATAAACCGCACAGAACTAAACAGAAGCATTCACAGAAAACTCTTGGTGACGACTGAGTTTAACTCACAGAGCTGAACATTCCTTTGGATGGAGCAGTTTCGAAACACACTCTTTGTAGAATCTGCAAGTGGATATTTGGGCCTCTCTAAGGATTTCGTTGGAAATGGGATAAACCGCACAGAACTAAAACAAAAGCATTCTGAGAAACTACTTTGTGATGATTGCATTCAAGTCACAGAGCTGAACATTCCCTTTGACAGAGCAGTTAGGAAACTCTCTTTGTGTAGAATCTGCAAGTGGAGATATGGAATGCTTTGAGGACTATGGTAGTAAAGGAAATAGCTTCATATAAAAGCTAGACAGTAGCATTCTCAGAAACTTCTTTGTGATGCTTGCATTCAACTCACAGAGTTGAACTTTCCTTTCGAGAGAGAAGCTTTGAAACACTCTTTTTCCAGAATCTGCAAGTGGACATTTGGAGGGCTTTGAGGCCTGTGGTGGAAAAGGAATTATCTTCCCGTAAAAGCTGGATAGAAGCATTGTCAGAAACTTCTTTGTGATGATTGCATTCAACTCACAGAGTTGAAGGTTCCTTTTCAAACAGCAGTTTCCAAACACTCTTTCTGTGGAATCTGCAAGTGGATGTTTGGACCTCTTTGAAGATTTCGTTGGAAACGGGATAACCTTCACAGAAAAGCTAAACAGAAGCATTCTCAGAAACTTCTCTGTGATGTTTGTGTTCAACTCCCAGAGTGTCACATTGCTTCTCATAGAGTAGTTCTGAAACATGCTTTTCGTAGTGTCTGCAAGTGGACATTTGGAGCGCTTTCAGGCCTGTGGTGGAAAACGAATTATGGTCACATAAAAACTGGACAGAAGCCTTCTCAGAAACTTCTCTGTGATGATTGCATTCAACTCACAGAGTTGAACCCTCCTATGGATAGAGCAGTGTTGAAACTCTCTTTTTGTGGAATCTGCAAGTGGATATGTGGACCTCTCCGAAGATGTGTTTGGAAACGGGACTATCTTCACATAAAAACTAAACAGAAGCATTCTCAGAAACTTCTTGGTGATGTTTGCATTCAAATCCCAGAGTTGAACCTTCCTTTGATAGTTCAGGTTTGAAACACTCTTTTTGTAGGATCTGCAATTGGCTATTTGGACCACTCTGTGGCCTTCGTTCGAAACGGGTATATCTTCGCATAAAATCTAGACAGAAGCATTCTCAGAAAATACTTTGTGATGATTGAGTTGAACTCACAGAGCTGAACATTCCTTTGGATGGAGCAGGTTTGAGACACACTTTTTGTAGAATCTACAAGTGGATATTTGGACCTCTCTGAGGATTTCGTTGGAAACGGGATAACTGCACTTAACTAAACGGAAGCATTCTCAGAAACTGCTTTGTGATGATTGCATTCACCTCACAGAGTTGAACATTCCTATTGATAGAGCAGTTTGGAAACACTCTTGTTGTGGAATGTGCAAGTGGAGATTTGGAGCGCTTTGAGGCCTATGGTAGTAAAGGGAATAGCTTCATAGAAAAACTAGACAGATGCATTCTCAGGAACTTTTTGGTGATGTTTGTATTCAACTCCCACAGTTGAACTTTCCTTTGGAAAGAGCAGCTATGAAACACTCTTTTTCTAGAATCTGCAAGCGGACGTTTGGAGGGCTTTGTGGTTTGTGGTGGAAAAGGAAATATCTTCACCTAAATACTAGACAGAAGCATTCTCAGAAACTTTTCTGTGATGACTGCATTCAACTCACAGAGTTGAACACTCCTTTTGAGAGCGCAGTTTTGAAACTCTCTTTCTGTGGAATCTGCAAGGGGACATGTAGACCTCTTTGAAGGTTTCGTTGGAAACAGAATCATCTTCACATAAAAATTACACGGAAGCAGTCTCAGAATCTTCTTTGTGATGTTTGCATTCAAATCACAGAGTTGAACTTTCCTTTCAAAGTTCACGTTTGAAACACTCTTTTTGCAGGATCTACAAGTGGATATTTGGACCACTCTGTGTCCTTCGTTCGAAACGGGTATATCTTCACATGACATCTAGACAGAAGCTTTCTCAGAAAATTCTTTGGGATGATTGAGTTGAACTCACAGAGCTGAACATTCCTTGCGATGTAGCAGTTTAGAAACACACTTTCTGCAGAATCTGCAAGTGCATATTTGGACCTCTCTGAGGAATTCGTTGGAAACGGGATAATTTCAGCTGACTAAACAGAAGCATTCTCAGAACCTTCTTCGTGATGTCTGCATTCAACTCACAGTGTGGAACCTTTCTTTGATAGTTCAGGTTTGAAACACTCTTTTTGTAGAAACTGCAAGGGGATAATTGCACTTCTTTGAGGCCTACCGTAGTAAAGGAAATAACTTCCTATAGAAAGAAGACAGAAGCATTCTCAGAACCCTCGTCGTGATGTTTGCATTCAACTCACAGTGCTGAACCTTTCTTTGATAGTTCAGCTTTGAAACACTCTTCTTGTAGAAACTGCAAGTGGATATTTGGTCCTCTCTGAGGATTTCGTTGGAAACGGGAAAAACCGCACAGAACTAAACAGAAGCATTCTCAGGAACCTTCTTCGTGATGTTTGCATTCAACTCACAGTGTTGAACCTTTCTTTGATAGTTCAGGTTTGAAACGGTCTTTCTGTAGAAACTGCAAGTAGATATTTGGACCTCTCTGAGGATTTCGTTGGAAACGGGATAACCCGCACAGAACTAAAACAGAAGCATTCACAGAAAACTCTTGGTGACGACTGAGTTTAACTCACAGAGCTGAACATTCCTTTGGATGGAGCAGTTTTGAAACACACTATTTGTAGAATGTGCAAGTGGATATTTGGGCCTCTCTGAGGATTTCGTTGGAAACGGGATAAACCGCACAGAACTAAACAGAAGCATTCTCAGAAACTACTTTGTGATGATTGCATTCAAGTCACAGAGTTGAACATTCCCTTTGAGAGAGCAGTTTGGAAACTCTCTTTGTGTAGAATCTGCAAGTGGAGATATGGACCGCGTTGAGGCCTATGGTAGTAAAGGAAATAGCTTCATATAAAAGCTAGACAGTAGCATTCTCAGAAACTTCTTTGTGATGCTTGCATTCAACTCACAGAGTTGAACTTTCCTTTCGAGAGAGAAGCTTTGAAACACTCTTTTTCCAGAATCTGCAAGTGGACATTTGGAGGGCTTTGAGGCCTGTGGTGGAAAAGGAATTATCTTCCCGTAAAAGCTAGATAGAAGCATTGTCAGAAACTTCTTTGTGATGATTGCATTCAACTCACAGAGTTGAAGGTTCCTTTTCAAACAGCAGTTTCCAATCACTCTTTCTGTGGAATCTGCAGGTGGATATTTGGACCGCTTTGAAGATTTCGTTGGAAACGGGAGAATCTTCACAGAAAAGCTAAACAGAAGCATTCTCAGAAACTTCTCTGTGATGTTTGTGTTCAACTCCCAGAGTTTCACATTGCTTTTCATAGAGTAGTTCTGAAACATGCTTTTCGTAGTGTCTGCAAGTGGACATTTGGAGAGCTTTCAGGCCTGTGGTGGAAAACGAATTATGGTCACATAAAAACTGGAGAGAAGCCTTCTCAGAAACTTCTCTGTGATGATTGCATTCAACTCACAGAGTTGAACCCTCCTATGGACAGAGCAGTGTTGAAACTCTCTTTTTGTGGAATCTGCAAGTGGATATGTGGACCTCTCCGAAGATGTCTTTGGAAACGGGAATATCTTCACATAAAAACTAAACAGAAGCATTCTCAGAAACTTCTTGGTGATGTTTGCATTCAAATCCCAGAGTTGAACCTTCCTTTGATAGTTCAGGTTTGAAACACTCTTTTTGTAGGATCTGCAAGTGGCTATTTGGACCACTCTGTGGCCTTCGTTCGAAACGGGTATATCTTCGCATAAAATCTAGACAGAAGCATTCTCAGAAAATACTTTGTGATGATTGAGTTGAACTCACAGAGCTGAACATTCCTTTGGATGGAGCAGGTTTGAGACACACTTTTTGTAGAATCTACAAGTGGATATTTGGACCTCTCTGAGGATTTCGTTGGAAACGGGATAACTGCACCTAACTAAACGGAAGCATTCTCAGAAACTGCTTTGTGATGATTGCATTCACCTCACAGAGTTGAACATTCCTATTGATAGAGCAGTTTGGAAACACTCTTGTTGTGGAATGTGCAAGTGGAGATTTGGAGCGCTTTGAGGCCTATGGTAGTAAAGGGAATAGCTTCATAGAAAAACTAGACAGATGCATTCTCAGGAACTTTTTGGTGATGTTTGTATTCAACTCCCAGAGTTGAACTTTCCTTTGGAAAGAGCAGCTATGAAACACTCTTTTTCTAGAATCTTCAAGTGGACGTTTGGAGGGCTTTGTGGTTTGTGGTGGAAAAGGAAATATCTTCACCTAAATACTAGATAGAAGCATTCTCAGAAGCTTCTCTGTGATGACTGCATTCAACTCACGGAGTTGAACACTCCTTTTGAGAGCGCAGTTTTGAAACTCTCTTTCTGTGGCATCTGCAAGGGGACATGTAGACCTCTTTGAAGATTTCGTTGGAAACGGAATCATCTTCACATAAAAACTATACAGAAGCAGTCTCAGAATCTTCTTTGTGATGTTTGCATTCAAATCCCAGAGTTGAACTTGCCTTTCAAAGTTCACGTTTGAAACACTCTTTTTGCAGGATCTACAAGTGGATATTTGGACCACTCTGTGTCCTTCGTTCGAAACGGGTATATCTTCACATGACATCTAGACAGAAGCTTTCTCAGAAAATTCTTTGGGATGATTGAGTGGAACTCACAGAGCTGAACATTCCTTGCGATGTAGCAGTTTAGAAACACACTTTCTGCAGAATCTGCAAGTGCATATTTGGACCTCTCTGAGGAATTCGTTGGAAACGGGATAATTTCAGCTGACTAAACAGAAGCATTCTCAGAACCTTCTTCGTGATGTCTGCATTCAACTCACAGTGTGGAACCTTTCTTTGATAGTTCAGGTTTGAAACACTCTTTTTGTAGAAACTGCAAGGGGATAATTGCACTTCTTTGAGGCCTACCGTAGTAAAGGAAATAACTTCCTATAGAAAGAAGACAGAAGCATTCTCAGAACCCTCTTCGTGATGTTTGCATTCAACTCACAGTGCTGAACCTTTCTTTGATAGTTCAGCTTTGAAACACTCTTCTTGTAGAAACTGCAAGTGGATATTTGGTCCTCTCTGAGGATTTCGTTGGAAACGGGATAAACCGCACAGAACTAAACAGAAGCATTCTCAGGAACCTTCTTCGTGATGTTTGCATTCAACTCACAGTGTTGAACCTTTCTTTGATAGTTCAGGTTTGAAACGGTCTTTCTGTAGAAACTGCAAGTAGATATTTGGACCTCTCTGAGGATTTCGTTGGAAACGGGATAACCCGCACAGAACTAAAACAGAAGCATTCACAGAAAACTCTTGGTGACGACTGAGTTTAACTCACAGAGCTGAACATTCCTTTGGATGGAGCAGTTTCGAAACACACTATTTGTAGAATCTGCAAGTGGATATTTGGGCCTCTCTGAGGATTTCGTTGGAAACGGGATAAACCGCACAGAACTAAAACAGAAGCATTCTCAGAAACTACTTTGTGATGATTGCATTCAAGTCACAGAGTTGAACATTCCCTTTGACAGAGCAGTTTGGAAACTCTCTTTGTGTAGAATCTGCAAGTGGAGATATGGACCGCTTTGAGGCCTATGGTAGTAAAGGAAATAGCTTCATATAAAAGCTAGACAGTAGCATTCTCAGCAAACTTCTTTGTGATGCTTGCATTCAACTCACAGAGTTGAACTTTCCTTTCGAGAGAGAAGCTTTGAAACACTCTTTTTCCAGAATCTGCAAGTGGACATTTGGAGGGCTTTGAGGCCTGTGGTGGAAAAGGAATTATCTTCCCGTAAAAGCTAGATAGAAGCATTGTCAGAAACTTCTTTGTGATGATTGCATTCAACTCACAGAGATGAAGGTTCCTTTACAAACAGCAGTTTCCAAACACTCTTTCTGTGGAATCTGCAAGTGGATATTTGGACCTCTTTGAAGATTTCGTTGGAAACGGGAGAATCTTCACAGAAAAGCTAAACAGAAGCATTCTCAGAAACTTCTCTGTGATGTTTGTGTTCAACTCCCAGAGTGTCACATTGCTTCTCATAGAGTAGTTCTGAAACATGCTTTTCGTAGTGCCTGCAAGGGGACATTTGGAGCGCTTTCAGGCCTGTGGTGGAAAACGAATTATGGTCACATAAAAACTGGAGAGAAGCCTTCTCAGAAACTTCTCTGTGATGATTGCATTCAACTCACAGAGTTGAACCCTCCTATGGATAGAGCAGTGTTGAAACTCTCTTTTTGTGGAATCTGCAAGTGTATATGTGGACCTCTCCGAAGATGTCTTTGGAAACGGGACTATCTTCACATAAAAACTAAACAGAAGCATTCTCAGAAACTTCTTGGTGATGTTTGCATTCAAATCCCAAAGTTGAACCTTCTTTTGAGAGTTCAGGTTTGAAACACTCTTTTTGTAGGATCTGCAAGTGGATATTTGGACCACTCTGTGGCCTTCGTTCGAAACGGGTACATCTTCGCATAAAATCTAGACAGAAGCATTCTCAGAAAATACTTTGTGATGATTGAGTTTAACTCACAGAGCTGAACATTCCTTTGGATGGAGCAGGTTTGAGACACACCTTTTGTAGAATCTACAAGTGGATATTTGGACCTCTCTGAGGATTTCGTTGGAAACGGGATAACTGCACCTAACTAAACGGAAGCATTCTCAGAAACTGCTTTGTGATGATTGCATTCACCTCACAGAGTTGAACATTCCTATTGATAGAGCAGTTTGGAAACACTCTTGTTGTGGAATGTGCAAGTGGAGATTTGGAGCGCTTTGAGGCCTATGGTAGTAAAGGGAATAGCTTCATAGAAAAACTAGACAGATGCATTCTCAGGAACTTTTTGGTGATGTTTGTATTCAACTCCCAGAGTTGAACTTTCCTTTGGAAAGAGCAGCTATGAAACACTGTTTTTCTAGAATCTGCAAGTGGACGTTTGGAGGGCTTTGTGGTTTGTGGTGGAAAAGGAAATATCTTCACCTAAATACTAGATAGAAGCATCCTCAGAAGCTTCTCTGTGATGACTGCATTCAACTCACGGAGTTGAACACTCCTTTTGAGAGCGCAGTTTTGAAACTCTCTTTCTGTGGCATCTGCAAGGGGACATGTAGACCTCTTTGAAGATTTCGTTGGAAACGGAATCATCTTCACATAAAAACTATACAGAAGCAGTCTCAGAATCTTCTTTGTGATGTTTGCATTCAAATCCCCGAGTTGAACTTTCCTTTCAAAGTTCACGTTTGAAACACTCTTTTTGCAGGATCTACAAGTGGATATTTGGACCACTCTGTGTCCTTCGTTCGAAACGGGTATATCTTCACATGACATCTAGACAGAAGCTTTCTCAGAAAATTCTTTGGGATGATTGAGTTGAACTCACAGAGCTGAGCATTCCTTGCGATGTAGCAGTTTAGAAACACACTTTCTGCAGAATCTGCAAGTGCATATTTGGACCTCTGTGAGGAATTCGTTGGAAACGGGATAATTTCAGCTGACTAAACAGAAGCATTCTCAGAACCTTCTTCGTGATGTCTGCATTCAACTCACAGTGTGGAACCTTTCTTTGATAGTTCAGGTTTGAAACACTCTTTCTGTAGAAACTGCAAGGGGATAATTGCACTCTTTGAGGAGTACCGTAGTAAAGGAAATAACTTCCTATAAAAAGAAGACAGAAGCATTCTCAGAACCCTCTTCGTGATGTTTGCATTCAACTCACAGTGCTGAACCTTTCTTTGATAGTTCAGCTTTGAAACACTCTTTTTGTAGAAACTGCAAGTGGATATTTGGTCCTCTCTGAGCATTTCGTTGGAAACGGGATAAACTGCACAGAACTAAACAGAAGCATTCTGAGAACCTTCTTCGTGATGTTTGCATTCAACTCACAGTGTTGAACCTTTCTTTGATAGTTCAGGTTTGAAACGGTCTTTCTGTAGAAACTGCAAGTAGATATTTGGACCTCTCTGAGGATTTCGTTGGAAACGGGATAACCCGCACAGAACTAAAACAGAAGCATTCACAGAAAACTCTTGGTGACGACTGAGTTTAACTCACAGAGCTGAACATTCCTTTGGATGGAGCAGTTTTGAAACACACTATTTGTAGAATGTGCAAGTGGATATTTAGGCCTCTCTGAGGATTTCGTTGGAAACGGGATAAACCGCACAGAACTAAACAGAAGCATTCTCAGAAACTACTTTGTGATGATTGCATTCAAGTCACAGAGTTGAACATTCCCTTTGACAGAGCAGTTTGGAAACTCTCTTTGTGTAGAATCTGCAAGTGGAGATATGGACCGCTTTGAGGCCTATGGTAGTAAAGGAAATAGCTTCATATAAAAGCTAGACAGTAGCATTCTCAGAAACTTCTTTGTGATGCTTGCATTCAACTCACAGAGTTGAACTTTCCTTTCGAGAGAGAAGCTTTGAAACACTCTTTTTCCAGAATGTGCAAGTGGACATTTGGGGAGCTTTGAGGCCTGTGGAGGAAAAGGAATCATCTTCCCGTAAAAGCTAGATAGAAGCATTGTCAGAAACTTCTTTGTGATGATTGCATTCAACTCACAGAGTTGAAGGTTCCTTTTCAAACAGCAGTTTCCAATCACTCTTTCTGTGGAATCTGCAAGTGGATATTTCGACCTCTTTGAAGATTTCGTTGGAAACGGGAGAATCTTCACAGAAAAGCTAAACAGAAGCATTCTCAGAAACTTCTCTGTGATGTTTGTGTTCAACTCCCAGAGTTTCACGTTGCTTTTCATAGAGTAGTTCTGAAACATGCTTTTCGTAGTGTCTGCAAGTGGACATTTGGAGCGCTTTCAGGCCTGTGGTGGAAAACGAATTATGGTCACATAAAAACTGGAGAGAAGCCTTCTCAGAAACTTCTCTGTGATGATTGCATTCAACTCACAGAGTTGAACCCTCCTATGGATAGAGCAGTGTTGAAACTCTCTTTTTGTGGAATCTGCAAGTGGATATGTGGAGCTCTCCGAAGATGTCTTTGGAAACGGGAATATCTTCACATAAAAACTAAACAGAAGCATTCTCAGAAACTTCTTGGTGATGTTTGCATTCAAATCCCAGAGGTGAACCTTCCTTTGATAGTTCAGGTTTGAAACACTCTTTTTGTAGGATCTGCAAGTGGCTATTTGGACCACTCTGTGGCCTTCGTTCGAAACGGGTATATCTTCGCATAAAATCTAGACAGAAGCATTCTCAGAAAATACTTTGTGATGATTGAGTTGAACTCACAGAGCTGAACATTCCTTTGGATGGAGCAGGTTTGAGACACACTTTTTGTAGAATCTACAAGTGGATATTTGGACCTCTCTGAGGATTTCGTTGGAAACGGGATAACTGCACCTAACTAAACGGAAGCATTCTCAGAAACTGCTTTGTGATGATTGCATTCACCTCACAGAGTTGAACATTCCTATTGATAGAGCAGTTTGGAAACACTCTTGTTGTGGAATGTGCAAGTGGAGATTTGGAGCGCTTTGAGGCCTATGGTAGTAAAGGGAATAGCTTCATAGAAAAACTAGACAGATGCATTCTCAGGAACTTTTTGGTGATGTTTGTATTCAACTCCCAGAGTTGAACTTTCCTTTGGAAAGAGCAGCTATGAAACACTCTTTTTCTAGAATCTGCAAGTGGACGTTTGGAGGGCTTTGTGGTTTGTGGTGGAAAAGGAAATATCTTCACCTAAATACTAGATAGAAGCATTCTCAGAAGCTTCTCTGTGATGACTGCATTCAACTCACGGAGTTGAACACTCCTTTTGAGAGCGCAGTTTTGAAACTCTCTTTCTGTGGCATCTGCAAGGGGACATGTAGACCTCTTTGAAGATTTCGTTGGAAACGGAATCATCTTCACATAAAAACTATACAGAAGCAGTCTCAGAATCTTCTTTGTGATGTTTGCATTCAAATCCCAGAGTTGAACTTTCCTTTCAAAGTTCACGTTTGAAACACTCTTTTTGCAGGATCTACAAGTGGATATTTGGACCACTCTGTGTCCTTCGTTCGAAACGGGTATATCTTCACACGACATCTAGACAGAAGCTTTCTCAGAAAATTCTTTGGGATGATTGAGTGGAACTCACAGAGCTGAACATTCCTTGCGATGTAGCAGTTTAGAAACACACTTTCTGCAGAATCTGCAAGTGCATATTTGGACCTCTCTGAGGAATTCGTTGGAAACGGGATAATTTCAGCTGACTAAACAGAAGCATTCTCAGAACCTTCTTCGTGATGTCTGCATTCAACTCACAGTGTGGAACCTTTCTTTGATAGTTCAGGTTTGAAACACTCTTTTTGTAGAAACTGCAAGGGGATAATTGCACTTCTTTGAGGCCTACCGTAGTAAAGGAAATAACTTCCTATAGAAAGAAGACAGAAGCATTCTCAGAACCCTCTTCGTGATGTTTGCATTCAACTCACAGTGCTGAACCTTTCTTTGATAGTTCAGCTTTGAAACACTCTTCTTGTAGAAACTGCAAGTGGATATTTGGTCCTCTCTGAGGATTTCGTTGGAAACGGGATAAACCGCACAGAACTAAACAGAAGCATTCTCAGAGCCCTCTTCGTGATGTTTGCATTCAACTCACAGTGCTGAACCTTTCTTTGATAGTGCAGCTTTGAAACACTCTTTTTGTAGAAACTGCAAGTGGATGTTTGGTCCTCTCTGAGGATTTCGTTGGAAACGGGATAAACCGCACAGAACTAAAACAGAAGCATTGTCAGAAACTTCTTTGTGATGATTGCATTCAACTCACAGAGTTGAAGGTTCCTTTTCAAACAGCAGTTTCCAATCACTCTTTCTGTGGAATCTGCAAGTGGATATTTGGGCCTCTCTGAGGATTTCGTTGGAAACGGGATAAAACGCACAGAACTAAAACAGAAGCATTCTCAGAAACTTCTCTGTGATGTTTGTGTTCAACTCCCAGAGTTTCACATTGCTTTTCATAGAGTAGTTCTGAAACATGCTTTTCGTAGTGTCTACAAGTGGACATTTGGAGCGCTTTCAGGCCTGTGGTGGAAAACGAATTATGGTCACATAAAAACTGGAGAGAAGCCTTCTCAGAAACTTCTCTGTGATGATTGCATTCAACTCACAGAGTTGAACCCTCCTATGGATAGAGCAGTGTTGAAACTCTCTTTTTGTGGAACCTGCAAGTGGATATGTGGACCTCTCCGAAGATGTCTTTGGAAACGGGAATATCTTCACATAAAAACTAAACAGAAGCATTCTCAGAAACTTCTTGGTGATGTTTGCATTCAAATCCCAGAGTTGAACCTTCCTTTGATAGTTCAGGTTTGAAACACTCTTTCTGTAGGATCTGCAAGTGGCTATTTGGACCACTCTGTGGCCTTCGTTCGAAACGGGTATATCTTCGCATAAAATCTAGACAGAAGCATTCTCAGAAAATACTTTGTGATGATTGAGTTTAAATCACAGAGCTGACCATTCCTTTGGATGGAGCAGGTTTGAGACACACTTTTTGTAGAATCTACAAGTGGATATTTGGACCTCTCTGAGGATTTCGTTGGAAACGGGATAACTGCACCTAACTAAACGGAAGCATTCTCAGAAACTGCTTTGTGATGATTGCATTCACCTCACAGAGTTGAACATTCCTATTGATAGAGCAGTTTGGAAACACTCTTGTTGTGGAATGTGCAAGTGGAGATTTGGAGCGCTTTGAGGCCTATGGTAGTAAAGGGAATACCTTCATAGAAAAACTAGACAGATGCATTCTCAGGAACTTTTTGGTGATGTTTGTATTCAACTCCCAGAGTTGAACTTTCCTTTGGAAAGAGCAGCTATGAAACACTCTTTTTCTAGAATCTGCAAGTGGACGTTTGGAGGGCTTTGTGGTTTGTGGTGGAAAAGGAAATATCTTCACCTAAATACTAGATAGAAGCATTCTCAGAAGCTTCTCTGTGATGACTGCATTCAACTCACGGGAGTTGAACACTCCTTTTGAGAGCGCAGTTTTGAAACTCTCTTTCTGTGGCATCCGCAAGGGGACATGTGGACCTCTTTGAAGATTTCGTTGGAAACGGAATCATCTTCACATCAAAACTATACAGAAGCAGTCTCAGAATCTTCTTTGTGATGTTTGCATTCAAATCCCAGAGTTGAACTTTCCTTTCAAAGTTCACGTTTGAAACACTCTTTTTGCAGGATCTACAAGTGGATATTTGGACCACTCTGTGTCCTTCGTTCGAAACGGGTATATCTTCACACGACATCTAGACAGAAGCTTTCTCAGAAAATTCTTTGGGATGATTGAGTGGAACTCACAGAGCTGAACATTCCTTGCGATGTAGCAGTTTAGAAACACACTTTCTGCAGAATCTGCAAGTGCATATTTGGACCTCTGTGAGGAATTCGTTGGAAACGGGATAATTTCAGCTGACTAAACAGAAGCATTCTCAGAACCTTCTTCGTGATGTCTGCATTCAACTCACAGTGTGGAACCTTTCTTTGATAGTTCAGGTTTGAAACACTCTTTTTGTAGAAACTGCAAGGGGATAATTGCACTTCTTTGAGGCCTACCGTAGTAAAGGAAATAACTTCCTATAGAAAGAAGACAGAAGCATTCTCAGAACCCTCTTCGTGATGTTTGCATTCAACTCACAGTGCTGAACCTTTCTTTGATAGTTCAGCTTTGAAACACTCTTCTTGTAGAAACTGCAAGTGGATATTTGGTCCTCTCTGAGGATTTCGTTGGAAACGGGATAAACCGCACAGAACTAAACAGAAGAATTCTCAGAGCCCTCTTCGTGATGTTTGCATTCAACTCACAGTGCTGAACCTTTCTTTGATAGTGCAGCTTTGAAACACTCTTTTTGTAGAAACTGCAAGTGGATGTTTGGTCCTCTCTGAGGATTTCGTTGGAAACGGGATAAACCGCACAGAACTAAAACAGAAGCATTGTCAGAAACTTCTTTGTGATGATTGCATTCAACTCACAGAGTTGAAGGTTCCTTTTCAAACAGCAGTTTCCAATCACTCTTTCTGTGGAATCTGCAAGTGGATATTTGGGCCTCTCTGAGGATTTCGTTGGAAACGGGATAAAACGCACAGAACTAAAACAGAAGCATTCTCAGAAACTTCTCTGTGATGTTTGTGTTCAACTCCCAGAGTTTCACGTTGCTTTTCATAGAGTAGTTCTGAAACATGCTTTTCGTAGTGTCTGCAAGTGGACATTTGGAGCGCTTTCAGGCCTGTGGTGGAAAACGAATTATGGTCACATAAAAACTGGAGAGAAGCCTTCTCAGAAACTTCTCTGTGATGATTGCATTCAACTCACAGAGTTGAACCCTCCTATGGATAGAGCAGTGTTGAAACTCTCTTTTTGTGGAACCTGCAAGTGGATATGTGGACCTCTCCGAAGATGTCTTTGGAAACGGGAATATCTTCACATAAAAACTAAACAGAAGCATTCTCAGAAACTTCTTGGTGATGTTTGCATTCAAATCCCAGAGTTGAACCTTCCTTTGATAGTTCAGGTTTGAAACACTCTTTCTGTAGGATCTGCAAGTGGCTATTTGGACCACTCTGTGGCCTTCGTTCGAAACGGGTATATCTTCGCATAAAATCTAGACAGAAGCATTCTCAGAAAATACTTTGTGATGATTGAGTTTAAATCACAGAGCTGACCATTCCTTTGGATGGAGCAGGTTTGAGACACACTTTTTGTAGAATCTACAAGTGGATATTTGGACCTCTCTGAGGATTTCGTTGGAAACGGGATAACTGCACCTAACTAAACGGAAGCATTCTCAGAAACTGCTTTGTGATGATTGCATTCACCTCACAGAGTTGAACATTCCTATTGATAGAGCAGTTTGGAAACACTCTTGTTGTGGAATGTGCAAGTGGAGATTTGGAGCGCTTTGAGGCCTATGGTAGTAAAGGGAATAGCTTCATAGAAAAACTAGACAGATGCATTCTCAGGAACTTTTTGGTGATGTTTGTATTCAACTCCCAGAGTTGAACTTTCCTTTGGAAAGAGCAGCTATGAAACACTCTTTTTCTAGAATCTGCAAGTGGACGTTTGGAGGGCTTTGTGGTTTGTGGTGGAAAAGGAAATATCTTCACCTAAATACTAGATAGAAGCATTCTCAGAAGCTTCTCTGCGATGACTGCATTCAACTCACGGAGTTGAACACTCCTTTTGAGAGCGCAGTTTTGAAACTCTCTTTCTGTGGCATCTGCAAGGGGACATGTAGACCTCTTTGAAGATTTCGTTGGAAACGGAATCATCTTCACATAAAAACTATACAGAAGCAGTCTCAGAATCTTCTTTGTGATGTTTGCATTCAAATCCCAGAGTTGAACTTTCGTTTCAAAGTTCACGTTTGAAACACTCTTTTTGCAGGATCTACAAGTGGATATTTGGACCACTCTGTGTCCTTCGTTCGAAACGGGTATGTCTTCACATGACATCTAGACAGAAGCTTTCTCAGAAAATTCTTTGGGATGATTGAGTGGAACTCACAGAGCTGAACATTCCTTGCGATGTAGCAGTTTAGAAACACACTTTCTGCAGAATCTGCAAGTTCATATTTGGACCTCTCTGAGGAATTCTTTGGAAACGGGATAATTTCAGCTGACTAAACAGAAGCATTCTCAGAACCTTCTTCGTGATGTCTGCATTCAACTCACAGTGTGGAACCTTTCTTTGATAGTTCAGGTTTGAAACACTCTTTTTGTAGAAACTGCAAGGGGATAATTGCACTTCTTTGAGGCCTACCGTAGTAAAGGAAATAACTTCCTATAGAAAGAAGACAGAAGCATTCTCAGAACCCTCTTCGTGATGTTTGCATTCAACTCACAGTGCTGAACCTTTCTTTGATAGTTCAGCTTTGAAACACTCTTCTTGTAGAAACTGCAAGTGGATATTTGGTCCTCTCTGAGGATTTCGTTGGAAACGGGATAAACTGCACAGAACTAAACAGAAGAATTCTCAGAGCCCTCTTCGTGATGTTTGCATTCAACTCACAGTGCTGAACCTTTCTTTGATAGTGCAGCTTTGAAACACTCTTTTTGTAGAAACTGCAAGTGGATGTTTGGTCCTCTCTGAGGATTTCGTTGGAAACGGGATAAACCGCACAGAACTAAAACAGAAGCATTGTCAGAAACTTCTTTGTGATGATTGCATTCAACTCACAGAGTTGAAGGTTCCTTTTCAAACAGCAGTTTCCAATCACTCTTTCTGTGGAATCTGCAAGTGGATATTTGGGCCTCTCTGAGGATTTCGTTGGAAACGGGATAAAACGCACAGAACTAAAACAGAAGCATTCTCAGAAACTTCTCTGTGATGTTTGTGTTCAACTCCCAGAGTTTCACGTTGCTTTTCATAGAGTAGTTCTGAAACATGCTTTTCGTAGTGTCTGCAAGTGGACATTTGGAGCGCTTTCAGGCCTGTGGTGGAAAACGAATTATGGTCACATAAAAACTGGAGAGAAGCCTTCTCAGAAACTTCTCTGTGATGATTGCATTCAACTCACAGAGTTGAACCCTCCCATGGATAGAGCAGTGTTGAAACTCTCTTTTTGTGGAATCTGCAAGTGGATATGTGGACCTCTCCGAAGATGTCTTTGGAAACGGGAATATCTTCACATAAAAACTAAACAGAAGCATTCTCAGAAACTTCTTGGTGATGTTTGCATTCAAATCCCAGAGTTGAACCTTCCTTTGATAGTTCAGGTTTGAAACACTCTTTCTGTAGGATCTGCAAGTGGCTATTTGGACCACTCTGTGGCCTTCGTTCGAAACGGGTATATCTTCGCATAAAATCTAGACAGAAGCATTCTCAGAAAATACTTTGTGATGATTGAGTTTAAATCACAGAGCTGACCATTCCTTTGGATGGAGCAGGTTTGAGACACACTTTTTGTAGAATCTACAAGTGGATATTTGGACCTCTCTGAGGATTTCGTTGGAAACGGGATAACTGCACCTAACTAAACGGAAGCATTCTCAGAAACTGCTTTGTGATGATTGCATTCACCTCACAGAGTTGAACATTCCTATTGATAGAGCAGTTTGGAAACACTCTTGTTGTGGAATGTGCAAGTGGAGATTTGGAGCGCTTTGAGGCCTATGGTAGTAAAGGGAATAGCTTCATAGAAAAACTAGACAGATGCATTCTCAGGAACTTTTTGGTGATGTTTGTATTCAACTCCCAGAGTTGAACTTTCCTTTGGAAAGAGCAGCTATGAAACACTCTTTTTCTAGAATCTGCAAGTGGACGTTTGGAGGGCTTTGTGGTTTGTGGTGGAAAAGGAAATATCTTCACCTAAATACTAGATAGAAGCTTTCTCAGAAGCTTCTCTGTGATGACTGCATTCAACTCACGGAGTTGAACACTCCTTTTGAGAGCGCAGTTTTGAAACTCCCTTTCTGTGGCATCTGCAAGGGGACATGTAGACCTCTTTGAAGATTTCGTTGGAAACGGAATCATCTTCACATAAAAACTATACAGAAGCAGTCTCAGAATCTTCTTTGTGATGTTTGCATTCAAATCCCAGAGTTGAACTTTCCTTTCAAAGTTCACGTTTGAAACACTCTTTTTGCAGGATCTACAAGTGGATATTTGGACCACTCTGTGTCCTTCGTTCGAAACGGGTATATCTTCACACGACATCTAGACAGAAGCTTTCTCAGAAAATTCTTTGGGATGATTGAGTTGAACTCACAGAGCTGAACATTCCTTGCGATGTAGCAGTTTAGAAACACACTTTCTGCAGAATCTGCAAGTGCATATTTGGACCTCTCTGAGGAATTCGTTGGAAACGGGATAATTTCAGCTGACTAAACAGAAGCATTCTCAGAACCTTCTTCGTGATGTCTGCATTCAACTCACAGTGTGGAACCTTTCTTTGATAGTTCAGGTTTGAAACACTCTTTTTGTAGAAACTGCAAGGGGATAATTGCACTTCTTTGAGGCCTACCGTAGTAAAGGAAATAACTTCCTATAAAAAGAAGACAGAAGCATTCTCAGAACCCTCTTCGTGATGTTTGCATTCAACTCACAGTGCTGAGCCTTTCTTCGATAGTTCAGCTTTGAAACACTCTTTTTGTAGAAACTGCAAGTGGATATTTGGTCCTCTCTGAGGATTTCGTTGGAAAAGGGATAAACCGCACAGAACTAAACAGAAGAATTCTCAGAGCCCTCTTCGTGATGTTTGCATTCAACTCACAGTGCTGAACCTTTCTTTGATAGTGCAGCTTTGAAACACTCTTTTTGTAGAAACTGCAAGTGGATGTTTGGTCCTCTCTGAGGATTTCGTTGGAAACGGGATAAACCGCACAGAACTAAAACAGAAGCATTGTCAGAAACTTCTTTGTGATGATTGCATTCAACTCACAGAGTTGAAGGTTCCTTTTCAAACAGCAGTTTCCAATCACTCTTTCTGTGGAATCTGCAAGTGGATATTTGGGCCTCTCTGAGGATTTCGTTGGAAACGGGATAAAACGCACAGAACTAAAACAGAAGCATTCTCAGAAACTTCTCTGTGATGTTTGTGTTCAACTCCCAGAGTTTCACGTTGCTTTTCATAGAGTAGTTCTGAAACATGCTTTTCGTAGTGTCTGCAAGTGGACATTTGGAGCGCTTTCAGGCCTGTGGTGGAAAACGAATTATGGTCACATAAAAACTGGAGAGAAGCCTTCTCAGAAACTTCTCTGTGATGATTGCATTCAACTCACAGAGTTGAACCCTCCTATGGATAGAGCAGTGTTGAAACTCTCTTTTTGTGGAATCTGCAAGTGGATATGTGGACCTCTCCGAAGATGTCTTTGGAAACGGGTATATCTTCACATAAAAACTAAACAGAAGCATTCTCAGAAACTTCTTGGTGATGTTTGCATTCAAATCCCAGAGTTGAACCTTCCTTTGATAGTTCAGGTTTGAAACACTCTTTCTGTAGGATCTGCAAGTGGCTATTTGGACCACTCTGTGGCCTTCGTTCGAAACGGGTATATCTTCGCATAAAATCTAGACAGAAGCATTCTCAGAAAATACTTTGTGATGATTGAGTTTAAATCACAGAGCTGACCATTCCTTTGGATGGAGCAGGTTTGAGACACACTTTTTGTAGAATCTACAAGTGGATATTTGGACCTCTCTGAGGATTTCGTTGGAAACGGGATAACTGCACCTAACTAAACGGAGGCATTCTCAGAAACTGCTTTGTGATGATTGCATTCACCTCACAGAGTTGAACATTCCTATTGATAGAGCAGTTTGGAAACACTCTTGTTGTGGAATGTGCAAGTGGAGATTTGGAGCGCTTTGAGGCCTGTGGTAGTAAAGGGAATAGCTTCATAGAAAAACTAGACAGATGCATTCTCAGGAACTTTTTGGTGATGTTTGTATTCAACTCCCAGAGTTGAACTTTCCTTTGGAAAGAGCAGCTATGAAACACTCTTTTTCTAGAATCTGCAAGTGGACGTTTGGAGGGCTTTGTGGTTTGTGGTGGAAAAGGAAATATCTTCACCTAAATACTAGATAGAAGCATTCTCAGAAGCTTCTCTGTGATGACTGCATTCAACTCACGGAGTTGAACACTCCTTTTGAGAGTGCAGTTTTGAAACTCTCTTTCTGTGGCATCTGCAAGGGGACATGTAGACCTCTTTGAAGATTTCGTTGGAAACGGAATCATCTTCACATCAAAACTATACAGAAGCAGTCTCAGAATCTTCTTTGTGATGTTTGCATTCAAATCCCAGAGTTGAACTTTCCTTTCAAAGTTCACGTTTGAAACACTCTTTTTGCAGGATCTACAAGTGGATATTTGGACCACTCTGTGTCCTTCGTTCGAAACGGGTATATCTTCACATGACATCTAGACAGAAGCTTTCTCAGAAAATTCTTTGGGATGATTGAGTGGAACTCAACAGAGCTGAACATTCCTTGCGATGTAGCAGTTTAGAAACACACTTTCTGCAGAATCTGCAAGTGCATATTTGGACCTCTCTGAGGAATTCGTTGGAAACGGGATAATTTCAGCTGACTAAACAGAAGCATTCTCAGAACCTTCTTCGTGATGTCTGCATTCAACTCACAGTGTGGAACCTTTCTTTGATAGTTCAGGTTTGAAACACTCTTTTTGTAGAAACTGCAAGGGGATAATTGCACTTCTTTGAGGCCTACCGTAGTAAAGGAAATAACTTCCTATAGAAAGAAGACAGAAGCATTCTCAGAACCCTCTTCGTGATGTTTGCATTCAACCCACGGTGCTGAACCTTTCTTTGATAGTTCAGCTTTGAAACACTCTTTTTGTAGAAACTGCAAGTGGATATTTGGTCCTCTCTGAGGATTTCATTGGAAACGGGATAAACCGCACAGAACTAAACAGAAGCATTCTCAGAACCTTCTTCGTGATGTTTGCATTCAACTCACAGTGTTGAACCTTTCTTTGATAGTTCAGGTTTGAAACGGTCTTTCTGTAGAAACTGCAAGTAGATATTTGGACCTCTCTGAGGATTTCGTTGGAAACGGGATAAACCGCACAGAACTAAAACAGAAGCATTCACAGAAAACTCTTGGTGACGACTGAGTTTAACTCACAGAGCTGAACATTCCTTTGGATGGAGCAGTTTCGAAACACACTATTTGTAGAATGTGCAAGTGGATATTTGGGCCTCTCTGAGGATTTCGTTGGAAACAGGATAAACCGCACAGAACTAAACAGAAGCATTCTCAGAAACTACTTTGTGATGATTGCATTCAAGTCACAGAGTTGAACATTCCCTTTGACAGAGCAGTTTGGAAACTCTCTTTGTGTAGAATCTGCAAGTGGAGATATGGACAGCTTTGAGGCCTATGGTAGTAAAGGAAATAGCTTCATATAAAAGCTAGACAGTAGCATTCTCAGAAACTTCTTTGTGATGCTTGCATTCAACTCACAGAGTTGAACTTTCCTTTCGAGAGAGTAGCTTTGAAACACTCTTTTCCAGAATCTGCAAGTGGACATTTGGAGGGCTTTGAGGCCTGTGGTGGAAAAGGAATTATCTTCCCGTAAAAGCTAGACAGAAGCATTGTCAGAAACTTCTTTGTGATGATTGCATTCAACTCACAGAGATGAAGGTTCCTTTACAAACAGCAGTTTCCAAACACTCTTTCTGTGGAATCTGCAAGTGGATATTTGGACCTCTTTGAAGATTTCGTTGGAAACGGGAGAATCTTCACAGAAAAGCTAAACAGAAGCATTCTCAGAAACTTCTCTGTGATGTTTGTGTTCAACTCGCAGAGTTTCACATTGCTTTTCATAGAGTAGTTCTGAAACATGCTTTTCGTAGTGTCTGCAAGTGGACATTTGGAGCGCTTTCAGGCCTGTGGTGGAAAACGAATTATGGTCCCATAAAAACTGGAGAGAAGCCTTCTCAGAAACTTCTCTGTGATGATTGCATTCAACTCACAGAGTTGAACCCTCCTATGGATAGAGCATTGTTGAAACTCTCTTTTTGTGGAATCTGCAAGTGGATATGTGGACCTCTCCGAAGATGTCTTTGGAAACGGGAATATCTTCACATAAAAACTAAACAGAAGCATTCTCAGAAACTTCTTGGTGATGTTTGCATTCAAATCCCAGAGTTGAACCTTCCTTTGATAGTTCAGGTTTGAAACACTCTTTTTGTAGGATCTGCAAGTGGATATTTGGACCACTCTGTGGCCTTCGTTCGAAACGGGTATATCTTCGCATAAAATCTAGACAGAAGCATTCTCAGAAAATACTTTGTGATGATTGAGTTTAACTCACAGAGCTGAACATTCCTTTGGATGGAGCAGGTTTGAGACACACTTTTTGTAGAAACTACAAGTGGATATTTGGACCTCTCTGAGGATTTCGTTGGAAACGCGATAACTGCACCTAATTAAACGGAAGCATTCTCAGAAACTGCTTTGTGATGATTGCATTCACCTCACAGAGTTGAACATTCCTATTGATAGAGCAGTTTGGAAACACTCTTGTTGTGGAATGTGCAAGTGGAGACTTGGAGCGTTTTGAGGCCTATGGTAGTAAAGGGAATAGCTTCATAGAAAAACTAGACAGATGCATTCTCAGGAACTTTTTGGTGATGTTTGTATTCAACTCCCAGAGTTGAACTTTCCTTTGGAAAGAGCAGCTATGAAACACTCTTTTTCTAGAATCTGCAAGTGGACGTTTGGAGGGCTTTGTGGTTTGTGGTGGAAAAGGAAATATCTTCACCTAAATACTAGATAGAAGCATTCTCAGAAGCTTCTCTGTGATGACTGCATTCAACTCACGGAGTTGAACACTCCTTTTGAGAGCGCAGTTTTGAAACTCTCTTTCTGTGGCATCTGCAAGGGGACATGTAGACCTCTTTGAAGATTTCGTTGGAAACGGAATCATCTTCACATAAAAACTATACAGAAGCAGTCTCAGAATCTTCTTTGTGATGTTTGCATTCAAATCCCAGAGTTGAACTTTCCTTTCAAAGTTCACGTTTGAAACACTCTTTTTGCAGGATCTACAAGTGGATATTTGGACCACTCTGTGTCCTTCGTTCGAAACGGGTATATCTTTCACACGACATCTAGACAGAAGCTTTCTCAGAAAATTCTTTGGGATGATTGAGTGGAACTCACAGAGCTGAACATTCCTTGCGATGTAGCAGTTTAGAAACACACTTTCTGCAGAATCTGCAAGTGCATATTTGGACCTCTCTGAGGAATTCGTTGGAAACGGGATAATTTCAGCTGACTAAACAGAAGCATTCTCAGAACCTTCTTCGTGATGTCTGCATTCAACTCACAGTGTGGAACCTTTCTTTGATAGTTCAGGTTTGAAACACTCTTTTTGTAGAAACTGCAAGGGGATAATTGCACTTCTTTGAGGCCTACCGTAGTAAAGGAAATAACTTCCTATAGAAAGAAGACAGAAGCATTCTCAGAACCCTCTTCGTGATGTTTGCATTCAACTCACAGTGCTGAACCTTTCTTTGATAGTTCAGCTTTGAAACACTCTTCTTGTAGAAACTGCAAGTGGATATTTGGTCCTCTCTGAGGATTTCGTTGGAAACGGGATAAACCGCACAGAACTAAACAGAAGAATTCTCAGAGCCCTCTTCGTGATGTTTGCATTCAACTCACAGTGCTGAACCTTTCTTTGATAGTGCAGCTTTGAAACACTCTTTTTGTAGAAACTGCAAGTGGATGTTTGGTCCTCTCTGAGGATTTCGTTGGAAACGGGATAAACCGCACAGAACTAAAACAGAAGCATTGTCAGAAACTTCTTTGTGATGATTGCATTCAACTCACAGAGTTGAAGGTTCCTTTTCAAACAGCAGTTTCCAATCACTCTTTCTGTGGAATCTGCAAGTGGATATTTGGGCCTCTCTGAGGATTTCGTTGGAAACGGGATAAAACGCACAGAACTAAAACAGAAGCATTCTCAGAAACTTCTCTGTGATGTTTGTGTTCAACTCCCAGAGTTTCACGTTGCTTTTCATAGAGTAGTTCTGAAACATGCTTTTCGTAGTGTCTGCAAGTGGACATTTGGAGCGCTTTCAGGCCTGTGGTGGAAAACGAATTATGGTCACATAAAAACTGGAGAGAAGCCTTCTCAGAAACTTCTCTGTGATGATTGCATTCAACTCACAGAGTTGAACCCTCCTATGGATAGAGCAGTGTTGAAACTCTCTTTTTGTGGAATCTGCAAGTGGATATGTGGACCTCTCCGAAGATGTCTTTGGAAACGGGAATATCTTCACATAAAAACTAAACAGAAGCATTCTCAGAAACTTCTTGGTGATGTTTGCATTCAAATCCCAGAGTTGAACCTTCCTTTGATAGTTCAGGTTTGAAACACTCTTTCTGTAGGATCTGCAAGTGGCTATTTGGACCACTCTGTGGCCTTCGTTCGAAACGGGTATATCTTCGCATAAAATCTAGACAGAAGCATTCTCAGAAAATACTTTGTGATGATTGAGTTTAAATCACAGAGCTGACCATTCCTTTGGATGGAGCAGGTTTGAGACACACTTTTTGTAGAATCTACAAGTGGATATTTGGACCTCTCTGAGGATTTCGTTGGAAACGGGATAACTGCACCTAACTAAACGGAAGCATTCTCAGAAACTGCTTTGTGATGATTGCATTCACCTCACAGAGTTGAACATTCCTATTGATAGAGCAGTTTGGAAACACTCTTGTTGTGGAATGTGCAAGTGGAGATTTGGAGCGCTTTGAGGCCTATGGTAGTAAAGGGAATAGCTTCATAGAAAAACTAGACAGAATGCATTCTCAGGAACTTTTTGGTGATGTTTGTATTCAACTCCCAGAGTTGAACTTTCCTTTGGAAAGAGCAGCTATGAAGCACTCTTTTTCTAGAATCTGCAAGTGGACGTTTGGAGGGCTTTGTGGTTTGTGGTGGAAAAGGAAATATCTTCACCTAAATACTAGAGAGAAGCATTCTCAGAAGCTTCTCTGTGATGACTGCATTCAACTCACGGAGTTGAACACTCCTTTTGAGAGCGCAGTTTTGAAACTCTCCTTCTGTGGCATTCGCAAGGGGACATGTAGACCTCTTTGAAGATTTCGTTGGAAACGGAATCATCTTCACATAAAAACTATACAGAAGCAGTCTCAGAATCTTCTTTGTGATGTTTGCATTCAAATCCCAGAGTTGAACTTTCCTTTCAAAGTTCACGTTTGAAACACTCTTTTTGCAGGATCTACAAGTGGATATTTGGACCACTCTGTGTCCTTCGTTCGAAACGGGTATATCTTCACATGACATCTAGACAGAAGCTTTCTCAGAAAATTCTTTGGGATGATTGAGTGGAACTCACAGAGCTGAACATTCCTTGCGATGTAGCAGTTTAGAAACACACTTTCTGCAGAATCTGCAAGTGCATATTTGGACCTCTCTGAGGAATTCGTTGGAAACGGGATAATTTCAGCTGACTAAACAGAAGCATTCTCAGAACCTTCTTCGTGATGTCTGCATTCAACTCACAGTGTGGAACCTTTCTTTGATAGTTCAGCTTTGAAACACTCTTTTTGTAGAAACTGCAAGGGGATAATTGCACTTCTTTGAGGCCTACCGTAGTAAAGGAAATAACTTCCTATAGAAAGAAGACAAAAGCATTCTCAGAACCCTCTTCGTGATGTTTGCATTCAACTCACAGTGCTGAACCTTTCTTTGATAGTTCAGCTTTGAAACACTCTTCTTGTAGAAACTGCAAGTGAATATTTTGTCCTCTCTGAGGATTTCGTTGGAAACGGGATAAACCGCACAGAACTAAACGGAAGCATTCTCAGAACCTTCTTCGTGATGTTTGCATTCAACTCACAGTGTTGAACCTTCCTTTGATAGTTCAGGTTTGAAACGGTCTTTCTGTAGAAACTGCAAGTAGATATTTGGACCTCTCTGAGGATTTCGTTGGAAACGGGATAAACCGCACAGAACTAAAACAGAAGCATTCACAGAAAACTCTTGGTGACGACTGAGTTTAACTCACAGAGCTGAACATTCCTTTGGATGGAGCAGTTTCGAAACACACTATTTCTAGAAGGTGCAAGTGGATATGTGGGCCTCTCTGAGGATTTCGTTGGAAACGGGATAAACCGCACAGAACTAAACAGAAGCATTCTCAGAAACTACTTTGTGATGATTGCATTCAAGTCACAGAGTTGAACATTCCCTTTGACAGAGCAGTTTGGAAACTCTCTTTGTGTAGAATCTGCAAGTGGAGATATGGAATGATTTGAGGACTATGGTAGTAAAGGAAATAGCTTCATATAAAAGCTAGACAGTAGCATTCTCAGAAACTTCTTTGTGATGCTTGCATTCAACTCACTGAGTTGAACTTTCCTTTCGAGAGAGAAGCTTTGAAACACTCTTTTTCCAGAATCTGCAAGTGGACATTTGGAGGGCTTTGAGGTCTGTGGTGGAAAAGGAATTATCTTCCCGTAAAAGCTAGATAGAAGCATTGTCAGAAACTTCTTTGTGATGATTGCATTCAACTCACAGAGTTGAAGGTTCCTTTTCAAAGAGCAGTTTCCAATCACTCTTTCTGTGGAATCTGCAAGTGGATATTTGGACCTATTTTGAAGATTTCGTTGGAAACGGGAGAATCATCACAGGAAAGCTAAACAGAAGCATTCTCAGAAACTTCTCTGTGATGTTTGTGTTCAACTCCCAGAGTTTCACGTTGCTTTTCATAGAGTAGTTCTGAAACATGCTTTTCGTAGTGTCTGCAAGTGGACATTTGGAGCGCTTTCAGGCCTGTGGTGGAAAACGAATTATGGTCACATAAAAACTGGAGAGAAGCCTTCTCAGAAACTTCTCTGTGATGATTGCATTCAACTCACAGAGTTGAACCCTCCTATGGATAGAGCAGTGTTGAAACTCTCTTTTTGTGGAATCTGCAAGTGGATATGTGGACCTCTCCGAAGATGTCTTTGGAAACGGGAATATCTTCACATAAAAACTAAACAGAAGCATTCTCAGAAACTTCTTGGTGATGTTTGCATTCAAATCCCAGAGTTGAACCTTCCTTTGATAGTTCAGGTTTGAAACACTCTTTTTGTAGGATCTGCAAGTGGCTATTTGGACCACTCTGTGGCCTTCGTTCGAAACGGGTATATCTTCGCATAAAATCTAGACAGAAGCATTCTCAGAAAATACTTTGTGATGATTGAGTTTAAATCACAGAGCTGAACATTCCTTTGGATGGAGCAGGTTTGAGACACACTTTTTGTAGAATCTACAAGTGGATATTTGGACCTCTCTGAGGATTTCGTTGGAAACGGGATAACTGCACCTAACTAAACGGAAGCATTCTCAGAAACTGCTTTGTGATGATTGCATTCACCTCACAGAGTTGAACATTCCTATTGATAGAGCAGTTTGGAAACACTCTTGTTGTGGAATGTGCAAGTGGAGATTTGGAGCGCTTTGAGGCCTATGGTAGTAAAGGGAATAGCTTCATAGAAAAACTAGACAGATGCATTCTCAGGAACTTTTTGGTGATGTTTGTATTCAACTCCCAGAGTTGAACTTTCCTTTGGAAAGAGCAGCTATGAAACACACTTTTTCTAGAATCTGCAAGTGGACGTTTGGAGGGCTTTGTGGTTTGTGGTGGAAAAGGAAATATCTTCACCTAAATACTAGACAGAAGCATTCTCAGAAGCTTCTCTGTGATGACTGCATTCAACTCACGGAGTTGAACACTCCTTTTGAGAGCGCAGTTTTGAAACTCTCTTTCTGTGGCATCTGCAAGGGGACATGTAGACCTCTTTGAAGATTTCGTTGGAAACGGAATCATCTTCACATAAAAACTATACAGAAGCAGTCTCAGAATCTTCTTTGTGATGTTTGCATTCAAATCCCAGAGTTGAACTTTCCTTTCAAAGTTCACGTTTGAAACACTCTTTTTGCAGGATCTACAAGTGGATATTTGGACCACTCTGTGTCCTTCGTTCGAAACGGGTATATCTTCACACGACATCTAGACAGAAGCTTTCTCAGAAAATTCTTTGGGATGATTGAGTGGAACTCACAGAGCTGAACATTCCTTGCGATGTAGCAGTTTAGAAACACACTTTCTGCAGAATCTGCAAGTGCATATTTGGACCTCTCTGAGGAATTCGTTGGAAACGGGATAATTTCAGCTGACTAAACAGAAGCATTCTCAGAACCTTCTTCGTGATGTCTGCATTCAACTCACAGTGTGGAACCTTTCTTTGATAGTTCAGGTTTGAAACACTCTTTTTGTAGAAACTGCAAGGGGATAATTGCACTTCTTTGAGGCCTACCGTAGTAAAGGAAATAACTTCCTATAGAAAGAAGACAGAAGCATTCTCAGAACCCTCTTCGTGATGTTTGCATTCAACTCACAGTGCTGAACCTTTCTTTGATAGTTCAGCTTTGAAACACTCTTCTTGTAGAAACTGCAAGTGGATATTTGGTCCTCTCTGAGGATTTCGTTGGAAACGGGATAAACCGCACAGAACTAAACAGAAGAATTCTCAGAGCCCTCTTCGTGATGTTTGCATTCAACTCACAGTGCTGAACCTTTCTTTGATAGTGCAGCTTTGAAACACTCTTTTTGTAGAAACTGCAAGTGGATGTTTGGTCCTCTCTGAGGATTTCGTTGGAAACGGGATAAACCGCACAGAACTAAAACAGAAGCATTGTCAGAAACTTCTTTGTGATGATTGCATTCAACTCACAGAGTTGAAGGTTCCTTTTCAAACAGCAGTTTCCAATCACTCTTTCTGTGGAATCTGCAAGTGGATATTTGGGCCTCTCTGAGGATTTCGTTGGAAACGGGATAAAACGCACAGAACTAAAACAGAAGCATTCTCAGAAACTTCTCTGTGATGTTTGTGTTCAACTCCCAGAGTTTCACGTTGCTTTTCATAGAGTAGTTCTGAAACATGCTTTTCGTAGTGTCTGCAAGTGGACATTTGGAGCGCTTTCAGGCCTGTGGTGGAAAACGAATTATGGTCACATAAAAACTGGAGAGAAGCCTTCTCAGAAACTTCTCTGTGATGATTGCATTCAACTCACAGAGTTGAACCCTCCTATGGATAGAGCAGTGTTGAAACTCTCTTTTTGTGGAATCTGCAAGTGGATATGTGGACCTCTCCGAAGATGTCTTTGGAAACGGGAATATCTTCACATAAAAACTAAACAGAAGCATTCTCAGAAACTTCTTGGTGATGTTTGCATTCAAATCCCAGAGTTGAACCTTCCTTTGATAGTTCAGGTTTGAAACACTCTTTCTGTAGGATCTGCAAGTGGCTATTTGGACCACTCTGTGGCCTTCGTTCGAAACGGGTATATCTTCGCATAAAATCTAGACAGAAGCATTCTCAGAAAATACTTTGTGATGATTGAGTTTAAATCACAGAGCTGACCATTCCTTTGGATGGAGCAGGTTTGAGACACACTTTTTGTAGAATCTACAAGTGGATATTTGGACCTCTCTGAGGATTTCGTTGGAAACGGGATAACTGCACCTAACTAAACGGAAGCATTCTCAGAAACTGCTTTGTGATGATTGCATTCACCTCACAGAGTTGAACATTCCTATTGATAGAGCAGTTTGGAAACACTCTTGTTGTGGAATGTGCAAGTGGAGATTTGGAGCGCTTTGAGGCCTATGGTAGTAAAGGGAATAGCTTCATAGAAAAACTAGACAGATGCATTCTCAGGAACCTTTTGGTGATGTTTGTATTCAACTCCCAGAGTTGAACTTTCCTTTGGAAAGAGCAGCTATGAAACACTCTTTTTCTAGAATCTGCAAGTGGACGTTTGGAGGGCTTTGTGGTTTGTGGTGGAAAAGGAAATATCTTCACCTAAATACTAGATAGAAGCATTCTCAGAAGCTTCTCTGTGATGACTGCATTCAACTCACGGAGTTGAACACTCCTTTTGAGAGCGCAGTTTTGAAACTCTCTTTCTGTGGCATCTGCAAGGGGACATGTAGACCTCTTTGAAGATTTCGTTGGAAACGGAATCATCTTCACATAAAAACTATACAGAAGCAGTCTCAGAATCTTCTTTGTGATGTTTGCATTCAAATCCCAGAGTTGAACTTTCCTTTCAAAGTTCACGTTTGAAACACTCTTTTTGCAGGATCTACAAGTGGATATTTGGACCACTCTGTGTCCTTCGTTCGAAACGGGTATATCTTCACACGACATCTAGACAGAAGCTTTCTCAGAAAATTCTTTGGGATGATTGAGTGGAACTCACAGAGCTGAACATTCCTTGCGATGGAGCAGTTTAGAAACACACTTTCTGCAGAATCTGCAAGTGCATATTTGGACCTCTCTGAGGAATTCGTTGGAAACGGGATAATTTCAGCTGACTAAACAGAAGCATTCTCAGAACCTTCTTCGTGATGTCTGCATTCAACTCACAGTGTGGAACCTTTCTTTGATAGTTCAGGTTTGAAACACTCTTTTTGTAGAAACTGCAAGGGGATAATTGCACTTCTTTGAGGCCTACCGTAGTAAAGGAAATAACTTCCTATAGAAAGAAGACAGAAGCATTCTCAGAACCCTCTTCGTGATGTTTGCATTCAACTCACAGTGCTGAACCTTTCTTTGATAGTTCAGCTTTGAAACACTCTTCTTGTAGAAACTGCAAGTGGATATTTGGTCCTCTCTGAGGATTTCGTTGGAAACGGGATAAACCGCACAGAACTAAACAGAAGCATTGTCAGAAACTTCTTTGTGATGATTGCATTCAACTCACAGAGTTGAAGGTTCCTTTTCAAACAGCAGTTTCCAATCACTCTTTCTGTGGAATCTGCAAGTGGATATTTGGGCCTCTCTGAGGATTTCGTTGGAAACGGGATAAAACGCACAGAACTAAAACAGAAGCATTCTCAGAAACTTCTCTGTGATGTTTGTGTTCAACTCCCAGAGTTTCACGTTGCTTTTCATAGAGTAGTTCTGAAACATGCTTTTCGTAGTGTCTGCAAGTGGACATTTGGAGCGCTTTCAGGCCTGTGGTGGAAAACGAATTATGGTCACATAAAAACTGGAGAGAAGCCTTCTCAGAAACTTCTCTGTGATTATTGCATTCAACTCACAGAGTTGAACCCTCCTATGGATAGAGCAGTGTTGAAACTCTCTTTTTGTGGAATCTGCAAGTGGATATGTGGACCTCTCCGAAGATGTCTTTGGAAACGGGAATATCTTCACATAAAAACTAAACAGAAGCATTCTCAGAAACTTCTTGGTGATGTTTGCATTCAAATCCCAGAGTTGAACCTTCCTTTGATAGTTCAGGTTTGAAACACTCTTTCTGTAGGATCTGCAAGTGGCTATTTGGACCACTCTGTGGCCTTCGTTCGAAACGGGTATATCTTCGCATAAAATCTAGACAGAAGCATTCTCAGAAAATACTTTGTGATGATTGAGTTTAAATCACAGAGCTGACCATTCCTTTGGATGGAGCAGGTTTGAGACACACTTTTTGTAGAATCTACAAGTGGATATTTGGACCTCTCTGAGGATTTCGTTGGAAACGGGATAACTGCACCTAACTAAACGGAAGCATTCTCAGAAACTGCTTTGTGATGATTGCATTCACCTCACAGAGTTGAAAATTCCTATTGATAGAGCAGTTTGGAAACACTCTTGTTGTGGAATGTGCAAGTGGAGATTTGGAGCGCTTTGAGGCCTATGGTAGTAAAGGGAATAGCTTCATAGAAAAACTAGACAGATGCATTCTCAGGAACTTTTTGGTGATGTTTGTATTCAACTCCCAGAGTTGAACTTTCCTTTGGAAAGAGCAGCTATGAAACACTCTTTTTCTAGAATCTGCAAGTGGACGTTTGGAGGGCTTTGTGGTTTGTGGTGGAAAAGGAAATATCTTCACCTAAATACTAGACAGAAGCATTCTCAGAAGCTTCTCTGTGATGACTGCATTCAACTCACGGAGTTGAACACTCCTTTTGAGAGCGCAGTTTTGAAACTCTCTTTCTGTGGCATCTGCAAGGGGACATGTAGACCTCTTTGAAGATTTCGTTGGAAACGGAATCATCTTCACATAAAAACTATACAGAAGCAGTCTCAGAATCTTCTTTGTGATGTTTGCATTCAAATCCCAGAGTTGAACTTTCCTTTCAAAGTTCACGTTTGAAACACTCTTTTTGCAGGATCTACAAGTGGATATTTGGACCACTCTGTGTCCTTCGTTCGAAACGGGTATATCTTCACACGACATCTAGACAGAAGCTTTCTCAGCAAAATTCTTTGGGATGATTGAGTGGAACTCACAGAGCTGAACATTCCTTGCGATGTAGCAGTTTAGAAACACACTTTCTGCAGAATCTGCAAGTGCATATTTGGACCTCTCTGAGGAATTCGTTGGAAACGGGATAATTTCAGCTGACTAAACAGAAGCATTCTCAGAACCTTCTTCGTGATGTCTGCATTCAACTCACAGTGTGGAACCTTTCTTTGATAGTTCAGGTTTGAAACACTCTTTTTGTAGAAACTGCAAGGGGATAATTTCACTTCTTTGAGGCCTACCGTAGTAAAGGAAATAACTTCCTATAGAAAGAAGACAGAAGCATTCTCAGAACCCTCTTCGTGATGTTTGCATTCAACTCACAGTGCTGAACCTTTCTTTGATAGTTCAGCTTTGAAACACTCTTCTTGTAGAAACTGCAAGTGGATATTTGGTCCTCTCTGAGGATTTCGTTGGAAACGGGATAAACCGCACAGAACTAAACAGAAGAATTCTCAGAGCCCTCTTCGTGATGTTTGCATTCAACTCACAGTGCTGAACCTTTCTTTGATAGTGCAGCTTTGAAACACTCTTTTTGTAGAAACTGCAAGTGGATGTTTGGTCCTCTCTGAGGATTTCGTTGGAAACGGGATAAACCGCACAGAACTAAAACAGAAGCATTGTCAGAAACTTCTTTGTGATGATTGCATTCAACTCACAGTAGTTGAAGGTTCCTTTTCAAACAGCAGTTTCCAATCACTCTTTCTGTGGAATCTGCAAGTGGATATTTGGGCCTCTCTGAGGATTTCGTTGGAAACGGGATAAAACGCACAGAACTAAAACAGAAGCATTCTCAGAAACTTCTCTGTGATGTTTGTGTTCAACTCCCAGAGTTTCACGTTGCTTTTCATAGAGTAGTTCTGAAACATGCTTTTCGTAGTGTCTGCAAGTGGACATTTGGAGCGCTTTCAGGCCTGTGGTGGAAAACGAATTATGGTCACATAAAAACTGGAGAGAAGCCTTCTCAGAAACTTCTCTGTGATGATTGCATTCAACTCACAGAGTTGAACCCTCCTATGGATAGAGCAGTGTTGAAACTCTCTTTTTGTGGAATCTGCAAGTGGATATGTGGACCTCTCCGAAGATGTCTTTGGAAACGGGAATATCTTCACATAAAAACTAAACAGAAGCATTCTCAGAAACTTCTTGGTGATGTTTGCATTCAAATCCCAGAGTTGAACCTTCCTTTGATAGTTCAGGTTTGAAACACTCTTTCTGTAGGATCTGCAAGTGGCTATTTGGACCACTCTGTGGCCTTCGTTCGAAACGGGTATATCTTCGCATAAAATCTAGACAGAAGCATTCTCAGAAAATACTTTGTGATGATTGAGTTTAAATCACAGAGCTGACCATTCCTTTGGATGGAGCAGGTTTGAGACACACTTTTTGTAGAATCTACAAGTGGATATTTGGACCTCTCTGAGGATTTCGTTGGAAACGGGATAACTGCACCTAACTAAACGGAAGCATTCTCAGAAACTGCTTTGTGATGATTGCATTCACCTCACAGAGTTGAACATTCCTATTGATAGAGCAGTTTGGAAACACTCTTGTTGTGGAATGTGCAAGTGGAGATTTGGAGCGCTTTGAGGCCTATGTTAGTAAAGGGAATAGCTTCATAGAAAAACTAGACAGATGCATTCTCAGGAACTTTTTGGTGATGTTTGTATTCAACTCCCAGAGTTGAACTTTCCTTTGGAAAGAGCAGCTATGAAACACTCTTTTTCTAGAATCTGCAAGTGGACGTTTGGAGGGCTTTGTGGTTTGTGGTGGAAAAGGAAATATCTTCACCTAAATACTAGATAGAAAGCATCCTCAGAAGCTTCTCTGTGATTACTGCATTCAACTCACGGAGTTGAACACTCCTTTTGAGAGCGCAGTTTTGAAACTCTCTTTCTGTGGCATCTGCAAGGGGACATGTAGACCTCTTTGAAGATTTCGTTGGAAACGGAATCATCTTCACATAAAAACTACACAGAGCAGTCTCAGAATCTTCTTTGTGATGTTTGCATTCAAATCCCAGAGTTGAACTTTCCTTTCAAAGTTCACGTTTGAAACACTCTTTTTGCAGGATCTACAAGTGGATATTTGGACCACTCTGTGTCCTTCGTTCGAAACGGGTATATCTTCACACGACATCTAGACAGAAGCTTTCTCAGAAAATTCTTTGGGATGATTGAGTGGAACTCACAGAGCTGAACATTCCTTGCGATGTAGCAGTTTAGAAACACACTTTCTGCAGAATCTGCAAGTGCATATTTGGACCTCTCTGAGGAATTCGTTGGAAACGGGATAATTTCAGCTGACTAAACAGAAGCATTCTCAGAACCTTCTTCGTGATGTCTGCATTCAACTCACAGTGTGGAACCTTTCTTTGATAGTTCAGGTTTGAAACACTCTTTTTGTAGAAACTGCAAGGGGATAATTGCACTTCTTTGAGGCCTACCGTAGTAAAGGAAATAACTTCCTATAGAAAGAAGACAGAAGCATTCTCAGAACCCTCTTCGTGATGTTTGCATTCAACTCACAGTGCTGAACCTTTCTTTGATAGTTCAGCTTTGAAACACTCTTCTTGTAGAAACTGCAAGTGGATATTTGGTCCTCTCTGAGGATTTCGTTGGAAACGGGATAAACCGCACAGAACTAAACAGAAGAATTCTCAGAGCCCTCTTCGTGATGTTTGCATTCAACTCACAGTGCTGAACCTTTCTTTGATAGTGCAGCTTTGAAACACTCTTTTTGTAGAAACTGCAAGTGGATATTTGGTCCTCTCTGAGGATTTCGTTGGAAACGGGATAAACCGCACAGAACTAAAACAGAAGCATTCACAGAAAACTCTTGGTGACGACTGAGTTTAACTCACAGAGCTGAACATTCCTTTGGATGGAGCAGTTTCGAAACACACTATTTGTAGAATCTGCAAGTGGATATTTGGGCCTCTCTGAGGATTTCCTTGGAAACGGGATAAAACGCACAGAATTAAAACAGAAGCATTCTCAGAAACTACTTTGTGATGATTGCATTCAAGTCACAGAGTTGAACATTCCCTTTGACAGAGCAGTTTGGAAACTCTCTTTGTGTAGAATCTGCAAGTGGAGATATGGACCGCTTTGAGGCCTATGGTAGTAAAGGAAATAGCTTCATATAAAAGCTAGACAGTAGCATTCTCAGAAACTTCTTTGTGATGCTTGCATTCAACTCACAGAGTTGAACTTTCCTTTCGAGAGAGAAGCTTTGAAACACTCTTTTTCCAGAATGTGCAAGTGGACATTTGGGGAGCTTTGAGGCCTGTGGAGGAAAAGGAATTATCTTCCCGTAAAAGCTAGATAGAAGCATTGTCAGAAACTTCTTTGAGATGATTGCATTCAACTCACAGAGTTGAAGGTTCCTTTTCAAACAGCAGTTTCCAATCACTCTTTCTGTGGAATCTGCAAGTGGATATTTCGACCTCTTTGAAGATTTCGTTGGAAACGGGAGAATCTTCACAGAAAAGCTAAACAGAAGCATTCTCAGAAACTTCTCTGTGATGTTTGTGTTCAACTCCCAGAGTTTCACGTTGCTTTTCATAGAGTAGTTCTGAAACATGCTTTTCGTAGTGTCTGCAAGTGGACATTTGGAGCGCTTTCAGGCCTGTGGTGGAAAACGAATTATGGTCACATAAAAACTGGAGAGAAGCCTTCTCAGAAACTTCTCTGTGATGATTGCATTCAACTCACAGAGTTGAACCCTCCTATGGATAGAGCAGTGTTGAAACTCTCTTTTTGTGGAATCTGCAAGTGGATATGTGGACCTCTCCGAAGATGTCTTTGGAAACGGGAATATCTTCACATAAAAACTAAACAGAAGCATTCTCAGAAACTTCTTGGTGATGTTTGCATTCAAATCCCAGAGTTGAACCTTCCTTTGATAGTTCAGGTTTGAAACACTCTTTCTGTAGGATCTGCAAGTGGCTATTTGGACCACTCTGTGGCCTTCGTTCGAAACGGGTATATCTTCGCATAAAATCTAGACAGAAGCATTCTCAGAAAATACTTTGTGATGATTGAGTTTAAATCACAGAGCTGACCATTCCTTTGGATGGAGCAGGTTTGAGACACACTTTTTGTAGAATCTACAAGTGGATATTTGGACCTCTCTGAGGATTTCGTTGGAAACGGGATAACTGCACCTAACTAAACGGAAGCATTCTCAGAAACTGCTTTGTGATGATTGTATTCACCTCACAGAGTTGAACATTCCTATTGATAGAGCAGTTTGGAAACACTCTTGTTGTGGAATGTGCAAGTGGAGATTTGGAGCGCTTTGAGGCCTATGGTAGTAAAGGGAATAGCTTCATAGAAAAACTAGACAGATGCATTCTCAGGAACTTTTTGGTGATGTTTGTATTCAACTCCCAGAGTTGAACTTTCCTTTGGAAAGAGCAGCTATGAAACACTCTTTTTCTAGAATCTGCAAGTGGACGTTTGGAGGGCTTTGTGGTTTGTGGTGGAAAAGGAAATATCTTCACCTAAATACTAGATAGAAGCATTCTCAGAAGCTTCTCTGTGATGACTGCATTCAACTCACGGAGTTGAACACTCCTTTTGAGAGCGCAGTTTTGAAACTCTCTTTCTGTGGCATCTGCAAGGGGACATGTAGACCTCTTTGAAGATTTCGTTGGAAACGGAATCATCTTCACATAAAAACTATACAGAAGCAGTCTCAGAATCTTCTTTGTGATGTTTGCATTCAAATCCCAGAGTTGAACTTTCCTTTCAAAGTTCACGTTTGAAACACTCTTTTTGCACGATCTACAAGTGGATATTTGGACCACTCTGTGTCCTTCGTTCGAAACGGGTATATCTTCACATGACATCTAGACAGAAGCTTTCTCAGAAAATTCTTTGGGATGATTGAGTGGAACTCACAGAGCTGAACATTCCTTGCGATGTAGCAGTTTAGAAACACACTTTCTGCAGAATCTGCAAGTGCATATTTGGACCTCTCTGAGGAATTCGTTGGAAACGGGATAATTTCAGCTGACTAAACAGAAGCATTCTCAGAACCTTCTTCGTGATGTCTGCATTCAACTCACAGTGTGGAACCTTTCTTTGATAGTTCAGGTTTGAAACACTCTTTTTGTAGAAACTGCAAGGGGATAATTGCACTTCTTTGAGGCCTACCGTAGTAAAGGAAATAACTTCCTATAGAAAGAAGACAGAAGCATTCTCAGAACCCTCTTCGTGATGTTTGCATTCAACTCACAGTGCTGAACCTTTCTTTGATAGTTCAGCTTTGAAACACTCTTCTTGTAGAAACTGCAAGTGGATATTTGGTCCTCTCTGAGGATTTCGTTGGAAACGGGATAAACCGCACAGAACTAAACAGAAGCATTCTCAGAACCTTCTTCGTGATGTTTGCATTCAACTCACAGTGTTGAACCTTTCTTTGATAGTTCAGGTTGGAAACGGTCTTTCTGTAGAAACTGCAAGTAGATATTTGGACCTCTCTGAGGATTTCGTTGGAAACGGGATAAACCGCACAGAACTAAAACAGAAGCATTCACAGAAAACTCTTGGTGACGACTGAGTTTAACTCACAGAGCTGAACATTCCTTTGGATGGAGCAGTTTCGAAACACACTATTTGTAGAATGTGCAAGTGGATATTTGGGCCTCTCTGAGGATTTCGTTGGAAACGGGATAAACCGCACAGAACTAAACAGAAGCATTCTCAGAAACTACTTTGTGATGATTGCATTCAAGTCACAGAGTTGAACATTCCCTTTGACAGAGCAGTTTGGAAACTCTCTTTGTGTAGAATCTGCAAGTGGAGATATGGACCGCTTTGAGGCCTATGGTAGTAAAGGAAATAGCTTCATATAAAAGCTAGACAGTAGCATTCTCAGAAACTTCTTTGTGATGCTTGCATTCAACTCACAGAGTTGAACTTTCCTTTCGAGAGAGAAGCTTTGAAACACTCTTTTTCCAGAATCTGCAAGTGGACATTTGGAGGGCTTTGAGGCCTGTGGTGGAAAAGGAATTATCTTCCCGTAAAAGCTAGATAGAAGCATTGTCAGAAACTTCTTTGTGATGATTGCATTCAACTCACAGAGTTGAAGGTTCCTTTTCAAAGAGCAGTTTCCAATCACTCTTTCTGTGGAATCTGCAAGTGGATATTTGGACCTATTTTGAAGATTTCGTTGGAAACGGGAGAATCTTCACAGGAAAGCTAAACAGAAGCATTCTCAGAAACTTCTCTGTGATGTTTGTGTTCAACTCCCAGAGTTTCACATTGCTTTTCATAGAGTAGTTCTGAAACATGCTTTTCGTAGTGTCTACAAGTGGACATTTGGAGCGCTTTCAGGCCTGTGGTGGAAAACGAATTATGGTCACATAAAAACTGGAGAGAAGCCTTCTCAGAAACTTCTCTGTGATGATTGCATTCAACTCACAGAGTTGAACCCTCCTATGGATAGAGCAGTGTTGAAACTCTCTTTTTGTGGAATCTGCAAGTGGATATGTGGACCTCTCCGAAGATGTCTTTGGAAACGGGAATATCTTCACATAAAAACTAAACAGAAGCATTCTCAGAAACTTCTTGGTGATGTTTGCATTCAAATCCCAGAGTTGAACCTTCCTTTGATAGTTCAGGTTTGAAACACTCTTTTTGTAGGATCTGCAAGTGGATATTTGGACCACTCTGTGGCCTTCGTTCGAAACGGGTATATCTTCGCATAAAATCTAGACAGAAGCATTCTCAGAACCTTCTTCATGATGTTTGCATTCAACTCACAGTGTTGAACCTTTCTTTGATAGTTCAGGTTTGAAACGGTCTTTCTGTAGAAACTGCAAGTAGACATTTGGACCTCTCTGAGGATTTCGTTGGAAACGGGATAACTGCACCTAACTAAACGGAAGCATTCACAGAAAACTCTTGGTGACGACTGAGTTTAACTCACAGAGCTGAACATTCCTTTGGATGGAGCAGTTTCGAAACACACTATTTGTAGAATGTGCAAGTGGATATTTGGGCCTCTCTGAGGATTTCGTTGGAAACGGGATAAACCGCACAGAACTAAACAGAAGCATTCTCAGAAACTACTTTGTGACGATTGCATTCAAGTCACAGAGTTGAACATTCCCTTTGACAGAGCAGTTTGGAAACTCTCTTTGTGTAGAATCTGCAAGTGGAGATATGGACCGCTTTGAGGCCTATGGTAGTAAAGGTAATAGCTTCATATGAAAGCTAGACAGTAGCATTCTCAGAAACTTCTTTGTGATGCTTGCATTCAACTCACAGAGTTGAACTTTCCTTTCGAGAGAGAAGCTTTGAAACACTCTTTTTCCAGAATCTGCAAGTGGACATTTGGAGGGCTTTGAGGCCTGTGGTGGAAAAGGAATTAACTTCCCGTAAAAGCTAGATAGAAGCATTGTCAGAAACTTCTTTGTGATGATTGCATTCAACTCACAGAGATGAAGATTCCTTTACAAACAGCAGTTTCCAAACACTCTTTCTGTGGAATCTGCAAGTGGATATTTGGACCTCTTTGAAGATTTCGTTGGAAACGGGAGAATCTTCACAGAAAAGCTAAACAGAAGCATTCTCAGAAACTTCTCTGTGATGTTTGTGTTCAACTCCCAGAGTTTCACATTGCTTTTCATAGAGTAGTTCTGAAACATGCTTTTCGTAGTGTCTGCAAGTGGACATTTGGAGCGCTTTCAGGCCTGTGGTGGAAAACGAATTATGGTCCCATAAAAACTGGAGAGAAGCCTTCTCAGAAACTTCTCTGTGATGATTGCATTCAACTCACAGAGTTGAACCCTCCTATGGATAGAGCATTGTTGAAACTCTCTTTTTGTGGAATCTGCAAGTGGATATGTGGACCTCTCCGAAGATGTCTTTGGAAACGGGAATATCTTCACATAAAAACTAAACAGAAGCATTCTCAGAAACTTCTTGGTGATGTTTGCATTCAAATCCCAGAGTTGAACCTTCCTTTGATAGTTCAGGTTTGAAACACTCTTTTTGTACGATCTGCAAGTGGATATTTGGACCATTCTGTGGCCTTCGTTCAAAACGGGTACATCTTCGCATAAAATCTAGACAGAAGCATTCTCAGAAAATACTTTGTGATGATTGAGTTTAACTCACAGAGCTGAACATTCCTTTGGATGGAGCAGGTTTGAGACACACTTTTTGTAGAAACTACAAGTGGATATTTGGACCTCTCTGAGGATTTCGTTGGAAACGCGATAACTGCACCTAATTAAACGGAAGCATTCTCAGAAACTGCTTTGTGATGATTGCATTCACCTCACAGAGTTGAACATTCCTATTGATAGAGCAGTTTGGAAACACTCTTGTTGTGGAATGTGCAAGTGGAGACTTGGAGCATTTTGAGGCCTATGGTAGTAAAGGGAATAGCTTCATAGAAAAACTAGACAGATGCATTCTCAGGAACTTTTTGGTGATGTTTGTATTCAACTCCCAGAGTTGAACTTTCCTTTGGAAAGAGCAGCTATGAAACACTCTTTTTCTAGAATCTGCTAGTGGACGTTTGGAGGGCTTTGTGGTTTGTGGTGGAAAAGGAAATATCTTCACCTAAATACTAGATAGAAGCATCCTCAGAAGCTTCTCTGTGATGACTGCATTCAACTCACGGAGTTGAACACTCCTTTTGAGAGCGCAGTTTTGAAACTCTCTTTCTGTGGCATCTGCAAGGGGACATGTAGACCTCTTTGAAGATTTCGTTGGAAACGGAATCATCTTCACATAAAAACTATACAGAAGCAGTCTCAGAATCTTCTTTGTGATGTTTGCATTCAAATCCCCGAGTTGAACTTTCCTTTCAAAGTTCACGTTTGAAACACTCTTTTTGCAGGATCTACAAGTGGATATTTGGACCACTCTGTGTCCTTCGTTCGAAACGGGTATATCTTCACATGACATCTAGACAGAAGCTTTCTCAGAAAATTCTTTGGGATGATTGAGTTGAACTCACAGAGCTGAGCATTCCTTGCGATGTAGCAGTTTAGAAACACACTTTCTGCAGAATCTGCAAGTGCATATTTGGACCTCTGTGAGGAATTCGTTGGAAACGGGATAATTTCAGCTGACTAAACAGAAGCATTCTCAGAACCTTCTTCGTGATGTCTGCATTCAACTCACAGTGTGGAACCTTTCTTTGATAGTTCAGGTTTGAAACACTCTTTTTGTAGAAACTGCAAGGGGATAATTGCACTCTTTGAGGAGTACCGTAGTAAAGGAAATAACTTCCTATAAAAAGAAGACAGAAGCATTCTCAGAACCCTCTTCGTGATGTTTGCATTCAACTCACAGTGCTGAACCTTTCTTTGATAGTTCAGCTTTGAAACACTCTTTTTGTAGAAACTGCAAGTGGATATTTGGTCCTCTCTGAGCATTTCGTTGGAAACGGGATAAACTGCACAGAACTAAACAGAAGCATTCTCAGAACCTTCTTCGTGATGTTTGCATTCAACTCACAGTGTTGAACCTTTCTTTGATAGTTCAGGTTTGAAACGGTCTTTCTGTAGAAACTGCAAGTAGATATTTGGACCTCTCTGAGGATTTCGTTGGAAACGGGATAACCCGCACAGAACTAAAACAGAAGCATTCACAGAAAACTCTTGGTGACGACTGAGTTTAAATCACAGAGCTGAACATTCCTTTGGATGGAGCAGTTTCGAAACACACTATTTCTAGAAGGTGCAAGTGGATATGTGGGCCTCTCTGAGGATTTCGTTGGAAACGGGATAAACCGCACAGAACTAAACAGAAGCATTCTCAGAAACTACTTTGTGATGATTGCATTCAAGTCACAGAGTTGAACATTCCCTTTGACAGAGCAGTTTGGAAACTCTCTTTGTGTAGAATCTGCAAGTGGAGATATGGACCGCTTTGAGGCCTATGGTAGTAAAGGAAATAGCTTCATATAAAAGCTAGACAGTAGCATTCTCAGAAACTTCTTTGTGATGCTTGCATTCAACTCACAGAGTTGAACTTTCCTTTCGAGAGAGAAGCTTTGAAACACTCTTTTTCCAGAATCTGCAAGTGGACATTTGGAGGGCTTTGAGGCCTGTGGTGGAAAAGGAATTATCTTCCCGTAAAAGCTAGATAGAAGCATTGTCAGAAACTTCTTTGTGATGATTGCATACAAGTCACAGAGTTGAAGGTTCCTTTTCAAAGAGCAGTTTCCAATCACTCTTTCTGTGGAATCTGCAAGTGGATATTTGGACCTCTTTGAAGATTTCGTTGGAAACGGGAGAATCTTCACAGAAAAGCTAAACAGAAGCATTCTCAGAAACTTCTCTGTGATGTTTGTGTTCAACTCCCAGAGTTTCACATTGCTTTTCATAGAGTAGTTCTGAAACATGCTTTTCGTAGTGTCTGCAAGTGGACATTTGGAGCGCTTTCAGGCCTGTGGTGGAAAACGAATTATGGTCACATAAAAACTGGAGAGAAGCCTTCTCAGAAACTTCTCTGTGATGATTGCATTCAACTCACAGAGTTGAACCCTCCTATGGATAGAGCAGTGTTGAAACTCTCTTTTTGTGGAATCTGCAAGCGGATATGTGGACCTCTCCGAAGATGTCTTTGGAAACGGGAATATCTTCACATAAAAACTAAACAGAAGCATTCTCAGAAACTTCTTCGTGATGTTTGCATTCAAATCCCAGAGTTGAACCTTCCTTTGAGAGTTCAGGTTTGAAACACTCTTTTTGTAGGATCTGCAAGTGGATATTTGGACCACTCTGTGGCCTTCGTTCGAAACGGGTACATCTTCGCATAAAATCTAGACAGAAGCATTCTCAGAAAATACTTTGTGATGATTGAGTTGAACTCACAGAGCTGAACATTCCTTTGGATGGAGCAGGTTTGAGACACACTTTTTGTAGAATCTACAAGTGGATATTTGGACCTCTCTGAGGATTTCGTTGGAAACGGGATAACTGCACCTAACTAAACGGAAGCATTCTCAGAAACTGCTTTGTGATGATTGCATTCACCTCACAGAGTTGAACATTCCTATTGATAGAGCAGTTTGGAAACACTCTTCTTGTGGAATGTGCAAGTGGAGATTTGGAGCGCTTTGAGGCCTATGGTAGTAAAGGGAATAGCTTCATAGAAAAACTAGACAGATGCATTCTCAGGAACTTTTTGGTGATGTTTGTATTCAACTCCCAGAGTTGAACTTTCCTTTGGAAAGAGCAGCTATGAAACACTCTTTTTCTAGAATCTGCAAGTGGACGTTTGGAGGGCTTTGTGGTTTGTGGTGGAAAAGGAAATATCTTCACCTAAATACTAGATAGAAGCATTCTCAGAAGCTTCTCTGTGATGACTGCATTCAACTCACGGAGTTGAACACTCCTTTTGAGAGCGCAGTTTTGAAACTCTCTTTCTGTGGCATCTGCAAGGGGACATGTAGACCTCTTTGAAGATTTCGTTGGAAACGGAATCATCTTCACATAAAAACTATACAGAAGCAGTCTCAGAATCTTCTTTGTGATGTTTGCATTCAAATCCCAGAGTTGAACTTTCCTTTCAAAGTTCACGTTTGAAACACTCTTTTTGCAGGATCTACAAGTGGATATTTGGACCACTCTGTGTCCTTCGTTCGAAACGGGTATATCTTCACACGACATCTAGACAGAAGCTTTCTCAGAAAATTCTTTGGGATGATTGAGTGGAACTCACAGAGCTGAACATTCCTTGCGATGTAGCAGTTTAGAAACACACTTTCTGCAGAATCTGCAAGTGCATATTTGGACCTCTCTGAGGAATTCGTTGGAAACGGGATAATTTCAGCTGACTAAACAGAAGCATTCTCAGAACCTTCTTCGTGATGTCTGCATTCAACTCACAGTGTGGAACCTTTCTTTGATAGTTCAGGTTTGAAACACTCTTTTTGTAGAAACTGCAAGGGGATAATTGCACTTCTTTGAGGCCTACCGTAGTAAAGGAAATAACTTCCTATAGAAAGAAGACAGAAGAATTCTCAGAGCCCTCTTCGTGATGTTTGCATTCAACTCACAGTGCTGAACCTTTCTTTGATAGTGCAGCTTTGAAACACTCTTTTTGTAGAAACTGCAAGTGGATGTTTGGTCCTCTCTGAGGATTTCGTTGGAAACCGGGATAAACCGCACAGAACTAAAACAGAAGCATTGTCAGAAACTTCTTTGTGATGATTGCATTCAACTCACAGAGTTGAAGGTTCCTTTTCAAACAGCAGTTTCCAATCACTCTTTCTGTGGAATCTGCAAGTGGATATTTGGGCCTCTCTGAGGATTTCGTTGGAAACGGGATAAAACGCACAGAACTAAAACAGAAGCATTCTCAGAAACTTCTCTGTGATGTTTGTGTTCAACTCCCAGAGTTTCACGTTGCTTTTCATAGAGTAGTTCTGAAACATGCTTTTCGTAGTGTCTGCAAGTGGACATTTGGAGCGCTTTCAGGCCTGTGGTGGAAAACGAATTATGGTCACATAAAAACTGGAGAGAAGCCTTCTCAGAAACTTCTCTGTGATGATTGCATTCAACTCACAGAGTTGAACCCTCCCTATGGATAGAGCAGTGTTGAAACTCTCTTTTTGTGGAATCTGCAAGTGGATATGTGGACCTCTCCGAAGATGTCTTTGGAAACGGGAATATCTTCACATAAAAACTAAACAGAAGCATTCTCAGAAACTTCTTGGTGATGTTTGCATTCAAATCCCAGAGTTGAACCTTCCTTTGAGAGTTCAGGTTTGAAACACTCTTTTTGTAGGATCTGAAAGTGGATATTTGGACCACTCTGTGGCCTTCGTTCGAAACGGGTACATCTTCGCATAAAATCTAGACAGAAGCATTCTGAGAAAATACTTTGTGATGATTGAGTTGAACTCACAGAGCTGAACATTCCTTTGGATGGAGCAGGTTTGAGACACACTTTTTGTAGAATCTACAAGTGGATATATGGACCTCTCTGAGGATTTCGTTGGAAACGGGATAACTGCACCTAACTAAACGGAAGCATTCTCAGAAACTGCTTTGTGATGATTGCATTCACCTCACAGAGTTGAACATTCCTATTGATAGAGCAGTTTGGAAACACTCTTGTTGTGGAATGTGCAAGTGGAGATTTGGAGCGCTTTGAGGCCTATGGTAGTAAAGGGAATAGCTTCATAGAAAAACTAGACAGATGCATTCTCAGGAACTTTTTGGTGATGTTTGTATTCAACTCCCAGAGTTGAACTTTCCTTTGGAAAGAGCAGCTATGAAACACTGTTTCTCTAGAATCTGCAAGTGGACGTTTGGAGGGCTTTGTGGTTTGTGGTGGAAAAGGAAATATCTTCACCTAAATACTAGATAGAAGCATTCTCAGAAGCTTCTCTGTGATGACTGCATTCAACTCACGGAGTTCAACACTCCTTTTGAGAGCGCAGTTTTGAAACTCTCTTTCTGTGGCATCTGCAAGGGGACATGTAGACCTCTTTGAAGATTTCGTTGGAAACGGAATCATCTTCACATAAAAACTATACAGAAGCAGTCTCAGAATCTTCTTTGTGATGTTTGCATTCAAATCCCAGAGTTGAACTTTCCTTTCAAAGTTCACGTTTGAAACACTCTTTTTGCAGGATCTACAAGTGGATATTTGGACCACTCTGTGTCCTTCGTTCGAAACGGGTATATCTTCACATGACATCTAGACAGAAGCTTTCTCAGAAAATTCTTTGGGATGATTGAGTGGAACTCACAGAGCTGAACATTCCTTGCGATGTAGCAGTTTAGAAACACACTTTCTGCAGAATCTGCAAGTGCATATTTGGACCTCTCCGAGGAATTCGTTGGAAACGGGATAATTTCAGCTGACTAAACAGAAGCATTCTCAGAACCTTCTTCGTGATGTCTGCATTCAACTCACAGTGTGGAACCTTTCTTTGATAGTTCAGGTTTGAAACACTCTTTTTGTAGAAACTGCAAGGGGATAATGGCACTTCTTTGAGGCCTACCGTAGTAAAGGAAATAACTTCCTATAGAAAGAAGACAGAAGCATTCTCAGAACCCTCTTCGTGATGTTTGCATTCAACTCACAGTGCTGAACCTTTCTTTGATAGTTCAGCTTTGAAACACTCTTCTTGTAGAAACTGCAAGTGGATTTTTGGTCCTCTCTGAGGATTTCGTTGGAAACGGGATAAACCGCACAGAACTAAACAGAAGAATTCTCAGAGCCCTCTTCGTGATGTTTGCATTCAACTCACAGTGCTGAACCTTTCTTTGATAGTGCAGCTTTGAAACACTCTTTTTGTAGAAACTGCAAGTGGATATTTGGTCCTCTCTGAGGATTTCGTTGGAAACGGGATAAACCGCACAGAACTAAAACAGAAGCATTCACAGAAAACTCTTGGTGACGACTGAGTTTAACTCACAGAGCTGAACATTCCTTTGGATGGAGCAGTTTCGAAACACACTATTTGTAGAATCTGCAAGTGGATATTTGGGCCTCTCTGAGGATTTCGTTGGAAACGGGATAAACCGCACAGAACTAAAACAGAAGCATTCTCAGAAACTACTTTGTGATGATTGCATTCAAGTCACAGAGTTGAACATTCCCTTTGACAGAGCAGTTTGGAAACTCTCTTTGTGTAGAATCTGCAAGTGGAGATATGGACCGCGTTGAGGCCTATGGTAGTAAAGGAAATAGCTTCATATAAAAGCTAGACAGTAGCATTCTCAGAAACTTCTTTGTGATGCTTGCATTCAACTCACAGAGTTGAACTTTCCTTTCGAGAGAGAAGCTTTGAAACACTCTTTTTCCAGAATCTGCAAGTGGACATTTGGAGGGCTTTGAGGCCTGTGGTGGAAAAGGAATTATCTTCCCGTAAAAGCTAGATAGAAGCATTGTCAGAAACTTCTTTGTGATGATTGCATTCAACTCACAGAGTTGAAGGTTCCTTTTCAAAGAGCAGTTTCCAATCACTCTTTCTGTGGAATATGCAAGTGGATATTTGGACCTATTTTGAAGATTTCGTTGGAAACGGGAGAATCTTCACAGAAAAGCTAAACAGAAGCATTCTCAGAAACTTCTCTGTGATGTTTGTGTTCAACTCCCAGTGTTTCACATTGCTTTTCATAGAGTAGTTCTGAAACATGCTTTTCGTAGTGTCTACAAGTGGACATTTGGAGCGCTTTCAGGCCTGTGGTGGAAAACGAATTATGGTCACATAAAAACTGGAGAGAAGCCTTCTCAGAAACTTCTCTGTGATGATTGCATTCAACTCACAGAGTTGAACCCTCCTATGGATAGAGCAGTGTTGAAACTCTCTTTTTGTGTAATCTGCAAGTGGATATGTGGACCTCGCCGTAGATGTCTTTGGAAACGGGAATATCTTCACATAAAAACTATACAGAAGCATTCTCAGAAACTTCTTGGTGATGTTTGCATTCAAATCCCAGAGTTGAACCTTCCTTTGATAGTTCAGGTTTGAAACACTCTTTTTGTAGGATCTGCAAGTGGATATTTGGACCACTCTGTGGCCTTCGTTCGAAACGGGTATATCTTCGCATAAAATCTAGACAGAAGCATTCTCAGAAAATACTTTGTGATGATTGAGTTTAACTCACAGAGCTGAACATTCCTTTGGATGGAGCAGGTTTGAGACACACTTTTTGTAGAATCTACAAGTGGATATTTGGACCTCTCTGAGGATTTCGTTGGAAACGGGATAACTGCACCTAACTAAACGGAAGCATTCTCAGAAACTGCTTTGTGATGATTGCATTCACCTCACAGAGTTGAACATTACTATTGATAGAGCAGTTTGGAAACACTCTTGTTGTGGAATGTGCAAGTGGAGATTTGGAGCGCTTTGTGGCCTATGGTAGTAAAGGGAATAGCTTCATAGAAAAACTAGACAGATGCATTCTCAGGAACTTTTTGGTGATGTTTGTATTCAACTCCCAGAGTTGAACTTTCCTTTGGAAAGAGCAGCTATGAAACACTCTTTTTCTAGAATCTGCAAGTGGACGTTTGGAGGGCTTTGTGGTTTGTGGTGGAAAAGGAAATATCTTCACCTAAATCCTAGAGAGAAGCATTCTCAGAAGCTTCTCTGTGATGACTGCATTCAACTCACGGAGTTGAACACTCCTTTTGAGAGCGCAGTTTTGAAACTCTCTTTCTGTGGCATCTGCAAGGGGACATGTAGACCTCTTTGAAGATTTCGATGGAAACGGAATCATCTTCACATAAAAACTATACAGAAGCAGTCTCAGAATCTTCTTTGTGATGTTTGCATTCAAATCCCAGAGTTGAACTTTCCTTTCAAAGTTCACGTTTGAAACACTCTTTTTGCAGGATCTACAAGTGGATATTTGGACCACTCTGTGTCCTTCGTTCGAAACGGGTATATCTTCACATGACATCTAGACAGAAGCTTTCTCAGAAAATTCTTTGGGATGATTGAGTTGAACTCACAGAGCTGAGCATTCCTTGCGATGTAGCAGTTTAGAAACACACTTTCTGCAGAATCTGCAAGTGCATATTTGGACCTCTCTGAGGAATTCGTTGGAAACGGGATAATTTCAGCTGACTAAACAGAAGCATTCTCAGAACCTTCTTCGTGATGTCTGCATTCAACTCACAGTGTGGAACCTTTCTTTGATAGTTCAGGTTTGAAACACTCTTTTTGTAGAAACTGCAAGGGGATCATTGCACTCTTTGAGGAGTACCGTAGTAAAGGAAATAACTTCCTATAAAAAGAAGACAGAAGCATTCTCAGAACCCTCTTCGTGATGTTTGCATTCAACTCACAGTGCTGAACCTTTCTTTGATAGTTCAGCTTTGAAACACTCTTTTTGTAGAAACTGCAAGTGGATATTTGGTCCTCTCTGAGCATTTCGTTGGAAACGGGATAAACTGCACAGAACTAAACAGAAGCATTCTCAGAAAATACTTTGTGATGATTGAGTTTAACTCACAGAGCTGAACATTCCTTTGGATGGAGCAGGTTTGAGACACACTTTTTGTAGAATCTACAAGTGGATATTTGGACCTCTCTGAGGATTTCGTTGGAAACGGGATAACCCGCACAGAACTAAAACAGAAGCATTCTCAGAAACTGCTTTGTGATGATTGCATTCACCTCACAGAGTTGAACATTCCTATTGATAGAGCAGTTTGGAAACACTCTTGTTGTGGAATGTGCAAGTGGAGATTTGGAGCGCTTTGAGGCCTATGGTAGTAAAGGGAATAGCTTCATAGAAAAACTAGACAGATGCATTCTCAGGAACTTTTTGGTGATGTTTGTATTCAACTCCCAGAGTTGAACTTTCCTTTGGAAAGAGCAGCTATGAAACACTGTTTTTCTAGAATCTGCAAGTGGACGTTTGGAGGGCTTTGTGGTTTGTGGTGGAAAAGGAAATATCTTCACCTAAATACTAGATAGAAGCATTCTCAGAAGCTTCTCTGTGATGACTGCATTCAACTCACGGAGTTGAACACTCCTTTTGAGAGCGTAGTTTTGAAACTCTCTTTCTGTGGCATCTGCAAGGGGACATGTAGACCTCTTTGAAGATTTCGTTGGAAACGGAATCATCTTCACATAAAAACTATACAGAAGCAGTCTCAGAATCTTCTTTGTGATGTTTGCATTCAAATCCCAGAGTTGAACTTTCCTTTCAAAGTTCACGTTTGAAACACTCTTTTTGCAGGATCTACAAGTGGATATTTGGACCACTCTGTGTCCTTCTTTCGAAACGGGTATATCTTCACATGACATCTAGACAGAAGCTTTCTCAGAAAATTCTTTGGGATGATTGAGTGGAACTCACAGAGCTGAACATTCCTTGCGATGTAGCAGTTTAGAAACACACTTTCTGCAGAATCTGCAAGTGCATATTTGGACCTCTCTGAGGAATTCGTTGGAAACGGGATAATTTCAGCTGACTAAACAGAAGCATTCTCAGAACCTTCTTCGTGATGTCTGCATTCAACTCACAGTGTGGAACCTTTCTTTGATAGTTCAGGTTTGAAACACTCTTTTTGTAGAAACTGCAAGGGGATAATTGCACTTCTTTGAGGCCTACCGTAGTAAAGGAAATAACTTCCTATAGAAAGAAGACAGAAGCATTCTCAGAACCCTCTTCGTGATGTTTGCATTCAACTCACAGTGCTGAACCTTTCTTTGATAGTTCAGCTTTGAAACACTCTTTTTGTAGAAACTGCAAGTGGATATTTGGTCCTCTCTGAGGATTTCGTTGGAAACGGGATAAACCGCACAGAACTAAACAGAAGAATTCTCAGAGCCCTCTTCGTGATGTTTGCATTCAACTCACAGTGCTGAACCTTTCTTTGATAGTGCAGCTTTGAAACACTCTTTTTGTAGAAACTGCAAGTGGATGTTTGGTCCTCTCTGAGGATTTCGTTGGAAACGGGATAAACCGCACAGAACTAAAACAGAAGCATTGTCAGAAACTTCTTTGTGATGATTGCATTCAACTCACAGAGTTGAAGGTTCCTTTTCAAACAGCAGTTTCCAATCACTCTTTCTGTGGAATCTGCAAGTGGATATTTGGGCCTCTCTGAGGATTTCGTTGGAAACGGGATAAAACGCACAGAACTAAAACAGAAGCATTCTCAGAAACTTCTCTGTGATGTTTGTGTTCAACTCCCAGAGTTTCACGTTGCTTTTCATAGAGTAGTTCTGAAACATGCTTTTCGTAGTGTCTGCAAGTGGACATTTGGAGCGCTTTCAGGCCTGTGGTGGAAAACGAATTATGGTCACATAAAAACTGGAGAGAAGCCTTCTCAGAAACTTCTCTGTGATGATTGCATTCAACTCACAGAGTTGAACCCTCCTATGGATAGAGCAGTGTTGAAACTCTCTTTTTGTGGAATCTGCAAGTGGATATGTGGACCTCTCCGAAGATGTCTTTGGAAACGGGAATATCTTCACATAAAAACTAAACAGAAGCATTCTCAGAAACTTCTTGGTGATGTTTGCATTCAAATCCCAGAGTTGAACCTTCCTTTGATAGTTCAGGTTTGAAACACTCTTTCTGTAGGATCTGCAAGTGGCTATTTGGACCACTCTGTGGCCTTCGTTCGAAATGGGTATATCTTCGCATAAAATCTAGACAGAAGCATTCTCAGAAAATACTTTGTGATGATTGAGTTTAAATCACAGAGCTGACCATTCCTTTGGATGGAGCAGGTTTGAGACACACTTTTTGTAGAATCTACAAGTGGATATTTGGACCTCTCTGAGGATTTCGTTGGAAACGGGATAACTGCACCTAACTAAACGGAAGCATTCTCAGAAACTGCTTTGTGATGATTGCATTCACCTCACAGAGTTGACCATTCCTATTGATAGAGCAGTTTGGAAACACTCTTGTTGTGGAATGTGCAAGTGGAGATTTGGAGCGCTTTGAGGCCTATGGTAGTAAAGGGAATAGCTTCATAGAAAAACTAGACAGATGCATTCTCAGGAACTTTTTGGTGATGTTTGTATTCAACTCCCAGAGTTGAACTTTCCTTTGGAAAGAGCAGCTATGAAACACCCTTTTTCTAGAATCTGCAAGTGGACGTTTGGAGGGCTTTGTGGTTTGTGGTGGAAAAGGAAATATCTTCACCTAAATACTAGACAGAAGCATTCTCAGAAGCTTCTCTGTGATGACTGCATTCAACTCACGGAGTTGAACACTCCTTTTGAGAGCGCAGTTTTGAAACTCTCTTTCTGTGGCATCTGCAAGGGGACATGTAGACCTCTTTGAAGATTTCGTTGGAAACGGAATCATCTTCACATAAAAACTATACAGAAGCAGTCTCAGAATCTTCTTTGTGATGTTTGCATTCAAATCCCAGAGTTGAACTTTCCTTTCAAAGTTCACGTTTGAAACACTCTTTTTGCAGGATCTACAAGTGGATATTTGGACCACTCTGTGTCCTTCGTTCGAAACGGGTATATCTTCACACGACATCTAGACAGAAGCTTTCTCAGAAAATTCTTTGGGATGATTGAGTGGAACTCACAGAGCTGAACATTCCTTGCGATGTAGCAGTTTAGAAACACACTTTCTGCAGAATCTGCAAGTGCATATTTGGACCTCTCTGAGGAATTCGTTGGAAACGGGATAATTTCAGCTGACTAAACAGAAGCATTCTCAGAACCTTCTTCGTGATGTCTGCATTCAACTCACAGTGTGGAACCTTTCTTTGATAGTTCAGGTTTGAAACACTCTTTTTGTAGAAACTGCAAGGGGATAATTGCACTTCTTTGAGGCCTACCGTAGTAAAGGAAATAACTTCCTATAGAAAGAAGACAGAAGCATTCTCAGAACCCTCTTCGTGATGTTTGCATTCAACTCACAGTGCTGAACCTTTCTTTGATAGTTCAGCTTTGAAACACTCTTCTTGTAGAAACTGCAAGTGGATATTTGGTCCTCTCTGAGGATTTCGTTGGAAACGGGATAAACCGCACAGAACTAAACAGAAGAATTCTCAGAGCCCTCTTCGTGATGTTTGCATTCAACTCACAGTGCTGAACCTTTCTTTGATAGTGCAGCTTTGAAACACTCTTTTTGTAGAAACTGCAAGTGGATGTTTGGTCCTCTCTGAGGATTTCGTTGGAAACGGGATAAACCGCACAGAACTAAAACAGAAGCATTGTCAGAAACTTCTTTGTGATGATTGCATTCAACTCACAGAGTTGAAGGTTCCTTTTCAAACAGCAGTTTCCAATCACTCTTTCTGTGGAATCTGCAAGTGGATATTTGGGCCTCTCTGAGGATTTCGTTGGAAACGGGATAAAACGCACAGAACTAAAACAGAAGCATTCTCAGAAACTTCTCTGTGATGTTTGTGTTCAACTCCCAGAGTTTCACGTTGCTTTTCATAGAGTAGTTCTGAAACATGCTTTTCGTAGTGTCTGCAAGTGGACATTTGGAGCGCTTTCAGGCCTGTGGTGGAAAACGAATTATGGTCACATAAAAACTGGAGAGAAGCCTTCTCAGAAACTTCTCTGTGATGATTGCATTCAACTCACAGAGTTGAACCCTCCTATGGATAGAGCAGTGTTGAAACTCTCTTTTTGTGGAACCTGCAAGTGGATATGTGGACCTCTCCGAAGATGTCTTTGGAAACGGGAATATCTTCACATAAAAACTAAACAGAAGCATTCTCAGAAACTTCTTGGTGATGTTTGCATTCAAATCCCAGAGTTGAACCTTCCTTTGATAGTTCAGGTTTGAAACACTGTTTCTGTAGGATCTGCAAGTGGCTATTTGGACCACTCTGTGGCCTTCGTTCGAAACGGGTATATCTTCGCATAAAATCTAGACAGAAGCATTCTCAGAAAATACTTTGTGATGATTGAGTTTAACTCACAGAGCTGAACATTCCTTTGGATGGAGCAGGTTTGAGACACACATTTGTAGAATCTACAAGTGGATATTTGGACCTCTCTGAGGATTTCGTTGGAAACGCGATAACTGCCCCTAACTAAACGGAAGCATTCTCAGAAACTGCTTTGTGATGATTGCATTCACCTCACAGAGTTGAACATTCCTATTGATAGAGCAGTTTGGAAACCCTCTTGTTGTGGAATGTGCAAGTGGAGATTTGGAGCGCTTTGAGGCCTATGGTAGTAAAGGGAATAGCTTCATAGAAAAACTAGACAGATGCATTCTCAGGAACTTTTTGGTGATGTTTGTATTCAACTCCCAGAGTTGAACTTTCCTTTGGAAAGAGCAGCTATGAAACACTCTTTTTCTAGAATCTGCAAGTGGACGTTTGGAGGGCTTTGTGGTTTGTGGTGGAAAAGGAAATATCTTCACCTAAATACTAGATAGAAGCATTCTCAGAAGCTTCTCTGTGATGACTGCATTCAACTCACGGAGTTGAACACTCCTTTTGAGAGCGCAGTTTTGAAACTCTCTTTCTGTGGCATCTGCAAGGGGACATGTAGACCTCTTTGAAGATTTCGTTGGAAACGGAATCATCTTCACATAAAAACTATACAGAAGCAGTCTCAGAATCTTCTTTGTGATGTTTGCATTCAAATCCCAGAGTTGAACTTTCCTTTCAAAGTTCACGTTTGAAACACTCTTTTTGCAGGATCTACAAGTGGATATTTGGACCACTCTGTGTCCTTCGTTCGAAACGGGTATATCTTCACATGACATCTAGACAGAAGCTTTCTCAGAAAATTCTTTGGGATGATTGAGTGGAACTCACAGAGCTGAACATTCCTTGCGATGTAGCAGTTTAGAAACACACTTTCTGCAGAATCTGCAAGTGCATATTTGGATCTCTCTGAGGAATTCGTTGGAAACGGGATAATTTCAGCTGACTAAACAGAAGCATTCTCAGAACGTTCTTCGTGATGTCTGCATTCAACTCACAGTGTGGAACCTTTCTTTGATAGTTCAGGTTTGAAACACTCTTTTTGTAGAAACTGCAAGGGGATAATTGCACTGCTTTGAGGCCTACCGTAGTAAAGGAAATAACTTCCTATAAAAAGAAGACAGAAGCATTCTCAGAACCCTCTTCGTGATGTTTGCATTCAACTCACAGTGCTGAACCTTTCTTTGATAGTTCAGCTTTGAAACACTCTTCTTGTAGAAACTGCAAGTGGATATTTGGTCCTCTCTGAGGATTTCGTTGGAAACGGGATAAACCGCACAGAACTAAACAGAAGAATTCTCAGAGCCCTCTTCGTGATGTTTGCATTCAACTCACAGTGCTGAACCTTTCTTTGATAGTGCAGCTTTGAAACACTCTTTTTGTAGAAACTGCAAGTGGATGTTTGGTCCTCTCTGAGGATTTCGTTGGAAACGGGATAAACCGCACAGAACTAAAACAGAAGCATTGTCAGAAACTTCTTTGTGATGATTGCATTCAACTCACAGAGTTGAAGGTTCCTTTTCAAACAGCAGTTTCCAATCACTCTTTCTGTGGAATCTGCAAGTGGATATTAGGGCCTCTCTGAGGATTTCGTTGGAAACGGGATAAAACGCACAGAACTAAAACAGAAGCATTCTCAGAAACTTCTCTGTGATGTTTGTGTTCAACTCCCAGAGTTTCACGTTGCTTTTCATAGAGTAGTTCTGAAACATGCTTTTCGTAGTGTCTGCAAGTGGACATTTGGAGCGCTTTCAGGCCTGTGGTGGAAAACGAATTATGGTCACATAAAAACTGGAGAGAAGCCTTCTCAGAAACTTCTCTGTGATGATTGCATTCAACTCACAGAGTTGAACCCTCCTATGGATAGAGCAGTGTTGAAACTCTCTTTTTGTGGAATCTGCAAGTGGATATGTGGACCTCTCCGAAGATGTCTTTGGAAACGGGAATATCTTCACATAAAAACTAAACAGAAGCATTCTCAGAAACTTCTTGGTGATGTTTGCATTCAAATCCCAGAGTTGAACCTTCCTTTGATAGTTCAGGTTTGAAACACTCTTTTTGTAGGATCTGCAATTGGCTATTTGGACCACTCTGTGGCCTTCATTCGAAACGGGTATATCTTCGCATAAAATCTAGACAGAAGCATTCTCAGAAAATACTTTGTGATGATTGAGTTTAAATCACAGAGCTGACCATTCCTTTGGATGGAGCAGGTTTGAGACACACTTTTTGTAGAATCTACAAGTGGATATTTGGACCTCTCTGAGGATTTCGTTGGAAACGGGATAACTGCACCTAACTAAACGGAAGCATTCTCAGAAACTGCTTTGTGATGATTGCATTCACCTCACAGAGTTGAACATTCCTATTGATAGAGCAGTTTGGAAACACTCTTGTTGTGGAATGTGCAAGTGGAGATTTGGAGCGCTTTGAGGCCTGTGGTAGTAAAGGGAATAGCTTCATAGAAAAACTAGACAGAATGCATTCTCAGGAACTTTTTGGTGATGTTTGTATTCAACTCCCAGAGTTGAACTTTCCTTTGGAAAGAGCAGCTATGAAACACTCTTTTTCTAGAATCTGCAAGTGGACGTTTGGAGGGCTTTGTGGTTTGTGGTGGAAAAGGAAATATCTTCACCTAAATACTAGACAGAAGCATTCTCAGAAGCTTCTCTGTGATGACTGCATTCAACTCACGGAGTTGAACACTCCTTTTGAGAGCGCAGTTTTGAAACTCTCTTTCTGTGGCATCTGCAAGGGGACATGTAGACCTCTTTGAAGATTTCGTTGGAAACGGAATCATCTTCACATAAAACTATACAGAAGCAGTCTCAGAATCTTCTTTGTGATGTTTGCATTCAAATCCCAGAGTTGAACTTTCCTTTCAAAGTTCACGTTTGAAACACTCTTTTTGCAGGATCTACAAGTGGATATTTGGACCACTCTGTGTCCTTCGTTCGAAACGGGTATATCTTCACACGACATCTAGACAGAAGCTTTCTCAGAAAATTCTTTGGGATGATTGAGTGGAACTCACAGAGCTGAACATTCCTTGCGATGTAGCAGTTTAGAAACACACTTTCTGCAGAATCTGCAAGTGCATATTTGGACCTCTCTGAGGAATTCGTTGGAAACGGGATAATTTCAGCTGACTAAACAGAAGCATTCTCAGAACCTTCTTCGTGATGTCTGCATTCAACTCACAGTGTGGAACCTTTCTTTGATAGTTCAGGTTTGAAACACTCTTTTTGTAGAAACTGCAAGGGGATAATTGCACTTCTTTGAGGCCTACCGTAGTAAAGGAAATAACTTCCTATAGAAAGAAGACAGAAGCATTCTCAGAACCCTCTTCGTGATGTTTGCATTCAACTCACAGTGCTGAACCTTTCTTTGATAGTTCAGCTTTGAAACACTCTTCTTGTAGAAACTGCAAGTGGATATTTGGTCCTCTCTGAGGATTTCGTTGGAAACGGGATAAACCGCAGAGAACTAAACAGAAGCATTCTCAGAATCTTCTTCGTGATGATTGCATTCAACTCACAGTGTTGAACCTTTCTTTGATAGTTCAGGTTGGAAACGGTCTTTCTGTAGAAACTGCAAGTAGATATTTGGACCTCCTCTGAGGATTTCGTTGGAAACGGGATAAACCGCACAGAACTAAAACAGAAGCATTCACAGAAAACTCTTGGTGACGACTGAGTTTAACTCACAGAGCTGAACATTCCTTTGGATGGAGCAGTTTCGAAACACACTATTTGTAGAATCTGCAAGTGGATATTTGAGCCTACTCTGAGGATTTCGATGGAAACGGGATAAAACGCACAGAACTAAAACAGAAGCATTCTCAGAAACTACTTTGTGATGATTGCATTCAAGTCACAGAGTTGAACATTCCCTTTGACAGAGCAGTTTGGAAACTCTCTTTGTGTAGAATCTGCAAGTGGAGATATGGACCGCTTTGAGGCCTATGGTAGTAAAGGAAATAGCTTCATATAAAAGCTAGACAGTAGCATTCTCAGAAACTTCTTTGTGATGCTTGCATTCAACTCACAGAGTTGAACTTTCCTTTCGAGAGAGAAGCTTTGAAACACTCTTTTTCCAGAATGTGCAAGTGGACATTTGGGGAGCTTTGAGGCCTGTGGTGGAAAAGGAATTATCTTCCCGTAAAAGCTAGATAGAAGCATTGTCAGAAACTTCTTTGTGATGATTGCATTCAACTCACAGAGTTGAAGGTTCCTTTTCAAAGAGCAGTTTCCAATCACTCTTTCTGTGGAATCTGCAAGTGGATATTTCGACCTCTTTGAAGATTTCGTTGGAAACGGGAGAATCTTCACAGAAAAGCTAAACAGAAGCATTCTCAGAAACTTCTCTGTGATGTTTGTGTTCAACTCCCAGAGTTTCACATTGCTTCTCATAGAGTAGTTCTGAAACATGCTTTTCGTAGTGTCTGCAAGTGGACATTTGGAGCGCTTTCAGGCCTGTGGTGGAAAACGAATATGGTCACATAAAAACTGGAGAGAAGCCTTCTCAGAAACTTCTCTGTGATGATTGCATTCAACTCACAGAGTTGAACCCTCCTATGGATAGAGCAGTGTTGAAACTCTCTTTTTGTGGAATCTGCAAGTGGATACGTGGACCTCTCCGAAGATGTCTTTGGAAACGGGAATATCTTCACATAAAAACTAAACAGAAGCATTCTCAGAAACTTCTTGGTGATGTTTGCATTCAAATCCCAGAGTTGAACCTTCCTTTGATAGTTCAGGTTTGAAACACTCTTTTTGTAGGATCTGCAAGTGGATATTTGGACCACTCTGTGGCCTTCGTTCGAAACGGGTATATCTTCGCATAAAATCTAGACAGAAGCATTCTCAGAAAATACTTTGTGATGATTGAGTTTAACTCACAGAGCTGAACATTCCTTTGGATGGAGCAGGTTTGAGACACACTTTTTGTAGAATCTACAAGTGGATATTTGGACCTCTCTGAGGATTTCGTTGGAAACGGGATAACTGCACCTAACTAAACGGAAGCATTCTCAGAAACTGCTTTGTGATGATTGCATTCACCTCACAGAGTTGAACATTCCTATTGATAGAGCAGTTTGGAAACACTCTTGTTGTGGAATTTGCAAGTGGAGATTTGGAGCGCTTTGAGGCCTATGGTAGTAAAGGGAATAGCTTCATAGAAAAACTAGACAGATGCATTCTCAGGAACTTTTTGGTGATGTTTGTATTCAACTCCCAGAGTTGAACTTTCCTTTGGAAAGAGCAGCTATGAAACACTCTTTTTCTAGAATCTGCAAGTGGACGTTTGGAGGGCTTTGTGGTTTGTGGTGGAAAAGGAAATATCTTCACCTAAATACTAGATAGAAGCATTCTCAGAAGCTTCTCTGTGATGACTGCATTCAACTCACGGAGTTGAACACTCCTTTTGAGAGCGCAGTTTTGAAACTCTCTTTCTGTGGCATCTGCAAGGGGACATGTAGACCTCTTTGAAGATTTCGTTGGAAACGGAATCATCTTCACATAAAAACTATACAGAAGCAGTCTCAGAATCTTCTTTGTGATGTTTGCATTCAAATCCCAGAGTTGAACTTTCGTTTCAAATTTCACGTTTGAAACACTCTTTTTGCAGGATCTACAAGTGGATATTTGGACCACTCTGTGTCCTTCGTTCGAAACGGGTATATCTTCACATGACGTCTAGACAGAAGCTTTCTCAGAAAATTCTTTGGGATGATTGAGTGGAACTCACAGAGCTGAACATTCCTTGCGATGTAGCAGTTTAGAAACACACTTTCTGCAGAATCTGCAAGTGCATATTTGGACCTCTCTGAGGAATTCGTTGGAAACGGGATAATTTCAGCTGACTAAACAGAAGCATTCTCAGAACCTTCTTCGTGATGTCTGCATTCAACTCACAGTGTGGAACCTTTCTTTGATAGTTCAGGTTTGAAACACTCTTTTTGTAGAAACTGCAAGGGGATAATTGCACTTCTTTGAGGCCTACCGTAGTAAAGGAAATAACTTCCTATAGAAAGAAGACAGAAGCATTCTCAGAACCCTCTTCGTGATGTTTGCATTCAACTCACAGTGCTGAACCTTTCTTTGATAGTTCAGCTTTGAAACACTCTTCTTGTAGAAACTGCAAGTGGATATTTGGTCCTCTCTGAGGATTTCGTTGGAAACGGGATAAACCGCACAGAACTAAACAGAAGAATTCTCAGAGCCCTCTTCGTGATGTTTGCATTCAACTCACAGTGCTGAACCTTTCTTTGATAGTGCAGCTTTGAAACACTCTTTTTGTAGAAACTGCAAGTGGATGTTTGGTCCTCTCTGAGGATTTCGTTGGAAACGGGATAAACCGCACAGAACTAAAACAGAAGCATTGTCAGAAACTTCTTTGTGATGATTGCATTCAACTCACAGAGTTGAAGGTTCCTTTTCAAACAGCAGTTTCCAATCACTCTTTCTGTGGAATCTGCAAGTGGATATTTGGGCCTCTCTGAGGATTTCGTTGGAAACGGGATAAAACGCACAGAACTAAAACAGAAGCATTCTCAGAAACTTCTCTGTGATGTTTGTGTTCAACTCCCAGAGTTTCACGTTGCTTTTCATAGAGTAGTTCTGAAACATGCTTTTCGTAGTGTCTGCAAGTGGACATTTGGAGCGCTTTCAGGCCTGTGGTGGAAAACGAATTATGGTCACATAAAAACTGGAGAGAAGCCTTCTCAGAAACTTCTCTGTGATGATTGCATTCAACTCACAGAGTTGAACCCTCCTATGGATAGAGCAGTGTTGAAACTCTCTTTTTGTGGAATCTGCAAGTGGATATGTGGACCTCTCCGAAGATGTCTTTGGAAACGGGAATATCTTCACATAAAAACTAAACAGAAGCATTCTCAGAAACTTCTTGGTGATGTTTGCATTCAAATCCCAGAGTTGAACCTTCCTTTGATAGTTCAGGTTTGAAACACTCTTTTTGTAGGATCTGCAAGTGGATATTTGGACCACTCTGTGGCCTTCGTTCGAAACGGGTACATCTTCGCATAAAATCTAGACAGAAGCATTCTCAGAAAATACTTTGTGATGATTGAGTTTAACTCACAGAGCTGAACATTCCTTTGGATGGAGCAGGTTTGAGACACACCTTTTGTAGAATCTACAAGTGGATATTTGGACCTCTCTGAGGATTTCGTTGGAAACGGGATAACTGCACCTAACTAAACGGAAGCATTCTCAGAAACTGCTTTGTGATGATTGCATTCACCTCACAGAGTTGAACATTCCTATTGATAGAGCAGTTTGGAAACACTCTTGTTGTGGAATGTGCAAGTGGAGATTTGGAGCGCTTTGAGGCCTATGGTAGTAAAGGGAATAGCTTCATAGAAAAACTAGACAGATGCATTCTCAGGAACTTTTTGGTGATGTTTGTATTCAACTCCCAGAGTTGAACTTTCCTTTGGAAAGAGCAGCTATGAAACACTCTTTTTCTAGAATCTGCAAGTGGACGTTTGGAGGGCTTTGTGGTTTGTGGTGGAAAAGGAAATATCTTCACCTAAATACTAGATAGAAGCATTCTCAGAAGCTTCTCTGTGATGACTGCATTCAACTCACGGAGTTGAACACTCCTTTTGAGAGCGCAGTTTTGAAACTCTCTTTCTGTGGCATCTGCAAGGGGACATGTAGACCTCTTTGAAGATTTCGTTGGAAACGGAATCATCTTCACATAAAAACTATACAGAAGCAGTCTCAGAATCTTCTTTGTGATGTTTGCATTCAAATCCCAGAGTTGAACTTTCCTTTCAAAGTTCACGTTTGAAACACTCTTTTTGCAGGATCTACAAGTGGATATTTGGACCACTCTGTGTCCTTCGTTCGAAACGGGTATATCTTCACACGACATCTAGACAGAAGCTTTCTCAGAAAATTCTTTGGGATGATTGAGTGGAACTCACAGAGCTGAACATTCCTTGCGATGTAGCAGTTTAGAAACACACTTTCTGCAGAATCTGCAAGTGCATATTTGGACCTCTCTGAGGAATTCGTTGGAAACGGGATAATTTCAGCTGACTAAACAGAAGCATTCTCAGAACCTTCTTCGTGATGTCTGCATTCAACTCACAGTGTGGAACCTTTCTTTGATAGTTCAGGTTTGAAACACTCTTTTTGTAGAAACTGCAAGGGGATAATTGCACTTCTTTGAGGCCTACCGTAGTAAAGGAAATAACTTCCTATAGAAAGAAGACAGAAGCATTCTCAGAACCCTCTTCGTGATGTTTGCATTCAACTCACAGTGCTGAACCTTTCTTTGATAGTTCAGCTTTGAAACACTCTTCTTGTAGAAACTGCAAGTGGATATTTGGTCCTCTCTGAGGATTTCGTTGGAAACGGGATAAACCGCACAGAACTAAACAGATAGCATTCACAGTAAAACTCTTGGTGACGACTGAGTTTAACTCACAGAGCTGAACATTCCTTTGGATGGAGCAGTTTCGAAACACACTATTTGTAGAATCTGCAAGTGGATATTTGGGCCTCTCTGAGGATTTCGTTGGAAACGGGATAAAACGCACAGAACTAAAACAGAAGCATTCTCAGAAACTACTTTGTGATGATTGCATTCAAGTCACAGAGTTGAACATTCCCTTTGACAGAGCAGTTTGGAAACTCTCTTTGTGTAGAATCTGCAAGTGGAGATATGGACCGCTTTGAGGCCTATGGTAGTAAAGGAAATAGCTTCATATAAAAGCTAGACAGTAGCATTCTCAGAAACTTCTTTGTGATGCTTGCATTCAACTCACAGAGTTGAACTTTCCTTTCGAGAGAGAAGCTTTGAAACACTCTTTTTCCAGAATCTGCAAGTGGACATTTGGAGGGCTTTGAGGCCTGTGGTGGAAAAGGAATTATCTTCCCGTAAAAGCTAGATAGAAGCATTGTCAGAAACTTCCTTTGTGATGATTGCATTCAACACACAGAGTTGAAGGTTCCTTTTCAAAGAGCAGTTTCCAATCACTCTTTCTGTGGAATCTGAAAGTGGATATTTGGACCTCTTTGAAGATTTCGTTGGAAACGGGAGAATCTTCACAGAAAAGCTAAACAGAAGCATTCTCAGAAACTTCTCTGTGATGTTTGTGTTCAACTCCCAGAGTTTCACATTGCTTTTCATAGAGTAGTTCTGAAACATGCTTTTCGTAGTGTCTGCAAGTGGACATTTGGAGCGCTTTCAGGCCTGTGGTGGAAAACGAATTATGGTCACATAAAAACTGGAGAGAAGCCTTCTCAGAAACTTCTCTGTGATGATTGCATTCAACTCACGGAGTTGAACCCTCCTATGGACAGAGCAGTGTTGAAACTCTCTTTTTGTGGAATCTGCAAGTGGATATGTGGACCTCTCCGAAGATGTCTTTGGAAACGGGAATATCTTCACATAAAAACTAAACAGAAGCATTCTCAGAAACTTCTTGGTGATGTTTGCATTCAAATCCCAGAGTTGAAACTTCCTTTGATAGGTCAGGTTTGAAACACTCTTTCTGTACGATCTGCAAGTGGATATTTGGACCACTCTGTGGCCTTCGTTCGAAACGGGTACATCTTCACATAACATCTAGACAGAAGCATTCTCAGAAAATACTTTGTGATGATTGAGTTTAAATCACAGAGCTGACCATTCCTTTGGATGGAGCAGGTTTGAGACACACTTTTTGTAGAATCTACAAGTGGATATTTGGACCTCTCTGAGGATTTCGTTGGAAACGGGATAACTGCACCTAACTAAACGGAAGCATTCTCAGAAACTGCTTTGTGATGATTGCATTCACCTCACAGAGTTGAACATTCCTATTGATAGAGCAGTTTGGAAACACTCTTGTTGTGGAATGTGCAAGTGGAGATTTGGAGCGCTTTGAGGCCTATGGTAGTAAAGGGAATAGCTTCATAGAAAAACTAGACAGATGCATTCTCAGGAACCTTTTGGTGATGTTTGTATTCAACTCCCAGAGTTGAACTTTCCTTTGGAAAGAGCAGCTATGAAACACTCTTTTTCTAGAATCTGCAAGTGGACGTTTGGAGGGCTTTGTGGTTTGTGGTGGAAAAGGAAATATCTTCACCTAAATACTAGATAGAAGCATTCTCAGAAGCTTCTCTGTGATGACTGCATTCAACTCACGGAGTTGAACACTCCTTTTGAGAGCGCAGTTTTGAAACTCTCTTTCTGTGGCATCTGCAAGGGGACATGTAGACCTCTTTGAAGATTTCGTTGGAAACGGAATCATCTTCACATAAAAACTATACAGAAGCAGTCTCAGAATCTTCTTTGTGATGTTTGCATTCAAATCCCAGAGTTGAACTTTCCTTTCAAAGTTCACGTTTGAAACACTCTTTTTGCAGGATCTACAAGTGGATATTTGGACCACTCTGTGTCCTTCGTTCGAAACGGGTATATCTTCACACGACATCTAGACAGAAGCTTTCTCAGAAAATTCTTTGGGATGATTGAGTGGAACTCACAGAGCTGAACATTCCTTGCGATGTAGCAGTTTAGAAACACACTTTCTGCAGAATCTGCAACTGCATATTTGGACCTCTCTGAGGAATTCGTTGGAAACGGGATAATTTTAGCTGACTAAACAGAAGCATTCTCAGAACCTTCTTCATGATGTCTGCATTCAACTCACAGTGTGGAACCTTTCTTTGATAGTTCAGGTTTGAAACACTCTTTTTGTAGAAACTGCAAGGGGATAATTGCACTTCTTTGAGGCCTACCGTAGTAAAGGAAATAACTTCCTATAGAAAGAAGACAGAAGCATTCTCAGAACCCTCTTCGTGATGTTTGCATTCAACTCACAGTGCTGAACCTTTCTTTGATAGTTCAGCTTTGAAACACTCTTCTTGTAGAAACTGCAAGTGGATATTTGGTCCTCTCTGAGGATTTCGTTGGAAACGGGATAAACCGCACAGAACTAAACAGAAGAATTCTCAGAGCCCTCTTCGTGATGTTTGCATTCAACTCACAGTGCTGAACCTTTCTTTGATAGTGCAGCTTTGAAACACTCTTTTTGTAGAAACTGCAAGTGGATATTTGGTCCTCTCTGAGGATTTCGTTGGAAACGGGATAAACCGCACAGAACTAAAACAGAAGCATTGTCAGAAACTTCTTTGTGATGATTGCATTCAACTCACAGAGTTGAAGGTTCCTTTTCAAACAGCAGTTTCCAATCACTCTTTCTGTGGAATCTGCAAGTGGATATTTGGGCCTCTCTGAGGATTTCGTTGGAAACGGGATAAAACGCACAGAACTAAAACAGAAGCATTCTCAGAAACTTCTCTGTGATGTTTGTGTTCAACTCCCAGAGTTTCACGTTGCTTTTCATAGAGTAGTTCTGAAACATGCTTTTCGTAGTGTCTGCAAGTGGACATTTGGAGCGCTTTCAGGCCTGTGGTGGAAAACGAATTATGGTCACATAAAAACTGGAGAGAAGCCTTCTCAGAAACTTCTCTGTGATGATTGCATTCAACTCACAGAGTTGAACCCTCCTATGGATAGAGCAGTGTTGAAACTCTCTTTTTGTGGAATCTGCAAGTGGATATGTGGACCTCTCCGAAGATGTCTTTGGAAACGGGAATATCTTCACATAAAAACTAAACAGAAGCATTCTCAGAAACTTCTTGGTGATGTTTGCATTCAAATCCCAGAGTTGAACCTTCCTTTGATAGTTCAGGTTTGAAACACTCTTTCTGTAGGATCTGCAAGTGGCTATTTGGACCACTCTGTGGCCTTCGTTCGAAACGGGTATATCTTCGCATAAAATCTAGACAGAAGCATTCTCAGAAAATACTTTGTGATGATTGAGTTTAAATCACAGAGCTGACCATTCCTTTGGATGGAGCAGGTTTGAGACACACTTTTTGTAGAATCTACAAGTGGATATTTGGACCTCTCTGAGGATTTCGTTGGAAACGGGATAACTGCACCTAACTAAACGGAAGCATTCTCAGAAACTGCTTTGTGATGATTGCATTCACCTCACAGAGTTGAACATTCCTATTGATAGAGCAGTTTGGAAACACTCTTGTTGTGGAATGTGCAAGTGGAGATTTGGAGCGCTTTGAGGCCTATGGTAGTAAAGGGAATAGCTTCATAGAAAAACTAGACAGATGCATTCTCAGGAACTTTTTGGTGATGTTTGTATTCAACTCCCAGAGTTGAACTTTCCTTTGGAAAGAGCAGCTATGAAACACTCTTTTTCTAGAATCTGCAAGTGGACGTTTGGAGGGCTTTGTGGTTTGTGGTGGAAAAGGAAATATCTTCACCTAAATACTAGATAGAAGCATTCTCAGAAGCTTCTCTGTGATGACTGCATTCAACTCACGGAGTTGAACACTCCTTTTGAGAGCGTAGTTTTGAAACTCTCTTTCTGTGGCATCTGCAAGGGGACATGTAGACCTCTTTGAAGATTTCGTTGGAAACGGAATCATCTTCACATAAAAACTATACAGAAGCAGTCTCAGAATCTTCTTTGTGATGTTTGCATTCAAATCCCAGAGTTGAACTTTCCTTTCAAAGTTCACGTTTGAAACACTCTTTTTGCAGGATCTACAAGTGGATATTTGGACCACTCTGTGTCCTTCGTTCGAAACGGGTATATCTTCACACGACATCTAGACAGAAGCTTTCTCAGAAAATTCTTTGGGATGATTGAGTGGAACTCACAGAGCTGAACATTCCTTGCGATGTAGCAGTTTAGAAACACACTTTCTGCAGAATCTGCAAGTGCATATTTGGACCTCTCTGAGGAATTCGTTGGAAACGGGATAATTTCAGCTGACTAAACAGAAGCATTCTCAGAACCTTCTTCGTGATGTCTGCATTCAACTCACAGTGTGGAACCTTTCTTTGATAGTTCAGGTTTGAAACACTCTTTTTGTAGAAACTGCAAGGGGATAATTGCACTTCTTTGAGGCCTACCGTAGTAAAGGAAATAACTTCCTATAGAAAGAAGACAGAAGCATTCTCAGAACCCTCTTCGTGATGTTTGCATTCAACTCACAGTGCTGAATCTTTCTTTGATAGTTCAGCTTTGAAACACTCTTCTTGTAGAAACTGCAAGTGGATATTTGGTCCTCTCTGAGGATTTCGTTGGAAACGGGATAAACCGCACAGAACTAAACAGAAGCATTCTCAGAACCTTCTTCGTGATGTTTGCATTCAACTCACAGTGTTGAACCTTTCTTTGATAGTTCAGGTTTGAAACGGTCTTTCTGTAGAAACTGCAAGTAGATATTTGGACCTCTCTGAGGATTTCGTTGGAAACGGGATAACCCGCACAGAACTAAAACAGAAGCATTCACAGAAAACTCTTGGTGACGACTGAGTTTAACTCACAGAGCTGAACATTCCTTTGGATGGAGCAGTTTCGAAACACACTATTTGTAGGATGTGCAAGTGGATATTTGGGCCTCTCTGAGGATTTCGTTGGAAACGGGATAAACCGCACAGAACTAAACAGAAGCATTCTCAGAAACTACTTTGTGATGATTGCATTCAAGTCACAGAGTTGAACATTCCCTTTGACAGAGCAGTTTGGAAACTCTCTTTGTGTAGAATCTGCAAGTGGAGATATGGACCGCTTTGAGGCCTATGGTAGTAAAGGAAATAGCTTCATATAAAAGCTAGACAGTAGCATTCTCAGAAACTTCTTTGTGATGCTTGCATTCAACTCACAGAGTTGAACTTTCCTTTCGAGAGAGAAGCTTTGAAACACTCTTTTTCCAGAATCTGCAAGTGGACATTTGGAGGGCTTTGAGGCCTGTGGTGGAAAAGGAATTATCTTCCCGTAAAAGCTAGATAGAAGCATTGTCAGAAACTTCTTTGTGATGATTGCATTCAACTCACAGGGTTGAAGGTTCCTTTTCAAAGAGCAGTTTCCAATCACTCTTTCTGTGGAATCTGCAAGTGGATATTTGGACCTCTTTGAAGATTTCGTTGGAAACGGGAGAATCTTCACAGAAAAGCTAAACAGAAGCATTCTCAGAAACTTCTCTGTGATGTTTGTGTTCAACTCCCAGAGTTTCACATTGCTTTTCATAGAGTAGTTCTGAAACATGCTTTTCGTAGTGTCTACAAGTGGACATTTGGAGCGCTTTCAGGCCTGTGGTGGAAAACGAATTATGGTCACATAAAAACTGGAGAGAAGCCTTCTCAGAAACTTCTCTGTGATGATTGCATTCAACTCACAGAGTTGAACCCTCCTATGGATAGAGCAGTGTTGAAACTCTCTTTTTGTGGAATCTGCAAGTGGATATGTGGACCTCTCCGAAGATGTCTTTGGAAACGGGAATATCTTCACATAAAAACTAAACAGAAGCATTCTCAGAAACTTCTTGGTGATGTTTGCATTCAAATCCCAGAGTTGAACCTTCCTTTGATAGTTCAGGTTTGAAACACTCTTTTTGTAGGATCTGCAAGTGGATATTTGGACCACTCTGTGGCCTTCGTTCGAAACGGGTACATCTTCGCATAAAATCTAGACAGAAACATTCTCAGAAAATACTTTGTGATGATTGAGTTTAAATCACAGAGCTGAACATTCCTTTGGATGGAGCAGGTTTGAGACACACTTTTTGTAGAATCTACAAGTGGATATTTGGACCTCTCTGAGGATTTCGTTGGAAACGGGATAACTGCACCTAACTAAACGGAAGCATTCTCAGAAACTGCTTTGTGATGATTGCATTCACCTCACAGAGTTGAACATTCCTATTGATAGAGCAGTTTGGAAACACTCTTGTTGTGGAATGTGCAAGTGGAGATTTGGAGCGCTTTGAGGCCTATGGTAGTAAAGGGAATAGCTTCATAGAAAAACTAGACAGATGCATTCTCAGGAACTTTTTGGTGATGTTTGTATTCAACTCCCAGAGTTGAACTTTCCTTTGGAAAGAGCAGCTATGAAACACTCTTTTTCTAGAATCTGCAAGTGGACGTTTGGAGGGCTTTGTGGTTTGTGGTGGAAAAGGAAATATCTTCACCTAAATACTAGATAGAAGCATTCTCAGAAGCTTCTCTGTGATGACTGCATTCAACTCACGGAGTTGAACACTCCTTTTGAGAGCGCAGTTTTGAAACTCTCTTTCTGTGGCATCTGCAAGGGGACATGTAGACCTCTTTGAAGGTTTCGTTGGAAACGGAATCATCTTCACATAAAAACTATACAGAAGCAGTCTCAGAATCTTCTTTGTGATGTTTGCATTCAAATCCCAGAGTTGAACTTTCCTTTCAAAGTTCACGTTTGAAACACTCTTTTTGCAGGATCTACAAGTGGATATTTGGACCACTCTGTGTCCTTCGTTCGAAACGGGTATATCTTCACACGACATCTAGACAGAAGCTTTCTCAGAAAATTCTTTGGGATGATTGAGTGGAACTCACAGAGCTGAACATTCCTTGCGATGTAGCAGTTTAGAAACACACTTTCTGCAGAATCTGCAAGTGCATATTTGGACCTCTCTGAGGAATTCGTTGGAAACGGGATAATTTCAGCTGACTAAACAGAAGCATTCTCAGAACCTTCTTCGTGATGTCTGCATTCAACTCACAGTGTGGAACCTTTCTTTGATAGTTCAGGTTTGAAACACTCTTTTTGTAGAAACTGCAAGGGGATAATTGCACTTCTTTGAGGCCTACCGTAGTAAAGGAAATAACTTCCTATAGAAAGAAGACAGAAGCATTCTCAGAACCCTCTTCGTGATGTTTGCATTCAACTCACAGTGCTGAACCTTTCTTTGATAGTTCAGCTTTGAAACACTCTTCTTGTAGAAACTGCAAGTGGATATTTGGTCCTCTCTGAGGATTTCGTTGGAAACGGGATAAACCGCACAGAACTAAACAGAAGAATTCTCAGAGCCCTCTTCGTGATGTTTGCATTCAACTCACAGTGCTGAACCTTTCTTTGATAGTGCAGCTTTGAAACACTCTTTTTGTAGAAACTGCAAGTGGATGTTTGGTCCTCTCTGAGGATTTCGTTGGAAACGGGATAAACCGCACAGAACTAAAACAGAAGCATTGTCAGAAACTTCTTTGTGATGATTGCATTCAACTCACAGAGTTGAAGGTTCCTTTTCAAACAGCAGTTTCCAATCACTCTTTCTGTGGAATCTGCAAGTGGATATTTGGGCCTCTCTGAGGATTTCGTTGGAAACGGGATAAAACGCACAGAACTAAAACAGAAGCATTCTCAGAAACTTCTCTGTGATGTTTGTGTTCAACTCCCAGAGTTTCACGTTGCTTTTCATAGAGTAGTTCTGAAACATGCTTTTCGTAGTGTCTGCAAGTGGACATTTGGAGCGCTTTCAGGCCTGTGGTGGAAAACGAATTATGGTCACATAAAAACTGGAGAGAAGCCTTCTCAGAAACTTCTCTGTGATGATTGCATTCAACTCACAGAGTTGAACCCTCCTATGGATAGAGCAGTGTTGAAACTCTCTTTTTGTGGAACCTGCAAGTGGATATGTGGACCTCTCCGAAGATGTCTTTGGAAACGGGAATATCTTCACATAAAAACTAAACAGAAGCATTCTCAGAAACTTCTTGGTGATGTTTGCATTCAAATCCCAGAGTTGAACCTTCCTTTGATAGTTCAGGTTTGAAACACTCTTTCTGTAGGATCTGCAAGTGGCTATTTGGACCACTCTGTGGCCTTCGTTCGAAACGGGTATATCTTCGCATAAAATCTAGACAGAAGCATTCTCAGAAAATACTTTGTGATGATTGAGTTAAAATCACAGAGCTGAACATTCCTTTGGATGGAGCAGGTTTGAGACACACTTTTTGTAGAATCTACAAGTGGATATTTGGACCTCTCTGAGGATTTCGTTGGAAACGGGATAACTGCACCTAACTAAACGGAAGCATTCTCAGAAACTGCTTTGTGATGATTGCATTCACCTCACAGAGTTGAACATTCCTATTGATAGAGCAGTTTGGAAACACTCTTGTTGTGGAATGTGCAAGTGGAGATTTGGAGCGCTTTGAGGCCTGTGGTAGTAAAGGGAATAGCTTCATAGAAAAACTAGACAGATGCATTCTCAGGAACTTTTTGGTGATGTTTGTATTCAACTCCCAGAGTTGAACTTTCCTTTGGAAAGAGCAGCTATGAAACACTCTTTTTCTAGAATCTGCAAGTGGACGTTTGGAGGGCTTTGTGGTTTGTGGTGGAAAAGGAAATATCTTCACCTAAATACTAGATAGAAGCATTCTCAGAAGCTTCTCTGTGATGACTGCATTCAACTCACGGATTTGAACACTCCTTTTGAGAGCGCAGTTTTGAAACTCTCTTTCTGTGGCATCTGCAAGGGGACATGTAGACCTCTTTGAAGATTTCGTTGGAAACGGAATCATCTTCACATAAAAACTATACAGAAGCAGTCTCAGAATCTTCTTTGTGATGTTTGCATTCAAATCCCAGAGTTGAACTTTCCTTTCAAAGTTCACGTTTGAAACACTCTTTTTGCAGGATCTACAAGTGGATATTTGGACCACTCTGTGTCCTTCGTTCGAAACGGGTATATCTTCACACGACATCTAGACAGAAGCTTTCTCAGAAAATTCTTTGGGATGATTGAGTGGAACTCACAGAGCTGAACATTCCTTGCGATGTAGCAGTTTAGAAACACACTTTCTGCAGAATCTGCAAGTGCATATTTGGACCTCTCTGAGGAATTCGTTGGAAACGGGATAATTTCAGCTGACTAAACAGAAGCATTCTCAGAACCTTCTTCGTGATGTCTGCATTCAACTCACAGTGTGGAACCTTTCTTTGATAGTTCAGGTTTGAAACACTCTTTTTGTAGAAACTGCAAGGGGATAATTGCACTTCTTTGAGGCCTACCGTAGTAAAGGAAATAACTTCCTATAGAAAGAAGACAGAAGCATTCTCAGAACCCTCTTCGTGATGTTTGCATTCAACTCACAGTGCTGAACCTTTCTTTGATAGTTCAGCTTTGAAACACTCTTCTTGTAGAAACTGCAAGTGGATATTTGGTCCTCTCTGAGGATTTCGTTGGAAACGGGATAAACCGCACAGAACTAAACAGAAGAATTCTCAGAGCCCTCTTCGTGATGTTTGCATTCAACTCACAGTGCTGAACCTTTCTTTGATAGTGCAGCTTTGAAACACTCTTTTTGTAGAAACTGCAAGTGGATATTTGGTCCTCTCTGAGGATTTCGTTGGAAACGGGATAAACCGCACAGAACTAAAACAGAAGCATTGTCAGAAACTTCTTTGTGATGATTGCATTCAACTCACAGAGTTGAAGGTTCCTTTTCAAACAGCAGTTTCCAATCACTCTTTCTGTGGAATCTGCAAGTGGATATTTGGGCCTCTCTGAGGATTTCGTTGGAAACGGGATAAAACGCACAGAACTAAAACAGAAGCATTCTCAGAAACTTCTCTGTGATGTTTGTGTTCAACTCCCAGAGTTTCACGTTGCTTTTCATAGAGTAGTTCTGAAACATGCTTTTCGTAGTGTCTGCAAGTGGACATTTGGAGCGCTTTCAGGCCTGTGGTGGAAAACGAATTATGGTCACATAAAAACTGGAGAGAAGCCTTCTCAGAAACTTCTCTGTGATGATTGCATTCAACTCACAGAGTTGAACCCTCCTATGGATAGAGCAGTGTTGAAACTCTCTTTTTGTGGAATCTGCAAGTGGATATGTGGACCTCTCCGAAGATGTCTTTGGAAACGGGAATATCTTCACATAAAAACTAAACAGAAGCATTCTCAGAAACTTCTTGGTGATGTTTGCATTCAAATCCCAGAGTTGAACCTTCCTTTGATAGTTCAGGTTTGAAACACTCTTTTTGTAGGATCTGCAAGTGGCTATTTGGACCACTCTGTGGCCTTCGTTCGAAACTGGTATATCTTCGCATAAAATCTAGACAGAAGCATTCTCAGAAAATACTTTGTGATGATTGAGTTTAAATCACAGAGCTGAACATTCCTTTGGATGGAGCAGGTTTGAGACACACTTTTTGTAGAATCTACAAGTGGATATTTGGACCTCTCTGAGGATTTCGTTGGAAACGGGATAACTGCACCTAACTAAACGGAAGCATTCTCAGAAACTGCTTTGTGATGATTGCATTCACCTCACAGAGTTGAACATTCCTATTGATAGAGCAGTTTGGAAACACTCTTGTTGTGGAATGTGCAAGTGGAGATTTGGAGCGCTTTGAGGCCTATGGTAGTAAAGGGAATAGCTTCATAGAAAAACTAGACAGATGCATTCTCAGGAACTTTTTGGTGATGTTTGTATTCAACTCCCAGAGTTGAACTTTCCTTTGGAAAGAGCAGCTATGAAACACTCTTTTTGTAGAATCTGCAAGTGGACGTTTGGAGGGCTTTGTGGTTTGTGGTGGAAAAGGAAATATCTTCACCTAAATACTAGATAGAAGCATTCTCAGAAGCTTCTCTGTGATGACTGCATTCAACTCACGGAGTTGAACACTCCTTTTGAGAGCGCAGTTTTGAAACTCTCTTTCTGTGGCATCTGCAAGGGGACATGTAGACCTCTTTGAAGATTTCGTTGGAAACGGAATCATCTTCACATAAAAACTATACAGAAGCAGTCTCAGAATCTTCTTTGTGGTGTTTGCATTCAAATCCCAGAGTTGAACTTTCCTTTCAAAGTTCACGTTTGAAACACTCTTTTTGCAGGATCTACAAGTGGATATTTGGACCACTCTGTGTCCTTCGTTCGAAACGGGTATATCTTCACATGACATCTAGACAGAAGCTTTCTCAGAAAATTCTTTGGGATGATTGAGTGGAACTCACAGAGCTGAACATTCCTTGCGATGTAGCAGTTTAGAAACACACTTTCTGCAGAATCTGCAAGTGCATATTTGGACCTCTCTGAGGAATTCGTTGGAAACGGGATAATTTCAGCTGACTAAACAGAAGCATTCTCAGAACCTTCTTCGTGATGTCTGCATTCAACTCACAGTGTGGAACCTTTCTTTGATAGTTCAGGTTTGAAACACTCTTTTTGTAGAAACTGCAAGGGGATAATTGCACTCTTTGAGGAGTACCGTAGTAAAGGAAATAACTTCCTATAAAAAGAAGACAGAAGCATTCTCAGAACCCTCTTCGTGATGTTTGCATTCAACTCACAGTGCTGAACCTTTCTTTGATAGTTCAGCTTTGAAACACTCTTTTTGTAGAAACTGCAAGTGGATATTTGGTCCTCTCTGAGCATTTCGTTGGAAACGGGATAAACTGCACAGAACTAAACAGAAGCATTCTCAGAACCTTCTTCGTGATGTTTGCATTCAACTCACAGTGTTGAACCTTTCTTTGATAGTTCAGGTTTGAAACGGTCTTTCTGTAGAAACTGCAAGTAGATATTTGGACCTCTCTGAGGATTTCGTTGGAAACGGGATAACCCGCACAGAACTAAAACAGAAGCATTCACAGAAAACTCTTGGTGACGACTGAGTTTAACTCACAGAGCTGAACATTCCTTTGGATGGAGCAGTTTTGAAACACACTATTTGTAGAATGTGCAAGTGGATATTTAGGCCTCTCTGAGGATTTCGTTGGAAACGGGATAAACCGCACAGAACTAAACAGAAGCATTCTCAGAAACTACTTTGTGATGATTGCATTCAAGTCACAGAGTTGAACATTCCCTTTGACAGAGCAGTTTGGAAACTCTCTTTGTGTAGAATCTGCAAGTGGAGATATGGACCGCTTTGAGGCCTATGGTAGTAAAGGAAATAGCTTCATATAAAAGCTAGACAGTAGCATTCTCAGAAACTTCTTTGTGATGCTTGCATTCAACTCACAGAGTTGAACTTTCCTTTCGAGAGAGAAGCTTTGAAACACTCTTTTTCCAGAATCTGCAAGTGGACATTTGGAGGGCTTTGAGGCCTGTGGTGGAAAAGGAATTAACTTCCCTTAAAAGCTAGATAGAAGCATTGTCAGAAACTTCTTTGTGATGATTGCATTCAACTCACAGAGATGAAGGTTCCTTTACAAACAGCAGTTTCCAAACACTCTTTCTGTGGAATCTGCAAGTGGATATTTGGACCTCTTTGAAGATTTCGTTGGAAACGGGAGAATCTTCACAGAAAAGCTAAACAGAAGCATTCTCAGAAACTTCTCTGTGATGTTTGTGTTCAACTCCCAGAGTTTCACATTGCTTTTCATAGAGTAGTTCTGAAACATGCTTTTCGTAGTGTCTGCAAGTGGACATTTGGAGCGCTTTCAGGCCTGTGGTGGAAAACGAATTATGGTCCCATAAAAACTGGAGAGAAGCCTTCTCAGAAACTTCTCTGTGATGATTGCATTCAACTCACAGATTTGAACCCTCCTATGGATAGAGCATTGTTGAAACTCTCTTTTTGTGGAATCTGCAAGTGGATATGTGGACCTCTCCGAAGATGTACTTTGGAAACGGGAATATCTTCACATAAAAACTAAACAGAAGCATTCTCAGAAACTTCTTGGTGATGTTTGCATTCAAATCCCAGAGTTGAACCTTCCTGTGATAGTTCAGGTTTGAAACACTCTTTTTGTAGGATCTGCAAGTGGATATTTGGACCACTCTGTGGCCTTCGTTCGAAACGGGTACATCTTCACATAAAATCTAGACAGAAGCATTCTCAGAAAATACTTTGTGATGATTGAGTTTAACTCACAGAGCTGAACATTCCTTTGGATGGAGCAGGTTTGAGACACACTTTTTGTAGAATCTACAAGTGGATATTTGGACCTCTCTGAGGATTTCGTTGGAAACGCGATAACTGCACCTAACTAAACGGAAGCATTCTCAGAAACTGCTTTGTGATGATTGCATTCACCTCACAGAGTTGAACATTCCTATTGATAGAGCAGTTTGGAAACACTCTTGTTGTGGAATGTGCAAGTGGAGATTTGGAGCGCTTTGAGGCCTATGGTAGTAAAGGGAATAGCTTCATAGAAAAACTAGACAGATGCATTCTCAGGAACTTTTTGGTGATGTTTGTATTCAACTCCCAGAGTTGAACTTTCCTTTGGAAAGAGCAGCTATGAAACACTCTTTTTCTAGAATCTGCAAGTGGACGTTTGGAGGGCTTTGTGGTTTGTGGTGGAAAAGGAAATATCTTCACCTAAATACTAGATAGAAGCATTCTCAGAAGCTTCTCTGTGATGACTGCATTCAACTCACGGAGTTGAACACTCCTTTTGAGAGCGCAGTTTTGAAACTCTCTTTCTGTGGCATCTGCAAGGGGACATGTAGACCTCTTTGAAGATTTCGTTGGAAACGGAATCATCTTCACATAAAAACTATACAGAAGCAGTCTCAGAATCTTCTTTGTGATGTTTGCATTCAAATCCCAGAGTTGAACTTTCCTTTCAAAGTTCACGTTTGAAACACTCTTTTTGCAGGATCTACAAGTGGATATTTGGACCACTCTGTGTCCTTCGTTCGAAACGGGTATATCTTCACACGACATCTAGACAGAAGCTTTCTCAGAAAATTCTTTGGGATGATTGAGTGGAACTCACAGAGCTGAACATTCCTTGCGATGTAGCAGTTTAGAAACACACTTTCTGCAGAATCTGCAAGTGCATATTTGGACCTCTCTGAGGAATTCGTTGGAAACGGGATAATTTCAGCTGACTAAACAGAAGCATTCTCAGAACCTTCTTCGTGATGTCTGCATTCAACTCACAGTGTGGAACCTTTCTTTGATAGTTCAGGTTTGAAACACTCTTTTTGTAGAAACTGCAAGGGGATAATTGCACTTCTTTGAGGCCTACCGTAGTAAAGGAAATAACTTCCTATAGAAAGAAGACAGAAGCATTCTCAGAACCCTCTTCGTGATGTTTGCATTCAACTCACAGTGCTGAACCTTTCTTTGATAGTTCAGCTTTGAAACACTCTTCTTGTAGAAACTGCAAGTGGATATTTGGTCCTCTCTGAGGATTTCGTTGGAAACGGGATAAACCGCACAGAACTAAACAGAAGAATTCTCAGAGCCCTCTTCGTGATGTTTGCATTCAACTCACAGTGCTGAACCTTTCTTTGATAGTGCAGCTTTGAAACACTCTTTTTGTAGAAACTGCAAGTGGATGTTTGGTCCTCTCTGAGGATTTCGTTGGAAACGGGATAAACCGCACAGAACTAAAACAGAAGCATTGTCAGAAACTTCTTTGTGATGATTGCATTCAACTCACAGAGTTGAAGGTTCCTTTTCAAACAGCAGTTTCCAATCACTCTTTCTGTGGAATCTGCAAGTGGATATTTGGGCCTCTCTGAGGATTTCGTTGGAAACGGGATAAAACGCACAGAACTAAAACAGAAGCATTCTCAGAAACTTCTCTGTGATGTTTGTGTTCAACTCCCAGAGTTTCACGTTGCTTTTCATAGAGTAGTTCTGAAACATGCTTTTCGTAGTGTCTGCAAGTGGACATTTGGAGCGCTTTCAGGCCTGTGGTGGAAAACGAATTATGGTCACATAAAAACTGGAGAGAAGCCTTCTCAGAAACTTCTCTGTGATGATTGCATTCAACTCACAGAGTTGAACCCTCCTATGGATAGAGCAGTGTTGAAACTCTCTTTTTGTGGAATCTGCAAGTGGATATGTGGACCTCTCCGAAGATGTCTTTGGAAACGGGAATATCTTCACATAAAAACTAAACAGAAGCATTCTCAGAAACTTCTTGGTGATGTTTGCATTCAAATCCCAGAGTTGAACCTTCCTTTGATAGTTCAGGTTTGAAACACTCTTTCTGTAGGATCTGCAAGTGGCTATTTGGACCACTCTGTGGCCTTCGTTCGAAACGGGTATATCTTCGCATAAAATCTAGACAGAAGCATTCTCAGAAAATACTTTGTGATGATTGAGTTTAAATCACAGAGCTGACCATTCCTTTGGATGGAGCAGGTTTGAGACACACTTTTTGTAGAATCTACAAGTGGATATTTGGACCTCTCTGAGGATTTCGTTGGAAACGGGATAACTGCACCTAACTAAACGGAAGCATTCTCAGAAACTGCTTTGTGATGATTGCATTCACCTCACAGCAGTTGAACATTCCTATTGATAGAGCAGTTTGGAAACACTCTTGTTGTGGAATGTGCAAGTGGAGATTTGGAGCGCTTTGAGGCCTATGGTAGTAAAGGGAATAGCTTCATAGAAAAACTAGACAGATGCATTCTCAGGAACTTTTTGGTGATGTTTGTATTCAACTCCCAGAGTTGAACTTTCCTTTGGAAAGAGCAGCTATGAGACACTGTTTCTCTAGAATCTGCAAGTGGACGTTTGGAGGGCTTTGTGGTTTGTGGTGGAAAGGAAATATCTTCACCTAAATACTAGATAGAAGCATTCTCAGAAGCTTCTCTGTGATGACTGCATTCAACTCACGGAGTTGAACACTCCTTTTGAGAGCGCAGTTTTGAAACTCTCTTTCTGTGGCATCTGCAAGGGGACATGTAGACCTCTTTGAAGATTTCGTTGGAAACGGAATCATCTTCACATAAAAACTATACAGAAGCAGTCTCAGAATCTTCTTTGTGATGTTTGCATTCAAATCCCAGAGTTGAACTTTCCTTTCAAAGTTCACGTTTGAAACACTCTTTTTGCAGGATCTACAAGTGGATATTTGGACCACTCTGTGTCCTTCGTTCGAAACGGGTATATCTTCACACGACATCTAGACAGAAGCTTTCTCAGAAAATTCTTTGGGATGATTGAGTGGAACTCACAGAGCTGAACATTCCTTGCGATGTAGCAGTTTAGAAACACACTTTCTGCAGAATCTGCAAGTGCATATTTGGACCTCTCTGAGGAATTCGTTGGAAACGGGATAATTTCAGCTGACTAAACAGAAGCATTCTCAGAACCTTCTTCGTGATGTCTGCATTCAACTCACAGTGTGGAACCTTTCTTTGATAGTTCAGGTTTGAAACACTCTTTTTGTAGAAACTGCAAGGGGATAATTGCACTTCTTTGAGGCCTACCGTAGTAAAGGAAATAACTTCCTATAGAAAGAAGACAGAAGCATTCTCAGAACCCTCTTCGTGATGTTTGCATTCAACTCACAGTGCTGAACCTTTCTTTGATAGTTCAGCTTTGAAACACTCTTCTTGTAGAAACTGCAAGTGGATATTTGGTCCTCTCTGAGGATTTCGTTGGAAACGGGATAAACCGCACAGAACTAAACAGAAGAATTCTCAGAGCCCTCTTCGTGATGTTTGCATTCAACTCACAGTGCTGAACCTTTCTTTGATAGTGCAGCTTTGAAACACTCTTTTTGTAGAAACTGCAAGTGGATGTTTGGTCCTCTCTGAGGATTTCGTTGGAAACGGGATAAACCGCACAGAACTAAAACAGAAGCATTGTCAGAAACTTCTTTGTGATGATTGCATTCAACTCACAGAGTTGAAGGTTCCTTTTCAAACAGCAGTTTCCAATCACTCTTTCTGTGGAATCTGCAAGTGGATATTTGGGCCTCTCTGAGGATTTCGTTGGAAACGGGATAAAACGCACAGAACTAAAACAGAAGCATTCTCAGAAACTTCTCTGTGATGTTTGTGTTCAACTCCCAGAGTTTCACGTTGCTTTTCATAGAGTAGTTCTGAAACATGCTTTTCGTAGTGTCTGCAAGTGGACATTTGGAGCGCTTTCAGGCCTGTGGTGGAAAACGAATTATGGTCACATAAAAACTGGAGAGAAGCCTTCTCAGAAACTTCTCTGTGATGATTGCATTCAACTCACAGAGTTGAACCCTCCTATGGATAGAGCAGTGTTGAAACTCTCTTTTTGTGGAATCTGCAAGTGGATATGTGGACCTCTCCGAAGATGTCTTTGGAAACGGGAATATCTTCACATAAAAACTAAACAGAAGCATTCTCAGAAACTTCTTGGTGATGTTTGCATTCAAATCCCAGAGTTGAACCTTCCTTTGATAGTTCAGGTTTGAAACACTCTTTCTGTAGGATCTGCAAGTGGCTATTTGGACCACTCTGTGGCCTTCGTTCGAAACGGGTATATCTTCGCATAAAATCTAGACAGAAGCATTCTCAGAAAATACTTTGTGATGATTGAGTTTAAATCACAGAGCTGACCATTCCTTTGGATGGAGCAGGTTTGAGACACACTTTTTGTAGAATCTACAAGTGGATATTTGGACCTCTCTGAGGATTTCGTTGGAAACGGGATAACTGCACCTAACTAAACGGAAGCATTCTCAGAAACTGCTTTGTGATGATTGCATTCACCTCACAGAGTTGAACATTCCTATTGATAGAGCAGTTTGGAAACACTCTTGTTGTGGAATGTGCAAGTGGAGATTTGGAGCGCTTTGAGGCCTGTGGTAGTAAAGGGAATAGCTTCATAGAAAAACTAGACAGATGCATTCTCAGGAACTTCTTTTTGGTGATGTTTGTATTCAACTCCCAGAGTTGAACTTTCCTTTGGAAAGAGCAGCTATGAAACACTCTTTTTCTAGAATCTGCAAGTGGACGTTTGGAGGGCTTTGTGGTTTGTGGTGGAAAAGGAAATATCTTCACCTAAATACTAGATAGAAGCATTCTCAGAAGCTTCTCTGTGATGACTGCATTCAACTCACGGAGTTGAACACTCCTTTTGAGAGCGCAGTTTTGAAACTCTCTTTCTGTGGCATCCGCAAGGGGACATGTGGACCTCTTTGAAGATTTCGTTGGAAACGGAATCATCTTCACATAAAAACTGTACAGAAGCAGTCTCAGAATCTTCTTTGTGATGTTTGCATTCAAATCCCAGAGTTGAACTTTCCTTTCAAAGTTCACGTTTGAAACACTCTTTTTGCAGGATCTACAAGTGGATATTTGGACCACTCTGTGTCCTTCGTTCGAAACGGGTATATCTTCACACGACATCTAGACAGAAGCTTTCTCAGAAAATTCTTTGGGATGATTGAGTGGAACTCACAGAGCTGAACATTCCTTGCGATGTAGCAGTTTAGAAACACACTTTCTGCAGAATCTGCAAGTGCATATTTGGACCTCTCTGAGGAATTCGTTGGAAACGGGATAATTTCAGCTGACTAAACAGAAGCATTCTCAGAACCTTCTTCGTGATGTCTGCATTCAACTCACAGTGTGGAACCTTTCTTTGATAGTTCAGGTTTGAAACACTCTTTTTGTAGAAACTGCAAGGGGATAATTGCACTTCTTTGAGGCCTACCGTAGTAAAGGAAATAACTTCCTATAGAAAGAAGACAGAAGCATTCTCAGAACCCTCTTCGTGATGTTTGCATTCAACTCACAGTGCTGAACCTTTCTTTGATAGTTCAGCTTTGAAACACTCTTCTTGTAGAAACTGCAAGTGGATATTTGGTCCTCTCTGAGGATTTCGTTGGAAACGGGATAAACCGCACAGAACTAAACAGAAGCATTCACAGAAAACTCTTGGTGACGACTGAGTTTAACTCACAGAGCTGAACATTCCTTTGGATGGAGCAGTTTCGAAACACACTATTTGTAGAATGTGCAAGTGGATATTTGGGCCTCTCTGAGGATTTCGTTGGAAACGGGATAAACCGCACAGAACTAAACAGAAGCATTCTCAGTAAACTACTTTGTGATGATTGCATTCAAGTCACAGACTTGAACATTCCCTTTGACAGAGCAGTTTGGAAACTCTCTTTGTGTAGAATCTGCAAGTGGAGATATGGACCGCTTTGGGGCCTATGGTAGTAATGGAAATAGGTTCATATAAAAGCTAGACAATAGCATTCTCAGAAACTTCTTTGTGATGCTTGCATTCAACTCACAGAGTTGAACTTTCCTTTCGAGAGAGAAGCTTTGAAACACTCTTTTTCCAGAATGTGCAAGTGGACATTTGGGGAGCTTTGAGGCCTGTGGAGGAAAAGGAATTATCTTCCCGTAAAAGCTAGATAGAAGCATTGTCAGAAACTTCTTTGTGATGATTGCATTCAACTCACAGAGTTGAAGGTTCCTTTTCAAACAGCAGTTTCCAATCACTCTTTCTGTGGAATCTGCAAGTGGATATTTCGACCTCTTTGAAGATTTCGTTGGAAACGGGAGAATCTTCACAGAAAAGCTAAACAGAAGCATTCTCAGAAACTTCTCTGTGATGTTTGTGTTCAACTCCCAGAGTTTCACGTTCCTTTTCATAGAGTAGTTCTGAAACATGCTTTTCGTAGTGTCTGCAAGTGGACATTTGGAGCGCTTTCAGGCCTGTGGTGGAAAACGAATTATGGTCACATAAAAACTGGAGAGAAGCCTTCTCAGAAACTTCTCTGTGATGATTGCATTCAACTCACAGAGTTGAACCCTCCTATGGATAGAGCAGTGTTGAAACTCTCTTTTTGTGGAATCTGCAAGTGGATATGTGGACCTCTCCGAAGATGTCTTTGGAAACGGGAATATCTTCACATAAAAACTAAACAGAAGCATTCTCAGAAACTTCTTGGTGATGTTTGCATTCAAATCCCAGAGTTGAACCTTCCTTTGATAGTTCAGGTTTGAAACACTCTTTTTGTAGGATCTGCAAGTGGCTATTTGGACCACTCTGTGGCCTTCGTTCGAAACGGGTATATCTTCGCATAAAATCTAGACAGAAGCATTCTCAGAAAATACTTTGTGATGATTGAGTTTAAATCACAGAGCTGAACATTCCTTTGGATGGAGCAGGTTTGAGACACACTTTTTGTAGAATCTACAAGTGGATATTTGGACCTCTCGGAGGATTTCGTTGGAAACGGGATAACTGCACCTAACTAAACGGAAGCATTCTCAGAAACTGCTTTGTGATGATTGCATTCACCTCACAGAGTTGAACATTCCTATTGATAGAGCAGTTTGGAAACACTCTTGTTGTGGAATGTGCAAGTGGAGATTTGGAGCGCTTTGAGGCCTATGGTAGTAAAGGGAATAGCTTCATAGAAAAACTAGACAGATGCATTCTCAGGAACTTTTTGGTGATGTTTGTATTCAACTCCCAGAGTTGAACTTTCCTTTGGAAAGAGCAGCTATGAAACACTCTTTTTCTAGAATCTGCAAGTGGACGTTTGGAGGGCTTTGTGGTTTGTGGTGGAAAAGGAAATATCTTCACCTAAATACTAGATAGAAGCATTCTCAGAAGCTTCTCTGTGATGACTGCATTCAACTCACGGAGTTGAGCACTCCTTTTGAGAGCGCAGTTTTGAAACTCTCTTTCTGTGGCATCTGCAAGGGGACATGTAGACCTCTTTGAAGATTTCGTTGGAAACGGAATCATCTTCACATAAAAACTATACAGAAGCAGTCTCAGAATCTTCTTTGTGATGTTTGCATTCAAATCCCAGAGTTGAACTTTCCTTTCAAAGTTCACGTTTGAAACACTCTTTTTGCAGGATCTACAAGTGGATATTTGGACCACTCTGTGTCCTTCGTTCGAAACGGCATATCTTCACATGACATCTAGACAGAAGCTTTCTCAGAAAATTCTTTGGGATGATTGAGTGGAACTCAACAGAGCTGAACATTCCTTGCGATGTAGCAGTTTAGAAACACACTTTCTGCAGAATCTGCAAGTGCATATTTGGACCTCTCTGAGGAATTCGTTGGAAACGGGATAATTTCAGCTGACTAAACAGAAGCATTCTCAGAACCTTCTTCGTGATGTGTGCATTCAACTCACAGTGTGGAACCTTTCTTTGATAGTTCAGGTTTGAAACACTCTTTTTGTAGAAACTGCAAGGGGATAATTGCACTTCTTTGAGGCCTACCGTAGTAAAGGAAATAACTTCCTATAGAAAGAAGACAGAAGAATTCTCAGAGCCCTCTTCGTGATGTTTGCATTCAACTCACAGTGCTGAACCTTTCTTTGATAGTGCAGCTTTGAAACACTCTTTTTGTAGAAACTGCAAGTGGATATTTGGTCCTCTCTGAGGATTTCGTTGGAAACGGGATAAACCGCACAGAACTAAACAGAAGCATTGTCAGAAACTTCTTTGTGATGATTGCATTCAACTCACAGAGTTGAAGGTTCCTTTTCAAACAGCAGTTTCCAATCACTCTTTCTGTGGAATCTGCAAGTGGATATTTGGGCCTCTCTGAGGATTTCGTTGGAAACGGGATAAAACGCACAGAACTAAAACAGAAGCATTCTCAGAAACTTCTCTGTGATGTTTGTGTTCAACTCCCAGAGTTTCACGTTGCTTTTCATAGAGTAGTTCTGAAACATGCTTTTCGTAGTGTCTGCAAGTGGACATTTGGAGCGCTTTCAGGCCTGTGGTGGAAAACGAATTATGGTCACATAAAAACTGGAGAGAAGCCTTCTCAGAAACTTCTCTGTGATGATTGCATTCAACTCACAGAGTTGAACCCTCCTATGGGTAGAGCAGTGTTGAAACTCTCTTTTTGTGGAATCTGCAAGTGGATATGTGGACCTCTCCGAAGATGTCTTTGGAAACGGGAATATCTTCACATAAAAACTAAACAGAAGCATTCTCAGAAACTTCTTGGTGATGTTTGCATTCAAATCCCAGAGTTGAACCTTCCTTTGATAGTTCAGGTTTGAAACACTCTTTCTGTAGGATCTGCAAGTGGCTATTTGGACCACTCTGTGGCCTTCGTTCGAAACGGGTATATCTTCGCATAAAATCTAGACAGAAGCATTCTCAGAAAATACTTTGTGATGATTGAGTTTAAATCACAGAGCTGACCATTCCTTTGGATGGAGCAGGTTTGAGACACACTTTTTGTAGAATCTACAAGTGGATATTTGGACCTCTCTGAGGATTTCGTTGGAAACGGGATAACTGCACCTAACTAAACGGAAAGCATTCTCAGAAACTGCTTTGTGATGATTGCATTCACCTCACAGGAGTTGAACATTCCTATTGATAGAGCAGTTTGGAAACACTCTTGTTGTGGAATGTGCAAGTGGAGATTTGGAGCGCTTTGAGGCCTGTGGTAGTAAAGGGAATAGCTTCATAGAAAAACTAGACAGATGCATTCTCAGGAACTTTTTGGTGATGTTTGTATTCAACTCCCAGAGTTGAACTTTCCTTTGGAAAGAGCAGCTATGAAACACTCTTTTTCTAGAATCTGCAAGTGGACGTTTGGAGGGCTTTGTGGTTTGTGGTGGAAAAGGAAATATCTTCACCTAAATACTAGATAGAAGCATCCTCAGAAGCTTCTCTGTGATGACTGCATTCAACTCACGGAGTTGAACACTCCTTTTGAGAGCGCAGTTTTGAAACTCTCTTTCTGTGGCATCTGCAAGGGGACATGTAGACCTCTTTGAAGATTTCGTTGGAAACGGAATCATCTTCACATAAAAACTATACAGAAGCAGTCTCAGAATCTTCTTTGTGATGTTTGCATTCAAATCCCCGAGTTGAACTTTCCTTTCAAAGTTCACGTTTGAAACACTCTTTTTGCAGGATCTACAAGTGGATATTTGGACCACTCTGTGTCCTTCGTTCGAAACGGGTATATCTTCACATGACATCTAGACAGAAGCTTTCTCAGAAAATTCTTTGGGATGATTGAGTTGAACTCACAGAGCTGAGCATTCCTTGCGATGTAGCAGTTTAGAAACACACTTTCTGCAGAATCTGCAAGTGCATATTTGGACCTCTGTGAGGAATTCGTTGGAAACGGGATAATTTCAGCTGACTAAACAGAAGCATTCTCAGAACCTTCTTCGTGATGTCTGCATTCAACTCACAGTGTGGAACCTTTCTTTGATAGTTCAGGTTTGAAACACTCTTTTTGTAGAAACTGCAAGGGGATAATTGCACTCTTTGAGGAGTACCGTAGTAAAGGAAATAACTTCCTATAAAAAGAAGACAGAAGCATTCTCAGAACCCTCTTCGTGATGTTTGCATTCAACTCACAGTGCTGAACCTTTCTTTGATAGTTCAGCTTTGAAACACTCTTTTTGTAGAAACTGCAAGTGGATATTTGGTCCTCTCTGAGGAATTCGTTGGAAACGGGATAAACTGCACAGAACTAAACAGAAGCATTCTCAGAACTTCTTCGTGATGTTTGCATTCAACTCACAGTGTTGAACCTTTCTTTGATAGTTCAGGTTTGAAACGGTCTTTCTGTAGAAACTGCAAGTAGATATTTGGACCTCTCTGAGGATTTCGTTGGAAACGGGATAACCCGCACAGAACTAAAACAGAAGCATTCACAGAAAACTCTTGGTGACGACTGAGTTTAACTCACAGAGCTGAACATTCCTTTGGATGGAGCAGTTTCGAAACACACTATTTGTAGAATGTGCAAGTGGATATTTGGGCCTCTCTGAGGATTTCGTTGGAAACGGGATAAACCGCACAGAACTAAAAAGAAGCATTCTCAGAAACTACTTTGTGACGATTGCATTCAAGTCACAGAGTTGAACATTCCCTTTGACAGAGCAGTTTGGAAACTCTCTTTGTGTAGAATCTGCAAGTGGAGATATGGACCGCTTTGAGGCCTATGGTAGTAAAGGAAATAGCTTCATATAAAAGCTAGACAGTAGCATTCTCAGAAACTTCTTTGTGATGCTTGCATTCAACTCACAGAGTTGAACTTTCCTTTCGAGAGAGAAGCTTTGAAACACTCTTTTTCCAGAATCTGCAAGTGGACATTTGGAGGGCTTTGAGGCCTGTGGTGGAAAAGGAATTAACTTCCCGTAAAAGCTAGATAGAAGCATTGTCAGAAACTTCTTTGTGATGATTGCATTCAACTCACAGAGATGAAGGTTCCTTTACAAACAGCAGTTTCCAAACACTCTTTCTGTGGAATCTGCAAGTGGATATTTGGACCTCTTTGAAGATTTCGTTGGAAACGGGAGAATCTTCACAGAAAAGCTAAACAGAAGCATTCTCAGAAACTTCTCTGTGATGTTTGTGTTCAACTCCCAGAGTTTCACATTGCTTTTCATAGAGTAGTTCTGAAACATGCTTTTCGTAGTGTCTGCAAGTGGACATTTGGAGCGCTTTCAGGCCTGTGGTGGAAAACGAATTATGGTCACATAAAAACTGGAGAGAAGCCTTCTCAGAAACTTCTCTGTGATGATTGCATTCAACTCACAGAGTTGAACCCTCCTATGGATAGAGCAGTGTTGAAACTCTCTTTTTGTGGAATCTGCAAGTGGATATGTGGACCTCTCCGAAGATGTCTTTGGAAACGGGAATATCTTCACATAAAAACTAAACAGAAGCATTCTCAGAAACTTCTTGGTGATGTTTGCATTCAAATCCCAGAGTTGAACCTTCCTTTGAGAGTTCAGGTTTGAAACACTCTTTTTGTAGGATCTGCAAGTGGATATTTGGACCACCCTGTGGCCTTCGTTCGAAACGGGTACATCTTCGCATAAAATCTAGACAGAAGCATTCTCAGAAAATACTTTGTGATGATTGAGTTGAACTCACAGAGCTGAACATTCCTTTGGATGGAGCAGGTTTGAGACACACTTTTTGTAGAATCTACAAGTGGATATTTGGACCTCTCTGAGGATTTCGTTGGAAACGGGATAACTGCACCTAACTAAACGGAAGCATTCTCAGAAACTGCTTTGTGATGATTGCATTCACCTCACAGGGTTGAACATTCCTATTGATAGAGCAGTTTGGAAACACTCTTGTTGTGGAATGTGCAAGTGGAGATTTGGAGCGCTTTGAGGCTTATGGTAGTAAAGGGAATAGCTTCATAGAAAAACTAGACAGATGCATTCTCAGGAACTTTTTGGTGATGTTTGTATTCAACTCCCAGAGTTGAACTTTCCTTTGGAAAGAGCAGCTATGAAACACTCTTTTTCTAGAATCTGCAAGTGGACGTTTGGAGGGCTTTGTGGTTTGTGGTGGAAAGGAAATATCTTCACCTAAATACTAGATAGAAGCATTCTCAGAAGCTTCTCTGTGATGACTGCATTCAACTCATGGAGTTGAACACTCCTTTTGAGAGCGCAGTTTTGAAACTCTCTTTCTGTGGCATCCGCAAGGGGACATGTGGACCTCTTTGAAGATTTCGTTGGAAACGGAATCATCTTCACATCAAAACTATACAGAAGCAGTCTCAGAATCTTCTTTGTGATGTTTGCATTCAAATCCCAGAGTTGAACTTTCCTTTCAAAGTTCACGTTTGAAACACTCTTTTTGCAGGATCTACAAGTGGATATTTGGACCACTCTGTGTCCTTCGTTCGAAACGGGTATATCTTCACATGACATCTACACAGAAGCTTTCTCAGAAAATTCTTTGGGATGATTGAGTGGAACTCACAGAGCTGAACATTCCTTGCGATGTAGCAGTTTAGAAACACACTTTCTGCAGAATCTGCAAGTACATATTTGGACCTCTCTGAGGAATTCGTTGGAAACGGGATAATTTCAGCTGACTAAACAGACGCATTCTCAGAACCTTCTTCGTGATGTCTGCATTCAACTCACAGTGTGGAACCTTTCTTTGATAGTTCAGGTTTGAAACACTCTTTTTGTAGAAACTGCAAGGGGATAATTGCACTTCTTTGAGGCCTACCGTAGTAAAGGAAATAACTTCCTATAGAAAGAAGACAGAAGCATTCTCAGAACCCTCTTCGTGATGTTTGCATTCAACTCACAGTGCTGAACCTTTCTTTGATAGTTCAGCTTTGAAACACTCTTCTTGTAGAAACTGCAAGTGGATATTTGGTCCTCTCTGAGGATTTCGTTGGAAACGGGATAAACCGCACAGAACTAAACAGAAGCATTCTCAGAGCCCTCTTCGTGATGTTTGCATTCAACTCACAGTGCTGAACCTTTCTTTGATAGTGCAGCTTTGAAACACTCTTTTTGTAGAAACTGCAAGTGGATGTTTTGTCCTCCCTGAGGATTTCGTTGGAAACGGGATAAACCGCACAGAACTAAAACAGAAGCATTCTCAGAACCTTCTTCGTGATGTTTGCATTCAACTCACAGTGTTGAACCTTTCTTTGATAGTTCAGGTTTGAAACGGTCTTTCTGTAGAAACTGCAAGTAGATATTTGGACCTCTCTGAGGATTTCGTTGGAAACGGGATAAACCGCACAGAACTAAAACAGAAGCATTCACAGAAAACTCTTGGTGACGACTGAGTTTAACTCACAGAGCTGAACATTCCTTTGGATGGAGCAGTTTCGAAACACACTATTTGTAGAATGTGCAAGTGGATATGTGGGCCTCTCTGAGGATTTCGTTGGAAACGGGATAAACCGCACAGAACTAAACAGAAGCATTCTCAGAAACTACTTTGTGATGATTGCATTCAAGTCACAGAGTTGAACATTCCCTTTGACAGAGCAGTTTGGAAACTCTCTTTGTGTAGAATCTGCAAGTGGAGATATGGACCGCTTTGAGGCCTATGGTAGTAAAGGAAATAGCTTCATATAAAAGCTAGACAGTAGCATTCTGAGAAACTTCTTTGTGATGCTTGCATTCAACTCACAGAGTTGAACTTTCCTTTCGAGAGAGAAGCTTTGAAACACTCTTTTTCCAGAATCTGCAAGTGGACATTTGGAGGGCTTTGAGGCCTGTGGTGGAAAAGGAATTATCTTCCCGTAAAAGCTAGATAGAAGCATTGTCAGAAACTTCTTTGTGATAATTGCATTCAAGTCACAGAGTTGAAGGTTCCTTTTCAAAGAGCAGTTTCCAATCACTCTTTCTGTGGAATCTGCAAGTGGATATTTGGACCTCTTTGAAGATTTCGTTGGAAACGGGAGAATCTTCACAGAAAAGCTAAACAGAAGCATTCTCAGAAACTTCTCTGTGATGTTTGTGTTCAACTCCCAGAGTTTCACATTGCTTCTCATAGAGTAGTTCTGAAACATGCTTTTCGTAGTGTCTGCAAGTGGACATTTGGAGCGCTTTCAGGCCTGTGGTGGAAAACGAATTATGGTCACATAAAAACTGGAGAGAAGCCTTCTCAGAAACTTCTCTGTGATGATTGCATTCAACTCACAGAGTTGAACCCTCCTATGGATAGAGCAGTGTTGAAACTCTCTTTTTGTGGAATCTGCAAGCGGATATGTGGACCTCTCCGAAGATGTCTTTGGAAACGGGAATATCTTCACATAAAAACTAAACAGAAGCATTCTCAGAAACTTCTTCGTGATGTTTGCATTCAAATCCCAGAGTTGAACCTTCCTTTGAGAGTTCAGGTTTGAAACACTCTTTTTGTAGGATCTGCAAGTGGATATTTGGACCACTCTGTGGCCTTCGTTCGAAACGGGTACATCTTCGCATAAAATCTAGACAGAAGCATTCTCAGAAAATACTTTGTGATGATTGAGTTGAACTCACAGAGCTGAACATTCCTTTGGATGGAGCAGGTTTGAGACACACTTTTTGTAGAATCTACAAGTGGATATTTGGACCTCTCTGAGGATTTCGTTGGAAACGGGATAACTGCACCTAACTAAACGGAAGCATTCTCAGAAACTGCTTTGTGATGATTGCATTCACCTCACAGAGTTGAACATTCGTATTGATAGAGCAGTTTGGAAACACTCTTCTTGTGGAATGTGCAAGTGGAGATTTGGAGCGCTTTGGGGCCTATGGTAGTAAAGGGAATAGCTTCATAGAAAAACTAGACAGATGCATTCTCAGGTAACTTTTTGGTGATGTTTGTATTCAACTCCCAGCAGTTGAACTTTCCTTTGGAAAGAGCAGCTATGAAACACTCTTTTTCTAGAATCTGCAAGTGGACGTTTGGAGGGCTTTGTGGTTTGTGGTGGAAAAGGAAATATCTTCACCTAAATACTAGACAGAAGCATTCTCAGAAGCTTCTCTGTGATGACTGCATTCAACTCACGGAGTTGAACACTCCTTTTGAGAGCGCAGTTTTGAAACTCTCTTTCTGTGGCATCTGCAAGGGGACATGTGGACCTCTTTGAAGATTTCGTTGGAAACGGAATCATCTTCACATAAAAACTATACAGAAGCAGTCTCAGAATCTTCTTTGTGATGTTTGCATTCAAATCCCAGAGTTGAACTTTCCTTTCAAAGTTCACGTTTGAAACACTCTTTTTGCAGGATCTACAAGTGGATATTTGGACCACTCTGTGTCCTTCGTTCGAAACGGGTATATCTTCACACGACATCTAGACAGAAGCTTTCTCAGAAAATTCTTTGGGATGATTGAGTGGAACTCACAGAGCTGAACATTCCTTGCGATGGAGCAGTTTAGAAACACACTTTCTGCAGAATCTGCAAGTGCATATTTGGACCTCTCTGAGGAATTCGTTGGAAACGGGATAATTTCAGCTGACTAAACAGAAGCATTCTCAGAACCTTCTTCGTGATGTCTGCATTCAACTCACAGTGTGGAACCTTTCTTTGATAGTTCAGGTTTGAAACACTCTTTTTGTAGAAACTGCAAGGGGATAATTGCACTTCTTTGAGGCCTACCGTAGTAAAGGAAATAACTTCCTATAGAAAGAAGACAGAAGCATTCTCAGAACCCTCTTCGTGATGTTTGCATTCAACTCACAGTGCTGAACCTTTCTTTGATAGTTCAGCTTTGAAACACTCTTCTTGTAGAAACTGCAAGTGGATATTTGGTCCTCTCTGAGGATTTCGTTGGAAACGGGATAAACCGCACAGAACTAAACAGAAGCATTCTCAGAGCCCTCTTCGTGATGTTTGCATTCAACTCACAGTGCTGAACCTTTCTTTGATAGTGCAGCTTTGAAACACTCTTTTTGTAGAAACTGCAAGTGGATATTTGGTCCTCTCTGAGGATTTCGTTGGAAACGGGATAAACCGCACAGAACTAAAACAGAAGCATTGTCAGAAACTTCTTTGTGATGATTGCATTCAACTCACAGAGTTGAAGGTTCCTTTTCAAACAGCAGTTTCCAATCACTCTTTCTGTGGAATCTGCAAGTGGATATTTGGGCCTCTCTGAGGATTTCGTTGGAAACGGGATAAAACGCACAGAACTAAAACAGAAGCATTCTCAGAAAACTTCTCTGTGATGTTTGTGTTCAACTCCCAGAGTTTCACGTTGCTTTTCATAGAGTAGTTCTGAAACATGCTTTTCGTAGTGTCTGCAAGTGGACATTTGGAGCGCTTTCAGGCCTGTGGTGGAAAACGAATTATGGTCACATAAAAACTGGAGAGAAGCCTTCTCAGAAACTTCTCTGTGATGATTGCATTCAACTCACAGAGTTGAACCCTCCTATGGATAGAGCAGTGTTGAAACTCTCTTTTTGTGGAATCTGCAAGTGGATATGTGGACCTCTCCGAAGATGTCTTTGGAAACGGGAATATCTTCACATAAAAACTAAACAGAAGCATTCTCAGAAACTTCTTGGTGATGTTTGCATTCAAATCCCAGAGTTGAACCTTCCTTTGATAGTTCAGGTTTGAAACACTCTTTTTGTAGGATCTGCAAGTGGATATTTGGACCACTCTGTGGCCTTCGTTCGAAACGGGTACATCTTCGCATAAAATCTAGACAGAAGCATTCTCAGAAAATACTTTGTGATGATTGAGTTTAACTCACAGAGCTGAACATTCCTTTGGATGGAGCAGGTTTGAGACACACCTTTTGTAGAATCTACAAGTGGATATTTGGACCTCTCTGAGGATTTCGTTGGAAACGGGATAACTGCACCTAACTAAACGGAAGCATTCTCAGAAACTGCTTTGTGATGATTGCATTCACCTCACAGAGTTGAACATTCCTATTGATAGAGCAGTTTGGAAACACTCTTGTTGTGGAATGTGCAAGTGGAGATTTGGAGCGCTTTGAGGCCTATGGTAGTAAAGGGAATAGCTTCATAGAAAAACTAGACAGATGCATTCTCAGGAACTTTTTGGTGATGTTTGTATTCAACTCCCAGAGTTGAACTTTCCTTTGGAAAGAGCAGCTATGAAACACTGTTTTTCTAGAATCTGCAAGTGGACGTTTGGAGGGCTTTGTGGTTTGTGGTGGAAAAGGAAATATCTTCACCTAAATACTAGATAGAAGCATCCTCAGAAGCTTCTCTGTGATGACTGCATTCAACTCACGGAGTTGAACACTCCTTTTGAGAGCGCAGTTTTGAAACTCTCTTTCTGTGGCATCTGCAAGGGGACATGTAGACCTCTTTGAAGATTTCGTTGGAAACGGAATCATCTTCACATAAAAACTATACAGAAGCAGTCTCAGAATCTTCTTTGTGATGTTTGCATTCAAATCCCCGAGTTGAACTTTCCTTTCAAAGTTCACGTTTGAAACACTCTTTTTGCAGGATCTACAAGTGGATATTTGGACCACTCTGTGTCCTTCGTTCGAAACGGGTATATCTTCACATGACATCTAGACAGAAGCTTTCTCAGAAAATTCTTTGGGATGATTGAGTTGAACTCACAGAGCTGAGCATTCCTTGCGATGTAGCAGTTTAGAAACACACTTTCTGCAGAATCTGCAAGTGCATATTTGGACCTCTGTGAGGAATTCGTTGGAAACGGGATAATTTCAGCTGACTAAACAGAAGCATTCTCAGAACCTTCTTCGTGATGTCTGCATTCAACTCACAGTGTGGAACCTTTCTTTGATAGTTCAGGTTTGAAACACTCTTTCTGTAGAAACTGCAAGGGGATAATTGCACTCTTTGAGGAGTACCGTAGTAAAGGAAATAACTTCCTATAAAAAGAAGACAGAAGCATTCTCAGAACCCTCTTCGTGGTGTTTGCATTCAACTCACAGTGCTGAACCTTTCTTTGATAGTTCAGCTTTGAAACACTCTTTTTGTAGAAACTGCAAGTGGATATTTGGTCCTCTCTGAGGATTTCGTTGGAAACGGGATAAACTGCACAGAACTAAACAGAAGCATTCTCAGAACCTTCTTCGTGATGTTTGCATTCAACTCACAGTGTGGAACCTTTCTTTGATAGTTCAGGTTTGAAACGGTCTTTCTGTAGAAACTGCAAGTAGATATTTGGACCTCTCTGAGGATTTCGTTGGAAACGGGATAACCCGCACAGAACTAAAACAGAAGCATTCACAGAAAACTCTTGGTGACGACTGAGTTTAACTCACAGAGCTGAACATTCCTTTGGATGGAGCAGTTTCGAAACACACTATTTGTAGAATGTGCAAGTGGATATTTGGGCCTCTCTGAGGATTTCGTTGGAAACGGGATAAACCGCACAGAACTAAACAGAAGCATTCTCAGAAACTACTTTGTGATGATTGCATTCAAGTCACAGAGTTGAACATTCCCTTTGACAGAGCAGTTTGGAAACTCTCTTTGTGTAGAATCTGCAAGTGGAGATATGGACCGCTTTGAGGCCTATGGTAGTAAAGGAAATAGCTTCATATAAAAGCTAGACAGTAGCATTCTCAGAAACTTCTTTGTGATGCTTGCATTCAACTCACAGAGTTGAACTTTCCTTTCGAGAGAGAAGCTTTGAAACACTCTTTTTCCAGAATCTGCAAGTGGACATTTGGAGGGCTTTGAGGCCTGTGGTGGAAAAGGAATTATCTTCCCGTAAAAGCTAGATAGAAGCATTGTCAGAAACTTCTTTGTGATGATTGCATTCAACTCACAGAGTTGAAGGTTCCTTTTCAAAGAGCAGTTTCCAATCACTCTTTGTGTGGAATCTGCAAGTGGATATTTGGACCTATTTTGAAGATTTCGTTGGAAACGGGAGAATCTTCACAGGAAAGCTAAACAGAAGCATTCTCAGAAACTTCTCTGTGATGTTTGTGTTCAACTCCCAGAGTTTCACATTGCTTTTCATAGAGTAGTTCTGAAACATGCTTTTCGTAGTGTCTACAAGTGGACATTTGGAGCGCTTTCAGGCCTGTGGTGGAAAACGAATTATGGTCACATAAAAACTGGAGAGAAGCCTTCTCAGAAACTTCTCTGTGATGATTGCATTCAACTCACAGAGTTGAACCCTCCTATGGATAGAGCAGTGTTGAAACTCTCTTTTTGTGGAATCTGCAAGTGGATATGTGGACCTCTCCGAAGATGTCTTTGGAAACGGGAATATCTTCACATAAAAACTAAACAGAAGCATTCTCAGAAACTTCTTGGTGATGTTTGCATTCAAATCCCAGAGTTGAACCTTCCTTTGATAGTTCAGGTTTGAAACACTCTTTTTGTAGGTTCTGCAAGTGGATATTTGGACCACTCTGTGGCCTTCGTTCGAAACGGGTATATCTTCGCATAAAATCTAGACAGAAGCATTCTCAGAAAATACTTTGTGATGATTGAGTTTAACTCACAGAGCTGAACATTCCTTTGGATGGAGCAGGTTTGAGACACACTTTTTGTAGAATCTACAAGTGGATATTTGGACCTCTCTGAGGATTTCGTTGGAAACGCGATAACTGCACCTAACTAAACGGAAGCATTCTCAGAAACTGCTTTGTGATGATTGCATTCACCTCACAGAGTTGAACATTCCTATTGATAGAGCAGTTTGGAAACACTCTTGTTGTGGAATGTGCAAGTGGAGATTTGGAGCGCTTTGAGGTCTATGGTAGTAAAGGGAATAGCTTCATAGAAAAACTAGACAGATGCATTCTCAGGAACTTTTTGGTGATGTTTGTATTCAACTCCCAGAGTTGAACTTTCCTTTGGAAAGAGCAGCTATGAAACACTCTTTTTCTAGAATCTGCAAGTGGACGTTTGGAGGGCTTTGTGGTTTGTGGTGGAAAAGGAAATATCTTCACCTAAATACTAGATAGAAGCATTCTCAGAAGCTTCTCTGTGATGACTGCATTCAACTCACGGAGTTGAACACTCCTTTTGAGAGCGCAGTTTTGAAAATCTCTTTCTGTGGCATCTGCAAGGGGACATGTAGACCTCTTTGAAGATTTCGTTGGAAACGGAATCATCTTCACATAAAAACTATACAGAAGCAGTCTCAGAATCTTCTTTGTGATGTTTGCATTCAAATCCCAGAGTTGAACTTTCCTTTCAAAGTTCACGTTTGAAACACTCTTTTTGCAGGATCTACAAGTGGATATTTGGACCACTCTGTGTCCTTCGTTCGAAACGGGTATAACTTCACACGACATCTAGACAGAAGCTTTCTCAGAAAATTCTTTGGGATGATTGAGTGGAACTCACAGAGCTGAACATTCCTTGCGATGTAGCAGTTTAGAAACACACTTTCTGCAGAATCTGCAAGTGCATATTTGGACCTCTCTGAGGAATTCGTTGGAAACGGGATAATTTCAGCTGACTAAACAGAAGCATTCTCAGAACCTTCTTCGTGATGTCTGCATTCAACTCACAGTGTGGAACCTTTCTTTGATAGTTCAGGTTTGAAACACTCTTTTTGTAGAAACTGCAAGGGGATAATTGCACTTCTTTGAGGCCTACCGTAGTAAAGGAAATAACTTCCTATAGAAAGAAGACAGAAGCATTCTCAGAACCCTCTTCGTGATGTTTGCATTCAACTCACAGTGCTGAACCTTTCTTTGATAGTTCAGCTTTGAAACACTCTTCTTGTAGAAACTGCAAGTGGATATTTGGTCCTCTCTGAGGATTTCGTTGGAAACGGGATAAACCGCACAGAACTAAACAGAAGAATTCTCAGAGCCCTCTTCGTGATGTTTGCATTCAACTCACAGTGCTGAACCTTTCTTTGATAGTGCAGCTTTGAAACACTCTTTTTGTAGAAACTGCAAGTGGATGTTTGGTCCTCTCTGAGGATTTCGTTGGAAACGGGATAAACCGCACAGAACTAAAACAGAAGCATTGTCAGAAACTTCTTTGTGATGATTGCATTCAACTCACAGAGTTGAAGGTTCCTTTTCAAACAGCAGTTTCCAATCACTCTTTCTGTGGAATCTGCAAGTGGATATTTGGGCCTCTCTGAGGATTTCGTTGGAAACGGGATAAAACGCACAGAACTAAAACAGAAGCATTCTCAGAAACTTCTCTGTGATGTTTGTGTTCAACTCCCAGAGTTTCACGTTGCTTTTCATAGAGTAGTTCTGAAACATGCTTTTCGTAGTGTCTGCAAGTGGACATTTGGAGCGCTTTCAGGCCTGTGGTGGAAAACGAATTATGGTCACATAAAAACTGGAGAGAAGCCTTCTCAGAAACTTCTCTGTGATGATTGCATTCAACTCACAGAGTTGAACCCTCCTATGGATAGAGCAGTGTTGAAACTCTCTTTTTGTGGAATCTGCAAGTGGATATGTGGACCTCTCCGAAGATGTCTTTGGAAACGGGAATATCTTCACATAAAAACTAAACAGAAGCATTCTCAGAAACTTCTTGGTGATGTTTGCATTCAAATCCCAGAGTTGAACCTTCCTTTGATAGTTCAGGTTTGAAACACTCTTTCTGTAGGATCTGCAAGTGGCTATTTGGACCACTCTGTGGCCTTCGTTCGAAACGGGTATATCTTCGCATAAAATCTAGACAGAAGCATTCTCAGAAAATACTTTGTGATGATTGAGTTTAAATCACAGAGCTGACCATTCCTTTGGATGGAGCAGGTTTGAGACACACTTTTTGTAGAATCTACAAGTGGATATTTGGACCTCTCTGAGGATTTCGTTGGAAACGGGATAACTGCACCTAACTAAACGGAAGCATTCTCAGAAACTGCTTTGTGATGATTGCATTCACCTCACAGAGTTGAACATTCCTATTGATAGAGCAGTTTGGAAACACTCTTGTTGTGGAATGTGCAAGTGGAGATTTGGAGCGCTTTGAGGCCTGTGGTAGTAAAGGGAATAGCTTCATAGAAAAACTAGACAGATGCATTCTCAGGAACTTTTTGGTGATGTTTGTATTCAACTCCCAGAGTTGAACTTTCCTTTGGAAAGAGCAGCTATGAAACACTCTTTTTCTAGAATCTGCAAGTGGACGTTTGGAGGGCTTTGTGGTTTGTGGTGGAAAAGGAAATATCTTCACCTAAATACTAGATAGAAGCATTCTCAGAAGCTTCTCTGTGATGACTGCATTCAACTCACGGAGTTGAACACTCCTTTTGAGAGCGCAGTTTTGAAACTCTCTTTCTGTGGCATCTGCAAGGGGACATGTAGACCTCTTTGAAGATTTCGTTGGAAACGGAATCATCTTCACATAAAAACTATACAGAAGCAGTCTCAGAATCTTCTTTGTGATGTTTGCATTCAAATCCCAGAGTTGAACTTTCCTTTCAAAGTTCACGTTTGAAACACTCTTTTTGCAGGATCTACAAGTGGATATTTGGACCACTCTGTGTCCTTCGTTCGAAACGGGTATATCTTCACACGACATCTAGACAGAAGCTTTCTCAGAAAATTCTTTGGGATGATTGAGTGGAACTCACAGAGCTGAACATTCCTTGCGATGTAGCAGTTTAGAAACACACTTTCTGCAGAATCTGCAAGTGCATATTTGGACCTCTCTGAGGAATTCGTTGGAAACGGGATAATTTCAGCTGACTAAACAGAAGCATTCTCAGAACCTTCTTCGTGATGTCTGCATTCAACTCACAGTGTGGAACCTTTCTTTGATAGTTCAGGTTTGAAACACTCTTTTTGTAGAAACTGCAAGGGGATAATTGCACTTCTTTGAGGCCTACCGTAGTAAAGGAAATAACTTCCTATAGAAAGAAGACAGAAGCATTCTCAGAACCCTCTTCGTGATGTTTGCATTCAACTCACAGTGCTGAACCTTTCTTTGATAGTTCAGCTTTGAAACACTCTTCTTGTAGAAACTGCAAGTGGATATTTGGTCCTCTCTGAGGATTTCGTTGGAAACGGGATAAACCGCACAGAACTAAACAGAAGCATTCTCAGAGCCCTCTTCGTGATGTTTGCATTCAACTCACAGTGCTGAACCTTTCTTTGATAGTGCAGCTTTGAAACACTCTTTTTGTAGAAACTGCAAGTGGATATTTGGTCCTCTCTGAGGATTTCGTTGGAAACGGGATAAACCGCACAGAACTAAAACAGAAGCATTGTCAGAAACTTCTTTGTGATGATTGCATTCAACTCACAGAGTTGAAGGTTCCTTTTCAAACAGCAGTTTCCAATCACTCTTTCTGTGGAATCTGCAAGTGGATATTTGGGCCTCTCTGAGGATTTCGTTGGAAACGGGATAAAACGCACAGAACTAAAACAGAAGCATTCTCAGAAACTTCTCTGTGATGTTTGTGTTCAACTCCCAGAGTTTCACGTTGCTTTTCATAGAGTAGTTCTGAAACATGCTTTTCGTAGTGTCTGCAAGTGGACATTTGGAGCGCTTTCAGGCCTGTGGTGGAAAACGAATTATGGTCACATAAAAACTGGAGAGAGCCTTCTCAGAAACTTCTCTGTGATGATTGCATTCAACTCACAGAGTTGAACCCTCCTATGGATAGAGCAGTGTTGAAACTCTCTTTTTGTGGAATCTGCAAGTGGATATGTGGACCTCTCCGAAGATGTCTTTGGAAACGGGAATATCTTCACATAAAAACTAAACAGAAGCATTCTCAGAAACTTCTTGGTGATGTTTGCATTCAAATCCCAGAGTTGAACCTTCCTTTGATAGTTCAGGTTTGAAACACTCTTTCTGTAGGATCTGCAAGTGGCTATTTGGACCACTCTGTGGCCTTCGTTCGAAACGGGTATATCTTCGCATAAAATCTAGACAGAAGCATTCTCAGAAAATACTTTGTGATGATTGAGTTTAACTCACAGAGCTGAACATTCCTTTGGATGGAGCAGGTTTGAGACACACCTTTTGTAGAATCTACAAGTGGATATTTGGACCTCTCTGAGGATTTCGTTGGAAACGGGATAACTGCACCTAACTAAACGGAAGCATTCTCAGAAACTGCTTTGTGATGATTGCATTCACCTCACAGAGTTGAACATTCCTATTGATAGAGCAGTTTGGAAACACTCTTGTTGTGGAATGTGCAAGTGGAGATTTGGAGCGCTTTGAGGCCTATGGTAGTAAAGGGAATAGCTTCATAGAAAAACTAGACAGATGCATTCTCAGGAACTTTTTGGTGATGTTTGTATTCAACTCCCAGAGTTGAACTTTCCTTTGGAAAGAGCAGCTATGAAACACTGTTTTTCTAGAATCTGCAAGTGGACGTTTGGAGGGCTTTGTGGTTTGTGGTGGAAAAGGAAATATCTTCACCTAAATACTAGATAGAAGCATCCTCAGAAGCTTCTCTGTGATGACTGCATTCAACTCACGGAGTTGAACACTCCTTTTGAGAGCGCAGTTTTGAAACTCTCTTTCTGTGGCATCTGCAAGGGGACATGTAGACCTCTTTGAAGATTTCGTTGGAAACGGAATCATCTTCACATAAAAACTATACAGAAGCAGTCTCAGAATCTTCTTTGTGATGTTTGCATTCAAATCCCCGAGTTGAACTTTCCTTTCAAAGTTCACGTTTGAAACACTCTTTTTGCAGGATCTACAAGTGGATATTTGGACCACTCTGTGTCCTTCGTTCGAAACGGGTATATCTTCACATGACATCTAGACAGAAGCTTTCTCAGAAAATTCTTTGGGATGATTGAGTTGAACTCACAGAGCTGAGCATTCCTTGCGATGTAGCAGTTTAGAAACACACTTTCTGCAGAATCTGCAAGTGCATATTTGGACCTCTGTGAGGAATTCGTTGGAAACGGGATAATTTCAGCTGACTAAACAGAAGCATTCTCAGAACCTTCTTCGTGATGTCTGCATTCAACTCACAGTGTGGAACCTTTCTTTGATAGTTCAGGTTTGAAACACTCTTTCTGTAGAAACTGCAAGGGGATAATTGCACTCTTTGAGGAGTACCGTAGTAAAGGAAATAACTTCCTATAAAAAGAAGACAGAAGCATTCTCAGAACCCTCTTCGTGATGTTTGCATTCAACTCACAGTGCTGAACCTTTCTTTGATAGTTCAGCTTTGAAACACTCTTTTTGTAGAAACTGCAAGTGGATATTTGGTCCTCTCTGAGCATTTCGTTGGAAACGGGATAAACTGCACAGAACTAAACAGAAGCATTCTCAGAACTTCTTCGTGATGTTTGCATTCAACTCACAGTGTTGAACCTTTCTTTGATAGTTCAGGTTTGAAACGGTCTTTCTGTAGAAACTGCAAGTAGATATTTGGACCTCTCTGAGGATTTCGTTGGAAACGGGATAACCCGCACAGAACTAAAACAGAAGCATTCACAGAAAACTCTTGGTGACGACTGAGTTTAACTCACAGAGCTGAACATTCCTTTGGATGGAGCAGTTTCGAAACACACTATTTGTAGAATGTGCAAGTGGATATGTGGGCCTCTCTGAGGATTTCGTTGGAAACGGGATAAACCGCACAGAACTAAACAGAAGCATTCTCAGAAACTACTTTGTGATGATTGCATTCAAGTCACAGAGTTGAACATTCCCTTTGACAGAGCAGTTTGGAAACTCTCTTTGCGTAGAATCTGCAAGTGGAGATATGGACCGCTTTGAGGCCTATGGTAGTAAAGGAAATAGCTTCATATAAAAGCTAGACAGCAGCATTCTCAGAAACTTCTTTGTGATGCTTGCATTCAACTCACAGAGTTGAACTTTCCTTTCGAGAGAGAAGCTTTGAAACACTCTTTTTCCAGAATCTGCAAGTGGACATTTGGAGGGCTTTGAGGCCTGTGGTGGAAAAGGAATTATCTTCCCGTAAAAGCTAGATAGAAGCATTGTCAGAAACTTCTTTGTGATGATTGCATTCAAGTCACAGAGTTGAAGGTTCCTTTTCAAAGAGCAGTTTCCAATCACTCTTTCTGTGGAATCTGCAAGTGGATATTTGGACCTCTTTGAAGATTTCGTTGGAAACGGGAGAATCTTCACAGAAAAGCTAAACAGAAGCATTCTCAGAAACTTCTCTGTGATGTTTGTGTTCAACTCCCAGAGTTTCACATTGCTTCTCATAGAGTAGTTCTGAAACATGCTTTTCGTAGTGTCTGCAAGTGGACATTTGGAGCGCTTTCAGGCCTGTGGTGGAAAACGAATTATGGTCACATAAAAACTGGAGAGAAGCCTTCTCAGAAACTTCTCTGTGATAATTGCATTCAACTCACAGAGTTGAACCCTCCTATGGATAGAGCAGTGTTGAAACTCTCTTTTTGTGGAATCTGCAAGCGGATATGTGGACCTCTCCGAAGACATCTTTGGAAACGGGAATATCTTCACATAAAAACTAAACAGAAGCATTCTCAGAAACTTCTTGGTGATGTTTGCATTCAAATCCCAGAGTTGAACCTTCCTTTGAGAGTTCAGGTTTGAAACACTCTTTTTGTAGGATCTGCAAGTGGATATTTGGACCACTCTGTGGCCTTCGTTCGAAACGGGTACATCTTCGCATAAAATCTAGACAGAAGCATTCTCAGAAAATACTTTGTGATGATTGAGTTGAACTCACAGAGCTGAACATTCCTTTGGATGGAGCAGGTTTGAGACACACTTTTTGTAGAATCTACAAGTGGATATTTGGACCTCTCTGAGGATTTCGTTGGAAACGGGATAACTGCACCTAACTAAACGGAAGCATTCTCAGAAACTGCTTTGTGATGATTGCATTCACCTCACAGAGTTGAACATTCCTATTGATAGAGCAGTTTGGAAACACTCTTGTTGTGGAATGTGCAAGTGGAGATTTGGAGCGCTTTGAGGCCTATGGTAGTAAAGGGAATAGCTTCATAGAAAAACTAGACAGATGCATTCTCAGGAACTTTTTGGTGATGTTTGTATTCAACTCCCAGCAGTTGAACTTTCCTTTGGAAAGAGCAGCTATGAAACACTCTTTTTCTAGAATCTGGAAGTGGACGTTTGGAGGGCTTTGTGGTTTGTGGTGGAAAAGGAAATATCTTCACCTAAATACTAGATAGAAGCATTCTCAGAAGCTTCTCTGTGATGACTGCATTCAACTCACGGAGTTGAACACTCCTTTTGAGAGCGCAGTTTTGAAACTCTCTTTCTGTGGCATCTGCAAGGGGACATGTAGACCTCTTTGAAGATTTCGTTGGAAACGGAATCATCTTCACATAAAAACTATACAGAAGCAGTCTCAGAATCTTCTTTGTGATGTTTGCATTCAAATCCCAGAGTTGAACTTTCCTTTCAAAGTTCACGTTTGAAACACTCTTTTTGCAGGATCTACAAGTGGATATTTGGACCACTCTGTGTCCTTCGTTCGAAACGGGTATATCTTCACACGACATCTAGACAGAAGCTTTCTCAGAAAATTCTTTGGGATGATTGAGTGGAACTCACAGAGCTGAACATTCCTTGCGATGTAGCAGTTTAGAAACACACTTTCTGCAGAATCTGCAAGTGCATATTTGGACCTCTCTGAGGAATTCGTTGGAAACGGGATAATTTCAGCTGACTAAACAGAAGCATTCTCAGAACCTTCTTCGTGATGTCTGCATTCAACTCACAGTGTGGAACCTTTCTTTGATAGTTCAGGTTTGAAACACTCTTTTTGTAGAAACTGCAAGGGGATAATTGCACTTCTTTGAGGCCTACCGTAGTAAAGGAAATAACTTCCTATAGAAAGAAGACAGAAGCATTCTCAGAACCCTCTTCGTGATGTTTGCATTCAACTCACAGTGCTGAACCTTTCTTTGATAGTTCAGCTTTGAAACACTCTTCTTGTAGAAACTGCAAGTGGATATTTGGTCCTCTCTGAGGATTTCGTTGGAAACGGGATAAACCGCACAGAACTAAACAGAAGAATTCTCAGAGCCCTCTTCGTGATGTTTGCATTCAACTCACAGTGCTGAACCTTTCTTTGATAGTGCAGCTTTGAAACACTCTTTTTGTAGAAACTGCAAGTGGATGTTTGGTCCTCTCTGAGGATTTCGTTGGAAACGGGATAAACCGCACAGAACTAAAACAGAAGCATTGTCAGAAACTTCTTTGTGATGATTGCATTCAACTCACAGAGTTGAAGGTTCCTTTTCAAACAGCAGTTTCCAATCACTCTTTCTGTGGAATCTGCAAGTGGATATTTGGGCCTCTCTGAGGATTTCGTTGGAAACGGGATAAAACGCACAGAACTAAAACAGAAGCATTCTCAGAAACTTCTCTGTGATGTTTGTGTTCAACTCCCAGAGTTTCACATTGCTTTTCATAGAGTAGTTCTGAAACATGCTTTTCGTAGTGTCTACAAGTGGACATTTGGAGCGCTTTCAGGCCTGTGGTGGAAAACGAATTATGGTCACATAAAAACTGGAGAGAAGCCTTCTCAGAAACTTCTCTGTGATGATTGCATTCAACTCACAGAGTTGAACCCTCCTATGGATAGAGCAGTGTTGAAACTCTCTTTTTGTGGAATCTGCAAGTGGATATGTGGACCTCTCCGAAGATGTCTTTGGAAACGGGAATATCTTCACATAAAAACTAAACAGAAGCATTCTCAGAAACTTCTTGGTGATGTTTGCATTCAAATCCCAGAGTCGAACCTTCCTTTGATAGTTCAGGTTTGAAACACTCTTTTTGTAGGATCTGCAAGTGGATATTTGGACCACTCTGTGGCCTTCGTTCGAAACGGGTATATCTTCGCATAAAATCTAGACAGAAGCATTCTCAGAAAATACTTTGTGATGATTGAGTTTAACTCACAGAGCTGAACATTCCTTTGGATGGAGCAGGTTTGAGACACACCTTTTGTAGAATCTACAAGTGGATATTTGGACCTCTCTGAGGATTTCGTTGGAAACGGGATAACTGCACCTAACTAAACGGAAGCATTCTCAGAAACTGCTTTGTGATGATTGCATTCACCTCACAGAGTTGAACATTCCTATTGATAGAGCAGTTTGGAAACACTCTTGTTGTGGAATGTGCAAGTGGAGATTTGGAGCGCTTTGAGGCCTATGGTAGTAAAGGGAATAGCTTCATAGAAAAACTAGACAGATGCATTCTCAGGAACTTTTTGGTGATGTTTGTATTCAACTCCCAGAGTTGAACTTTCCTTTGGAAAGAGCAGCTATGAAACACTGTTTTTCTAGAATCTGCAAGTGGACGTTTGGAGGGCTTTGTGGTTTGTGGTGGAAAAGGAAATATCTTCACCTAAATACTAGATAGAAGCATTCTCAGAAGCTTCTCTGTGATGACTGCATTCAACTCACGGAGTTGAACACTCCTTTTGAGAGCGCAGTTTTGAAACTCTCTTTCTGTGGCATCTGCAAGAGGACATGTAGACCTCTTTGAAGATTTCGTTGGAAACGGAATCATCTTCACATAAAAACTATACAGAAGCAGTCTCAGAATCTTCTTTGTGATGTTTGCATTCAAATCCCAGAGTTGAACTTTCCTTTCAAAGTTCACGTTTGAAACACTCTTTTTGCAGGATCTTCAAGTGGATATTTGGACCACTCTGTGTCCTTCGTTCGAAACGGGTATATCTTCACATGACATCTAGACAGAAGCTTTCTCAGAAAATTCTTTGGGATGATTGAGTGGAACTCACAGAGCTGAACATTCCTTGCGATGTAGCAGTTTAGAAACACACTTTCTGCAGAATCTGCAAGTGCATATTTGGACCTCTCTGAGGAATTCGTTGGAAACGGGATAATTTCAGCTGACTAAACAGAAGCATTCTCAGAACCTTCTTCGTGATGTCTGCATTCAACTCACAGTGTGGAACCTTTCTTTGATAGTTCAGGTTTGAAACACTCTTTTTGTAGAAACTGCAAGGGGATAATTGCACTTCTTTGAGGCCTACCGTAGTAAAGGAAATAACTTCCTATAGAAAGAAGACAGAAGCATTCTCAGAACCCTCTTCGTGATGTTTGCATTCAACTCACAGTGCTGAACCTTTCTTTGATAGTTCAGCTTTGAAACACTCTTCTTGTAGAAACTGCAAGTGGATATTTGGTCCTCTCTGAGGATTTCGTTGGAAACGGGATAAACCGCACAGAACTAAACAGAAGAATTCTCAGAGCCCTCTTCGTGATGTTTGCATTCAACTCACAGTGCTGAACCTTTCTTTGATAGTGCAGCTTTGAAACACTCTTTTTGTAGAAACTGCAAGTGGATGTTTGGTCCTCTCTGAGGATTTCGTTGGAAACGGGATAAACCGCACAGAACTAAAACAGAAGCATTGTCAGAAACTTCTTTGTGATGATTGCATTCAACTCACAGAGTTGAAGGTTCCTTTTCAAACAGCAGTTTCCAATCACTCTTTCTGTGGAATCTGCAAGTGGATATTTGGGCCTCTCTGAGGATTTCGTTGGAAACGGGATAAAACGCACAGAACTAAAACAGAAGCATTCTCAGAAACTTCTCTGTGATGTTTGTGTTCAACTCCCAGAGTTTCACGTTGCTTTTCATAGAGTAGTTCTGAAACATGCTTTTCGTAGTGTCTGCAAGTGGACATTTGGAGCGCTTTCAGGCCTGTGGTGGAAAACGAATTATGGTCACATAAAAACTGGAGAGAAGCCTTCTCAGAAACTTCTCTGTGATGATTGCATTCAACTCACAGAGTTGAACCCTCCTATGGATAGAGCAGTGTTGAAACTCTCTTTTTGTGGAATCTGCAAGTGGATATGTGGACCTCTCCGAAGATGTCTTTGGAAACGGGAATATCTTCACATAAAAACTAAACAGAAGCATTCTCAGAAACTTCTTGGTGATGTTTGCATTCAAATCCCAGAGTTGAACCTTCCTTTGATAGTTCAGGTTTGAAACACTCTTTCTGTAGGATCTGCAAGTGGCTATTTGGACCACTCTGTGGCCTTCGTTCGAAATGGGTATATCTTCGCATAAAATCTAGACAGAAGCATTCTCAGAAAATACTTTGTGATGATTGAGTTTAAATCACAGAGCTGACCATTCCTTTGGATGGAGCAGGTTTGAGACACACTTTTTGTAGAATCTACAAGTGGATATTTGGACCTCTCTGAGGATTTCGTTGGAAACGGGATAACTGCACCTAACTAAACGGAAGCATTCTCAGAAACTGCTTTGTGATGATTGCATTCACCTCACAGAGTTGAACATTCCTATTGATAGAGCAGTTTGGAAACACTCTTGTTGTGGAATGTGCAAGTGGAGATTTGGAGCGCTTTGAGGCCTGTGGTAGCAAAGGGAATAGCTTCATAGAAAAACTAGACAGATGCATTCTCAGGAACTTCTTTTTGGTGATGTTTGTATTCAACTCCCAGAGTTGAACTTTCCTTTGGAAAGAGCAGCTATGAAACACTCTTTTTCTAGAATCTGCAAGTGGACGTTTGGAGGGCTTTGTGGTTTGTGGTGGAAAAGGAAATATCTTCACCTAAATACTAGATAGAAGCATTCTCAGAAGCTTCTCTGTGATGACTGCATTCAACTCACGGCAGTTGAACACTCCTTTTGAGAGCGCAGTTTTGAAACTCTCTTTCTGTGGCATCTGCAAGGGGACATGTAGACCTCTTTGAAGATTTCGTTGGAAACGGAATCATCTTCGCATAAAAACTATACAGAAGCAGTCTCAGAATCTTCTTTGTGATGTTTGCATTCAAATCCCAGAGTTGAACTTTCCTTTCGAAGTTCACGTTTGAAACACTCTTTTTGCAGGATCTACAAGTGGATATTTGGACCACTCTGTGTCCTTCGTTCGAAACGGGTATATCTTCACACGACATCTAGACAGAAGCTTTCTCAGAAAATTCTTTGGGATGATTGAGTGGAACTCACAGAGCTGAACATTCCTTGCGATGTAGCAGTTTAGAAACACACTTTCTGCAGAATCTGCAAGTGCATATTTGGACCTCTCTGAGGAATTCGTTGGAAACGGGATAATTTCAGCTGACTAAACAGAAGCATTCTCAGAACCTTCTTCGTGATGTCTGCATTCAACTCACAGTGTGGAACCTTTCTTTGATAGTTCAGGTTTGAAACACTCTTTTTGTAGAAACTGCAAGGGGATAATTGCACTTCTTTGAGGCCTACCGTAGTAAAGGAAATAACTTCCTATAGAAAGAAGACAGAAGCATTCTCAGAACCCTCTTCGTGATGTTTGCATTCAACTCACAGTGCTGAACCTTTCTTTGATAGTTCAGCTTTGAAACACTCTTCTTGTAGAAACTGCAAGTGGATATTTGGTCCTCTCTGAGGATTTCGTTGGAAACGGGATAAACCGCACAGAACTAAACAGAAAGAATTCTCAGAGCCCTCTTCGTGATGTTTGCATTCAACTCACAGTGCTGAACCTTTCTTTGATAGTGCAGCTTTGAAACACTCTTTTTGTAGAAACTGCAAGTGGATGTTTGGTCCTCTCTGAGGATTTCGTTGGAAACGGGATAAACCGCACAGAACTAAAACAGAGCATTCTCAGAACCTTCTTCGTGATGTTTGCATTCAACTCACAGTGTTGAACCTTTCTTTGATAGTTCAGGTTTGAAACGGTCTTTCTGTAGAAACTGCAAGTAGATATTTGGACCTCTCTGAGGATTTCGTTGGAAACGGGATACACCGCACAGAACTAAAACAGAAGCATTCACAGAAAACTCTTGGTGACGACTGAGTTTAACTCACAGAGCTGAACATTCCTTTGGATGGAGCAGTTTCGAAACACACTATTTGTAGAATCTGCAAGTGGATATTTGGGCCTCTCTGAGGATTTCGTTGGAAACGGGATAAAACGCACAGAACTAAAACAGAAGCATTCTCAGAAACTACTTTGTGATGATTGCATTCAAGTCACAGAGTTGAACATTCCCTTTGACAGAGCAGTTTGGAAACTCTCTTTGTGTAGAATCTGCAAGTGGAGATATGGACCGCTTTGAGGCCTATGGTAGTAAAGGAAATAGCTTCATATAAAACCTAGACAGTAGCATTCTCAGAAACTTCTTTGTGATGCTTGCATTCAACTCACAGAGTTGAACTTTCCTTTCGAGAGAGAAGCTTTGAAACACTCTTTTTCCAGAATGTGCAAGTGGACATTTGGGGAGCTTTGAGGCCTGTGGAGGAAAAGGAATTATCTTCCCGTAAAAGCTAGATAGAAGCATTGTCAGAAACTTCTTTGTGATGATTGCATTCAACTCACAGAGTTGAAGGTTCCTTTTCAAACAGCAGTTTCCAATCACTCTTTCTGTGGAATCTGCAAGTGGATATTTCGACCTCTTTGAAGATTTCGTTGGAAACGGGAGAATCTTCACAGAAAAGCTAAACAGAAGCATTCTCAGAAACTTCTCTGTGATGTTTGTGTTCAACTCCCAGAGTTTCACGTTGCTTTTCATAGAGTAGTTCTGAAACATGCTTTTCGTAGTGTCTGCAAGTGGACATTTGGAGCGCTTTCAGGCCTGTGGTGGAAAACGAATTATGGTCACATAAAAACTGGAGAGAAGCCTTCTCAGAAACTTCTCTGTGATGATTGCATTCAACTCACAGAGTTGAACCCTCCTATGGATAGAGCAGTGTTGAAACTCTCTTTTTGTGGAATCTGCAAGTGGATATGTGGACCTCTCCGAAGATGTCTTTGGAAACGGGAATATCTTCACATAAAAACTAAACAGAAGCATTCTCAGAAACTTCTTGGTGATGTTTGCATTCAAATCCCAGAGTTGAACCTTCCTTTGATAGTTCAGGTTTGAAACACTCTTTCTGTAGGATCTGCAAGTGGCTATTTGGACCACTCTGTGGCCTTCGTTCGAAACGGGTATATCTTCGCATAAAATCTAGACAGAAGCATTCTCAGAAAATACTTTGTGATGATTGAGTTTAAATCACAGAGCTGACCATTCCTTTGGATGGAGCAGGTTTGAGACACACTTTTTGTAGAATCTACAAGTGGATATTTGGACCTCTCTGAGGATTTCGTTGGAAACGGGATAACTGCACCTAACTAAACGGAAGCATTCTCAGAAACTGCTTTGTGATGATTGCATTCACCTCACAGAGTTGAACATTCCTATTGATAGAGCAGTTTGGAAACACTCTTGTTGTGGAATGTGCAAGTGGAGATTTGGAGCGCTTTGAGGCCTATGGTAGTAAAGGGAATAGCTTCATAGAAAAACTAGACAGATGCATTCTCAGGAACTTTTTGGTGATGTTTGTATTCAACTCCCAGAGTTGAACTTTCCTTTGGAAAGAGCAGCTATGAAACACTCTTTTTCTAGAATCTGCAAGTGGACGTTTGGAGGGCTTTGTGGTTTGTGGTGGAAAAGGAAATATCTTCACCTAAATACTAGATAGAAGCATTCTCAGAAGCTTCTCTGTGATGACTGCATTCAACTCACGGAGTTGAACACTCCTTTTGAGAGCGCAGTTTTGAAACTCTCTTTCTGTGGCATCTGCAAGGGGACATGTAGACCTCTTTGAAGATTTCGTTGGAAACGGAATCATCTTCACATAAAAACTATACAGAAGCAGTCTCAGAATCTTCTTTGTGATGTTTGCATTCAAATCCCAGAGTTGAACTTTCCTTTCAAAGTTCACGTTTGAAACACTCTTTTTGCAGGATCTACAAGTGGATATTTGGACCACTCTGTGTCCTTCGTTCGAAACGGGTATATCTTCACACGACATCTAGACAGAAGCTTTCTCAGAAAATTCTTTGGGATGATTGAGTGGAACTCACAGAGCTGAACATTCCTTGCGATGGAGCAGTTTAGAAACACACTTTCTGCAGAATCTGCAAGTGCATATTTGGACCTCTCTGAGGAATTCGTTGGAAACGGGATAATTTCAGCTGACTAAACAGAAGCATTCTCAGAACCTTCTTCGTGATGTCTGCATTCAACTCACAGTGTGGAACCTTTCTTTGATAGTTCAGGTTTGAAACACTCTTTTTGTAGAAACTGCAAGGGGATAATTGCACTTCTTTGAGGCCTACCGTAGTAAAGGAAATAACTTCCTATAGAAAGAAGACAGAAGCATTCTCAGAACCCTCTTCGTGATGTTTGCATTCAACTCACAGTGCTGAACCTTTCTTTGATAGTTCAGCTTTGAAACACTCTTCTTGTAGAAACTGCAAGTGGATATTTGGTCCTCTCTGAGGATTTCGTTGGAAACGGGATAAACCGCACAGAACTAAACAGAAGAATTCTCAGAGCCCTCTTCGTGATGTTTGCATTCAACTCACAGTGCTGAACCTTTCTTTGATAGTGCAGCTTTGAAACACTCTTTTTGTAGAAACTGCAAGTGGATATTTGGTCCTCTCTGAGGATTTCGTTGGAAACGGGATAAACCGCACAAAACTAAAACAGAAGCATTCACAGAAAACTCTTGGTGACGACTGAGTTTAACTCACAGAGCTGAACATTCCTTTGGATGGAGCAGTTTCGAAACACACTATTTGTAGAATCTGCAAGTGGATATTTGGGCCTCTCTGAGGATTTCGTTGGAAACGGGATAAAACGCACAGAACAAAAACAGAAGCATTCTCAGAAACTACTTTGTGGTGATTGCATTCAAGTCACAGAGTTGAACATTCCCTTTGACAGAGCAGTTTGGAAACTCTCTTTGTGTAGAATCTGCAAGTGGAGATATGGACCGCTTTGAGGCCTATGGTAGTAAAGGAAATACCTTCATAGAAAAGCCAGACAGTAGCATTCTCAGAAACTTCTTTGTGATGCTTGCATTCAACTCACAGAGTTGAACTTTCCTTTCGAGAGAGAAGCTTTGAAACACTCTTTTTCCAGAATGTGCAAGTGGACATTTGGGGAGCTTTGAGGCCTGGGGTGGAAAAGGAATTATCTTCCCGTAAAAGCTAGATAGAAGCATTGTCAGGAACTTCTTTGTGATGATTGCATTCAACTCACAGAGTTGAAGGTTCCTTTTCAAACAGCAGTTTCCAATCACTCTTTCTGTGGAATCTGCAAGTGGATATTTCGACCTCTTTGAAGATTTCGTTGGAAACGGGAGAATCTTCACAGAAAAGCTAAACAGAAGCATTCTCAGAAACTTCTCTGTGATGTTTGTGTTCAACTCCCAGAGTTTCACGTTGCTTTTCATAGAGTAGTTCTGAAACATGCTTTTCGTAGTGTCTGCAAGTGGACATTTGGAGCGCTTTCAGGCCTGTGGTGGAAAACGAATTATGGTCACATAAAAACTGGAGAGAAGCCTTCTCAGAAACTTCTCTGTGATGATTGCATTCAACTCACAGAGTTGAACCCTCCTATGGATAGAGCAGTGTTGAAACTCTCTTTTTGTGGAATCTGCAAGTGGATATGTGGACCTCTCCGAAGATGTCTTTGGAAACGGGAATATCTTCACATAAAAACTAAACAGAAGCATTCTCAGAAACTTCTTGGTGATGTTTGCATTCAAATCCCAGAGTTGAACCTTCCTTTGATAGTTCAGGTTTGAAACACTCTTTCTGTAGGATCTGCAAGTGGCTATTTGGACCACTCTGTGGCCTTCGTTCGAAACGGGTATATCTTCGCATAAAATCTAGACAGAAGCATTCTCAGAAAATACTTTGTGATGATTGAGTTTAAATCACAGAGCTGACCATTCCTTTGGATGGAGCAGGTTTGAGACACACTTTTTGTAGAATCTACAAGTGGATATTTGGACCTCTCTGAGGATTTCGTTGGAAACGGGATAACTGCACCTAACTAAACGGAAGCATTCTCAGAAACTGCTTTGTGATGATTGCATTCACCTCACAGAGTTGAACATTCCTATTGATAGAGCAGTTTGGAAACACTCTTGTTGTGGAATGTGCAAGTGGAGATTTGGAGCGCTTTGAGGCCTATGGTAGTAAAGGGAATAGCTTCATAGAAAAACTAGACAGATGCATTCTCAGGAACTTTTTGGTGATGTTTGTATTCAACTCCCAGAGTTGAACTTTCCTTTGGAAAGAGCAGCTATGAAACACTCTTTTTCTAGAATCTGCAAGTGGACGTTTGGAGGGCTTTGTGGTTTGTGGTGGAAAAGGAAATATCTTCACCTAAATACTAGATAGAAGCATTCTCAGAAGCTTCTCTGTGATGACTGCATTCAACTCACGGAGTTGAACACTCCTTTTGAGAGCGCAGTTTTGAAACTCTCTTTCTGTGGCATCTGCAAGGGGACATGTAGACCTCTTTGAAGATTTCGTTGGAAACGGAATCATCTTCACATCAAAACTATACAGAAGCAGTCTCAGAATCTTCTTTGTGATGTTTGCATTCAAATCCCAGAGTTGAGCTTTCCTTTCAAAGTTCACGTTTGAAACACTCTTTTTGCAGGATCTACAAGTGGATATTTGGACCACTCTGTGTCCTTCGTTCGAAACGGGTATATCTTCACATGACATCTAGACAGAAGCTTTCTCAGAAAATTCTTTGGGATGATTGAGTTGAGCAAACAGAGCTGAACACTCCTTGCGATGTAGCAGTTTAGAAACACACTTTCTGCAGAATCTGCAACTGCATATGTGGACCTCTCTGAGGAATTCGTTGGAAACGGGATAATTTCAGCTGACTAAACAGACGCATTCTCAGAACCTTCTTCGTGATGTCTGCATTCAACTCACAGTGTGGAACCTTTCTTTGATAGTTCAGGTTTGAAACACTCTTTTTGTAGAAACTGCAAGGGGATCATTGCACTTCTTTGAGGCCTACCTTAGTAAAGGAGATAACTTCCTATAAAAAGAAGACAGAAGCATTCTCAGAACCATCTTCGTGATATTTGCATTCAACTCACAGTGCTGAACCTTTCTTTGATAGTTCAGCTTTGAAACTCTCTTTTTGTAGAAACGGCAAGTGGATATTTGGGCCTCTCTGAGGATTTCGTTGGAAACGGGATAAACCGCACAGAACTAAACAGAAGCATTCTCAGAACCTTCTTCGTGATGTTTGCATTCAACTCACAGTGTTGAACCTTTCTTTGATAGTTCAGGTTTGAAACGGTCTTTCTGTAGAAACTGCAAGTAGATATTTGGACCTCTCTGAGGATTTCGTTGGAAACGGGATAACCCGCACAGAACTAAAACAGAAGCATTCACAGAAAACTCTTGGTGACGACTGAGTTTAACTCACAGAGCTGAACATTCCTTTGGATGGAGCAGTTTCGAAACACACTATTTGTAGAATGTGCAAGTGGATATTTAGGCCTCTCTGAGGATTTCGTTGGAAACGGGATAAACCGCACAGAACTAAACAGAAGCATTCTCAGAAACTACTTTGTGATGATTGCATTCAAGTCACAGAGTTGAACATTCCCTTTGACAGAGCAGTTTGGAAACTCTCTTTGTGTAGAATCTGCAAGTGGAGATATGGACCGCTTTGAGGCCTATGGTAGTAAAGGAAATAGCTTCATATAAAAGCTAGACAGTAGCATTCTCAGAAACTTCTTTCTGATGCTTGCATTCAACTCACAGAGTTGAACTTTCCTTTCGAGAGAGAAGCTTTGAAACACTCTTTTTCCAGAATCTGCAAGTGGACATTTGGAGGGCTTTGAGGCCTGTGGTGGAAAAGGAATTATCTTCCCGTAAAAGCTAGATAGAAGCATTGTCAGAAACTTCTTTGTGATGATTGCATTCAACTCACAGAGTTGAAGGTTCCTTTTCAAAGAGCAGTTTCCAATCACTCTTTGTGTGGAATCTGCAAGTGGATATTTGGACCTATTTTGAAGATTTCGTTGGAAACGGGAGAATCTTCACAGGAAAGCTAAACAGAAGCATTCTCAGAAACTTCTCTGTGATGTTTGTGTTCAACTCCCAGAGTTTCACATTGCTTTTCATAGAGTAGTTCTGAAACATGCTTTTCGTAGTGTCTACAAGTGGACATTTGGAGCGCTTTCAGGCCTGTGGTGGAAAACGAATTATGGTCACATAAAAACTGGAGAGAAGCCTTCTCAGAAACTTCTCTGTGATGATTGCATTCAACTCACAGAGTTGAACCCTCCTATGGATAGAGCAGTGTTGAAACTCTCTTTTTGTGGAATCTGCAAGTGGATATGTGGACCTCTCCGAAGATGTCTTTGGAAACGGGAATATCTTCACATAAAAACTTAACAGAAGCATTCTCAGAAACTTCTTGGTGATGTTTGCATTCAAATCCCAGAGTTGAACCTTCCTTTGATAGTTCAGGTTTGAAACACTCTTTTTGTAGGATCTGCAAGTGGATATTTGGACCACTCTGTGGCCTTCGTTCGAAACGGGTACATCTTCGCATAAAATCTAGACAGAAGCATTCTCAGAAAATACTTTGTGATGATTGAGTTTAACTCACAGAGCTGAACATTCCTTTGGATGGAGCAGGTTTGAGACACACCTTTTGTAGAATCTACAAGTGGATATTTGGACCTCTCTGAGGATTTCGTTGGAAACGGGATAACTGCACCTAACTAAACGGAAGCATTCTCAGAAACTGCTTTGTGATGATTGCATTCACCTCACAGAGTTGAACATTCCTATTGATAGAGCAGTTTGGAAACACTCTTGTTGTGGAATGTGCAAGTGGAGATTTGGAGCGCTTTGAGGCCTATGGTAGTAAAGGGAATAGCTTCATAGAAAAACTAGACAGATGCATTCTCAGGAACTTTTTGGTGATGTTTGTATTCAACTCCCAGAGTTGAACTTTCCTTTGGAAAGAGCAGCTATGAAACACTCTTTTTCTAGAATCTGCAAGTGGACGTTTGGAGGGCTTTGTGGTTTGTGGTGGAAAAGGAAATATCTTCACCTAAATACTAGATAGAAGCATTCTCAGAAGCTTCTCTGTGATGACTGCATTCAACTCACGGAGTTGAACACTCCTTTTGAGAGCGCAGTTTTGAAACTCTCTTTCTGTGGCATCTGCAAGGGGACATGTAGACCTCTTTGAAGATTTCGTTGGAAACGGAATCATCTTCACATAAAAACTATACAGAAGCAGTCTCAGAATCTTCTTTGTGATGTTTGCATTCAAATCCCAGAGTTGAACTTTCCTTTCAAAGTTCACGTTTGAAACACTCTTTTTGCAGGATCTACAAGTGGATATTTGGACCACTCTGTGTCCTTCGTTCGAAACGGGTATATCTTCACACGACATCTAGACAGAAGCTTTCTCAGAAAATTCTTTGGGATGATTGAGTTGAACTCACAGAGCTGAGCATTCCTTGCGATGTAGCAGTTTAGAAACACACTTTCTGCAGAATCTGCAAGTGCATATTTGGACCTCTGTGAGGAATTCGTTGGAAACGGGATAATTTCAGCTGACTAAACAGAAGCATTCTCAGAACCTTCTTCGTGATGTCTGCATTCAACACAAAGTGTGGAACTTTTCTTTGATAGTTCAGGTTTTAAAAACTCTTTTTGTAGAAACTGCAAGGGGATAATTGCACTCTTTGAGGAGTACCGTAGTAAAGGAAATAACTTCCTATAAAAAGAAGACAGAAGCATTCTCAGAACCCTCTTCGTGATGTTTGCATTCAACTCACAGTGCTGAACCTTTCTTTGATAGTTCAGCTTTGAAACACTCTTTTTGTAGAAACTGCAAGTGAATATTTGGTCCTCTCTGAGGATTTCGTTGGAAACGGGATAAAACGCACAGAACTAAACAGAAGCATTCTCAGAACCTTCTTCGTGATGTTTGCATTCAACTCACAGTGTTGAACCTTTCTTTGATAGTTCAGGTTTGAAACGGTCTTTCTGTAGAAACTGCAAGTAGATATTTGGACCTCTCTGAGGATTTCGTTGGAAACGGGATAAACCGCACAGAGCTAAAACAGAAGCATTCACAGAAAACTCTTGGTGACGACTGAGTTTAACTCACAGAGCTGAACATTCCTTTGGATGGAGCAGTTTCGAAACACACTATTTGTAGAATGTGCAAGTGGATATTTGGGCCTCTCTGAGGATTTCGTTGGAAACGGGATAAACCGCACAGAACTAAACAGAAGCATTCTCAGAAACTACTTTGTGATGATTGCATTCAAGTCACAGAGTTGAACATTCCCTTTGACAGAGCAGTTTGGAAACTCTCTTTGTGTAGAATCTGCAAGTGGAGATATGGACCGCTTTGAGGCCTATGGTAGTAAAGGAAATAGCTTCATATAAAAGCTAGACAGTAGCATTCTCAGAAACTTCTTTGTGATGCTTGCATTCAACTCACAGAGTTGAACTTTCCTTTCGAGAGAGAAGCTTTGAAACACTCTTTTTCCAGAATCTGCAAGTGGACATTTGGAGGGCTTTGAGGCCTGTGGTGGAAAAGGAATTAACTTCCCATAAAAGCTAGATAGAAGCATTGTCAGAAACTTCTTTGTGATGATTGCATTCAACTCACAGAGATGAAGGTTCCTTTACAAACAGCAGTTTCCAAACACTCTTTCTGTGGAATCTGCAAGTGGATATTTGGACCTCTTTGAAGATTTCGTTGGAAACGGGAGAATCTTCACAGAAAATCTAAACAGAAGCATTCTCAGAAACTTCTCTGTGATGTTTGTGTTCAACTCCCAGAATTTCACATTGCTTTTCATAGAGTAGTTCTGAAACATGCTTTTCGTAGTGTCTGCAAGTGGACATTTGGAGCGCTTTCAAGCCTGTGGTGGAAAACGAATTATGGTCCCATAAAAACTGGAGAGAAGCCTTCTCAGAAACTTCTCTGTGATGATTGCATTCAACTCACAGATTTGAACCCTCCTATGGATAGAGCATTGTTGAAACTCTCTTTTTGTGGAATCTGCAAGTGGATATGTGGACCTCTCCGAAGATGTCTTTGGAAACGGGAATATCTTCACATAAAAACTAAACAGAAGCATTCTCAGAAACTTCTTGGTGATGTTTGCATTCAAATCCCAGTAGTTGAACCTTCCTGTGATAGTTCAGGTTTGAAACACTCTTTTTGTAGGATCTGCAAGTGGATATTTGGACCACTCTGTGGCCTTCGTTCGAAACGGGTACATCTTCACATAAAATCTAGACAGAAGCATTCTCAGAAAATACTTTGTGATGATTGAGTTTAACTCACAGAGCTGAACATTCCTTTGGATGGAGCAGGTTTGAGACACACTTTTTGTAGAATCTACAAGTGGATATTTGGACCTCTCTGAGGATTTCGTTGGAAACGCGATAACTGCACCTAATTAAACGGAAGCATTCACAGAAACTACTTTGTGATGATTGCATTCACCTCACAGAGTTGAACATTCCTATTGATAGAACAGTTTGGAAACACTCTTGTTGTGGAATGTGCAAGTGGAGATTTGGAGCGCTTTGAGGCCTATGGTAGTAAAGGGAATAGCTTCATAGAAAAACTAGACAGATGCATTCTCAGGAACTTTTTGGTGATGTTTGTATTCAACTCCCAGAGTTGAACTTTCCTTTGGAAAGAGCAGCTATGAAACACTCTTTTTCTAGAATCTGCAAGTGGACGTTTGGAGGGCTTTGTGGTTTGTGGTGGAAAAGGAAATATCTTCACCTAAATACTAGATAGAAGCATTCTCAGAAGCTTCTCTGTGATGACTGCATTCAACTCACGGAGTTGAACACTCCTTTTGAGAGCGCAGTTTTGAAACTCTCTTTCTGTGACATCTGCAAGGGGACATGTAGACCTCTTTGAAGATTTCGTTGGAAACGGAATCATCTTCACATAAAAACTATACAGAAGCAGTCTCAGAATCTTCTTTGTGATGTTTGCATTCAAATCCCAGAGTTGAACTTTCCTTTCAAAGTTCACGTTTGAAACACTCTTTTTGCAGGATCTACAAGTGGATATTTGGACCACTCTGTGTCCTTCGTTCGAAACGGGTATATCTTCACACGACATCTAGACAGAAGCTTTCTCAGCAAAATTCTTTGGGATGATTGAGTGGAACTCACAGAGCTGAACATTCCTTGCGATGTAGCAGTTTAGAAACACACTTTCTGCAGAATCTGCAAGTGCATATTTGGACCTCTCTGAGGAATTCGTTGGAAACGGGATAATTTCAGCTGACTAAACAGAAGCATTCTCAGAACCTTCTTCGTGATGTCTGCATTCAACTCACAGTGTGGAACCTTTCTTTGATAGTTCAGGTTTGAAACACTCTTTTTGTAGAAACTGCAAGGGGATAATTGCACTTCTTTGAGGCCTACCGTAGTAAAGGAAATAACTTCCTATAGAAAGAAGACAGAAGCATTCTCAGAACCCTCTTCGTGATGCTTGCATTCAACTCACAGTGCTGAACCTTTCTTTGATAGTTCAGCTTTGAAACACTCTTCTTGTAGAAACTGCAAGTGGATATTTGGTCCTCTCTGAGGATTTCGTTGGAAACGGGATAAACCGCACAGAACTAAACAGAAGAATTCTCAGAGCCCTCTTCGTGATGTTTGCATTCAACTCACAGTGCTGAACCTTTCTTTGATAGTGCAGCTTTGAAACACTCTTTTTGTAGAAACTGCAAGTGGATATTTGGTCCTCTCTGAGGATTTCGTTGGAAACGGGATAAACCGCACAGAACTAAAACAGAAGCATTCACAGAAAACTCTTGGTGACGACTGAGTTTAACTCACAGAGCTGAACATTCCTTTGGATGGAGCAGTTTCGAAACACACTATTTGTAGAATCTGCAAGTGGATATTTGGGCCTCTCTGAGGATTTCGTTGGAAACGGGATAAAACGCACAGAACTAAAACAGAAGCATTCTCAGAAACTACTTTGTGATGATTGCATTCAAGTCACAGAGTTGAACATTCCCTTTGACAGAACAGTTTGGAAACTCTCTTTGTGTAGAATCTGCAAGTGGAGATATGGACCGCTTTGAGGCCTATGGTAGTAAAGGAAATAGCTTCATATAAAAGCTAGACAGTAGCATTCTCAGAAACTTCTTTGTGATGCTTGCATTCAACTCACAGAGTTGAACTTTCCTTTCGAGAGAGAAGCTTTGAAACACTCTTTTTCCAGAATCTGCAAGTGGACATTTGGAGGGCTTTGAGGCCTGTGGTGGAAAAGGAATTATCTTCCCGTAAAAGCTAGATAGAAGCATTGTCAGAAACTTCTTTGTGATGATTGCATTCAACTCACAGAGTTGAAGGTTCCTTTTCAAACAGCAGTTTCCAATCACTCTTTCTGTGGAATCTGCAAGTGGATATTTGGACCTCTTTGAAGATTTCGTTGGAAACGGGAGTATCTTCACAGAAAAGCTAAACAGAAGCATTCTCAGAAACTTCTCTGTGATGTTTGTGTTCAACTCCCAGAGTTTCACATTGCTTTTCATAGAGTAGTTCTGAAACATGCTTTTCGTAGTGTCTGCAAGTGGACATTTGGAGCGCTTTCAGGCCTGTGGTGGAAAACGAATTATGGTCACATAAAAACTGGAGAGAAGCCTTCTCAGAAACTTCTCTGTGATGATTGCATTCAACTCACGGAGTTGAACCCTCCTATGGATAGAGCAGTGTTGAAACTCTCTTTTTGTGGAATCTGCAAGTGGATATGTGGACCTCTCCGAAGATGTCTTTGGAAACGGGAATATCTTCACATAAAAACTAAACAGAAGCATTCTCAGAAACTTCTTGGTGATGTTTGCATTCAAATCCCAGAGTTGAACCTTCCTTTGATAGTTCAGGTTTGAAACACTCTTTTTGTAGGACCTGCAAGTGGATATTTGGACCACTCTGTGGCCTTCGTTCGAAACGGGTACATCTTCGCATAAAATCTAGACAGAAGCATTCTCAGAAAATACTTTGTGATGATTGAGTTGAACTCACAGAGCTGAACATTCCTTTGGATGGAGCAGGTTTGAGACACACTTTTTGTAGAATCTACAAGTGGATATTTGGACCTCTTTGAGGATTTCGTTGGAAACGGGATAACTGCACCTAACTAAACGGAAGCATTCTCAGCAAACTGCTTTGTGATGATTGCATTCACCTCACAGCGTTGAACATTCCTATTGATAGAGCAGTTTGGAAACACTCTTGTTGTGGAATGTGCAAGTGGAGATTTGGAGCGCTTTGAGGCCTGTGGTAGTAAAGGGAATAGCTTCATAGAAAAACTAGACAGATGCATTCTCAGGAACCTTTTGGTGATGTTTGTATTCAACTCCCAGAGTTGAACTTTCCTTTGGAAAGAGCAGCTATGAAACACCCTTTTTCTAGAATCTGCAAGTGGACGTTTGGAGGGCTTTGTGGTTTGTGGTGGAAAAGGAAATATCTTCACCTAAATACTAGATAGAAGCATTCTCAGAAGCTTCTCTGTGATGACTGCATTCAACTCACGGAGTTGAACACTCCTTTTGAGAGCGCAGTTTTGAAACTCTCTTTCTGTGGCATCTGCAAGGGGACATGTAGACCTCTTTGAAGATTTCGTTGGAAACGGAATCATCTTCACATAAAAACTATACAGAAGCAGTCTCAGAATCTTCTTTGTGATGTTTGCATTCAAATCCCAGAGTTGAACTTTCCTTTCAAAGTTCACGTTTGAAACACTCTTTTTGCAGGATCTACAAGTGGATATTTGGACCACTCTGTGTCCTTCGTTCGAAACGGGTATATCTTCACACGACATCTAGACAGAAGCTTTCTCAGAAAATTCTTTGGGATGATTGAGTGGAACTCACAGAGCTGAACATTCCTTGCGATGTAGCAGTTTAGAAACACACTTTCTGCAGAATCTGCAAGTGCATATTTGGACCTCTCTGAGGAATTCGTTGGAAACGGGATAATTTCAGCTGACTAAACAGAAGCATTCTCAGAACCTTCTTCGTGATGTCTGCATTCAACTCACAGTGTGGAACCTTTCTTTGATAGTTCAGGTTTGAAACACTCTTTTTGTAGAAACTGCAAGGGGATAATTGCACTTCTTTGAGGCCTACCGTAGTAAAGGAAATAACTTCCTATAGAAAGAAGACAGAAGCATTCTCAGAACCCTCTTCGTGATGTTTGCATTCAACTCACAGTGCTGAACCTTTCTTTGATAGTTCAGCTTTGAAACACTCTTCTTGTAGAAACTGCAAGTGGATATTTGGTCCTCTCTGAGGATTTCGTTGGAAACGGGATAAACCGCACAGAACTAAACAGAAGAATTCTCAGAGCCCTCTTCGTGATGTTTGCATTCAACTCACAGTGCTGAACCTTTCTTTGATAGTGCAGCTTTGAAACACTCTTTTTGTAGAAACTGCAAGTGGATGTTTGGTCCTCTCTGAGGATTTCGTTGGAAACGGGATAAACCGCACAGAACTAAAACAGAAGCATTGTCAGAAACTTCTTTGTGATGATTGCATTCAACTCACAGAGTTGAAGGTTCCTTTTCAAACAGCAGTTTCCAATCACTCTTTCTGTGGAATCTGCAAGTGGATATTTGGGCCTCTCTGAGGATTTCGTTGGAAACGGGATAAAACGCACAGAACTAAAACAGAAGCATTCTCAGAAACTTCTCTGTGATGTTTGTGTTCAACTCCCAGAGTTTCACGTTGCTTTTCATAGAGTAGTTCTGAAACATGCTTTTCGTAGTGTCTGCAAGTGGACATTTGGAGCGCTTTCAGGCCTGTGGTGGAAAACGAATTATGGTCACATAAAAACTGGAGAGAAGCCTTCTCAGAAACTTCTCTGTGATGATTGCATTCAACTCACAGAGTTGAACCGTCCTATGGATAGAGCAGTGTTGAAACTCTCTTTTTGTGGAATCTGCAAGTGGATATGTGGACCTCTCCGAAGATGTCTTTGGAAACGGGACTATCTTCACATAAAAACTAAACAGAAGCATTCTCAGAAACTTCTTGGTGATGTTTGCATTCAAATCCCAGAGTTGAACCTTCCTTTGATAGTTCAGGTTTGAAACACTCTTTTTGTAGGATCTGCAATTGGCTATTTAGACCACTCTGTGGCCTTCGTTCGAAACGGGTATATCTTCGCATAAAATCCTAGACAGAAGCATTCTCAGAAAATACTTTGTGATGATTGAGTTGAACTCACAGAGCTGAACATTCCTTTGGATGGAGCAGGTTTGAGACACACTTTTTGTAGAATCTACAAGTGGATATTTGGACCTCTCTGAGGATTTCGTTGGAAACGGGATAACTGCACCTAACTAAACGGAAGCATTCTCAGAAACTGCTTTGTGATGATTGCATTCACCTCACAGAGTTGAACATTCCTATTTAGAGAGCAGTTTGGAAACACTCTTGTTGTGGAATGTGCAAGTGGAGATTTGGAGCGCTTTGAGGCCTATGGTAGTAAAGGGAATAGCTTCATAGAAAAACTAGACAGATGCATTCTCAGGAACTTTTTGGTGATGTTTGTATTCAACTCCCAGAGTTGAACTTTCCTTTGGAAAGAGCAGCTATGAAACACTCTTTTTCTAGAATCTGCAAGTGGACGTTTGGAGGGCTTTGTGGTTTGTGGTGGAAAAGGAAATATCTTCACCTAAATACTAGATAGAAGCATTCTCAGAAGCTTCTCTGTGATGACTGCATTCAACTCACGGAGTTGAACACTCCTTTTGAGAGCGCAGTTTTGAAACTCTCTTTCTGTGGCATCTGCAAGGGGACATGTAGACCTCTTTGAAGATTTCGTTGGAAACGGAATCATCTTCACATAAAAACTATACAGAAGCAGTCTCAGAATCTTCTTTGTGATGTTTGCATTCAAATCCCAGAGTTGAACTTTCCTTTCAAAGTTCACGTTTGAAACACTCTTTTTGCAGGATCTACAAGTGGATATTTGGACCACTCTGTGTCCTTCGTTCGAAACGGGTATATCTTCACACGACATCTAGACAGAAGCTTTCTCAGAAAATTCTTTGGGATGATTGAGTGGAACTCACAGAGCTGAACATTCCTTGCGATGTAGCAGTTTAGAAACACACTTTCTGCAGAATCTGCAAGTGCATATTTGGACCTCTCTGAGGAATTCGTTGGAAACGGGATAATTTCAGCTGACTAAACAGAAGCATTCTCAGAACCTTCTTCGTGATGTCTGCATTCAACTCACAGTGTGGAACCTTTCTTTGATAGTTCAGGTTTGAAACACTCTTTTTGTAGAAACTGCAAGGGGATAATTGCACTTCTTTGAGGCCTACCGTAGTAAAGGAAATAACTTCCTATAGAAAGAAGACAGAAGCATTCTCAGAACCCTCTTCGTGATGTTTGCATTCAACTCACAGTGCTGAACCTTTCTTTGATAGTTCAGCTTTGAAACACTCTTCTTGTAGAAACTGCAAGTGGATATTTGGTCCTCTCTGAGGATTTCGTTGGAAACGGGATAAACCGCACAGAACTAAACAGAAGAATTCTCAGAGCCCTCTTCGTGATGTTTGCATTCAACTCACAGTGCTGAACCTTTCTTTGATAGTGCAGCTTTGAAACACTCTTTTTGTAGAAACTGCAAGTGGATGTTTGGTCCTCTCTGAGGATTTCGTTGGAAACGGGATAAACCGCACAGAACTAAAACAGAAGCATTGTCAGAAACTTCTTTGTGATGATTGCATTCAACTCACAGAGTTGAAGGTTCCTTTTCAAACAGCAGTTTCCAATCACTCTTTCTGTGGAATCTGCAAGTGGATATTTGGGCCTCTCTGAGGATTTCGTTGGAAACGGGATAAAACGCACAGAACTAAAACAGAAGCATTCTCAGAAACTTCTCTGTGATGTTTGTGTTCAACTCCCAGAGTTTCACGTTGCTTTTCATAGAGTAGTTCTGAAACATGCTTTTCGTAGTGTCTGCAAGTGGACATTTGGAGCGCTTTCAGGCCTGTGGTGGAAAACGAATTATGGTCACATAAAAACTGGAGAGAAGCCTTCTCAGAAACTTCTCTGTGATGATTGCATTCAACTCACAGAGTTGAACCCTCCTATGGATAGAGCAGTGTTGAAACTCTCTTTTTGTGGAATCTGCAAGTGGATATGTGGACCTCTCCGAAGATGTCTTTGGAAACGGGAATATCTTCACATAAAAACTAAACAGAAGCATTCTCAGAAACTTCTTGGTGATGTTTGCATTCAAATCCCAGAGTTGAACCTTCCTTTGATAGTTCAGGTTTGAAACACTCTTTCTGTAGGATCTGCAAGTGGCTATTTGGACCACTCTGTGGCCTTCGTTCGAAACGGGTATATCTTCGCATAAAATCTAGACAGAAGCATTCTCAGAAAATACTTTGTGATGATTGAGTTTAAATCACAGAGCTGACCATTCCTTTGGATGGAGCAGGTTTGAGACACACTTTTTGTAGAATCTACAAGTGGATATTTGGACCTCTCTGAGGATTTCGTTGGAAACGGGATAACTGCACCTAACTAAACGGAAGCATTCTCAGAAACTGCTTTGTGATGATTGCATTCACCTCACAGAGTTGAACATTCCTATTGATAGAGCAGTTTGGAAACACTCTTGTTGTGGAATGTGCAAGTGGAGATTTGGAGCGCTTTGAGGCCTGTGGTAGCAAAGGGAATAGCTTCATAGAAAAACTAGACAGATGCATTCTCAGGAACTTTTTGGTGATGTTTGTATTCAACTCCCAGAGTTGAACTTTCCTTTGGAAAGAGCAGCTATGAAACACTCTTTTTCTAGAATCTGCAAGTGGACGTTTGGAGGGCTTTGTGGTTTGTGGTGGAAAAGGAAATATCTTCACCTAAATACTAGATAGAAGCATTCTCAGAAGCTTCTCTGTGATGACTGCATTCAACTCACGGAGTTGAACACTCCTTTTGAGAGCGTAGTTTTGAAACTCTCTTTCTGTGGCATCTGCAAGGGGACATGTAGACCTCTTTGAAGATTTCGTTGGAAACGGAATCATCTTCACATAAAAACTATACAGAAGCAGTCTCAGAATCTTCTTTGTGATGTTTGCATTCAAATCCCAGAGTTGAACTTTCCTTTCAAAGTTCACGTTTGAAACACTCTTTTTGCAGGATCTACAAGTGGATATTTGGACCACTCTGTGTCCTTCGTTCGAAACGGGTATATCTTCACAGGACATCTAGACAGAAGCTTTCTCAGAAAATTCTTTGGGATGATTGAGTGGAACTCACAGAGCTGAACATTCCTTGCGATGGAGCAGTTTAGAAACACACTTTCTGCAGAATCTGCAAGTGCATATTTGGACCTCTCTGAGGAATTCGTTGGAAACGGGATAATTTCAGCTGACTAAACAGAAGCATTCTCAGAACCTTCTTCGTGATGTCTGCATTCAACTCACAGTGTGGAACCTTTCTTTGATAGTTCAGGTTTGAAACACTCTTTTTGTAGAAACTGCAAGGGGATAATTGCACTTCTTTGAGGCCTACCGTAGTAAAGGAAATAACTTCCTATAGAAAGAAGACAGAAGCATTCTCAGAACCCTCTTCGTGATGTTTGCATTCAACTCACAGTGCTGAACCTTTCTTTGATAGTTCAGCTTTGAAACACTCTTCTTGTAGAAACTGCAAGTGGATATTTGGTCCTCTCTGAGGATTTCGTTGGAAACGGGATAAACCGCACAGAACTAAACAGAAGAATTCTCAGAGCCCTCTTCGTGATGTTTGCATTCAACTCACAGTGCTGAACCTTTCTTTGATAGTGCAGCTTTGAAACACTCTTTTTGTAGAAACTGCAAGTGGATGTTTGGTCCTCCCTGAGGATTTCGTTGGAAACGGGATAAACCGCACAGAACTAAAACAGAAGCATTGTCAGAAACTTCTTTGTGATGATTGCATTCAACTCACAGAGTTGAAGGTTCCTTTTCAAACAGCAGTTTCCAATCACTCTTTCTGTGGAATCTGCAAGTGGATATTTGGGCCTCTCTGAGGATTTCGTTGGAAACGGGATAAAACGCACAGAACTAAAACAGAAGCATTCTCAGAAACTTCTCTGTGATGTTTGTGTTCAACTCCCAGAGTTTCACGTTGCTTTTCATAGAGTAGTTCTGAAACATGCTTTTCGTAGTGTCTGCAAGTGGACATTTGGAGCGCTTTCAGGCCTGTGGTGGAAAACGAATTATGGTCACATAAAAACTGGAGAGAGCCTTCTCAGAAACTTCTCTGTGATGATTGCATTCAACTCACAGAGTTGAACCCTCCTATGGATAGAGCAGTGTTGAAACTCTCTTTTTGTGGAATCTGCAAGTGGATATGTGGACCTCTCCGAAGATGTCTTTGGAAACGGGAATATCTTCACATAAAAACTAAACAGAAGCATTCTCAGAAACTTCTTGGTGATGTTTGCATTCAAATCCCAGAGTTGAACCTTCCTTTGATAGTTCAGGTTTGAAACACTCTTTCTGTAGGATCTGCAAGTGGCTATTTGGACCACTCTGTGGCCTTCGTTCGAAACGGGTATATCTTCGCATAAAATCTAGACAGAAGCATTCTCAGAAAATACTTTGTGATGATTGAGTTTAAATCACAGAGCTGACCATTCCTTTGGATGGAGCAGGTTTGAGACACACTTTTTGTAGAATCTACAAGTGGATATTTGGACCTCTCTGAGGATTTCGTTGGAAACGGGATAACTGCACCTAACTAAACGGAAGCATTCTCAGAAACTGCTTTGTGATGATTGCATTCACCTCACAGAGTTGAACATTCCTATTGATAGAGCAGTTTGGAAACACTCTTGTTGTGGAATGTGCAAGTGGAGATTTGGAGCGCTTTGAGGCCTATGGTAGTAAAGGGAATAGCTTCATAGAAAAACTAGACAGATGCATTCTCAGGAACTTTTTGGTGATGTTTGTATTCAACTCCCAGAGTTGAACTTTCCTTTGGAAAGAGCAGCTATGAAACACTCTTTTTCTAGAATCTGCAAGTGGACGTTTGGAGGGCTTTGTGGTTTGTGGTGGAAAAGGAAATATCTTCACCTAAATACTAGATAGAAGCATCCTCAGAAGCTTCTCTGTGATGACTGCATTCAACTCACGGAGTTGAACACTCCTTTTGAGAGCGCAGTTTTGAAACTCTCTTTCTGTGGCATCTGCAAGGGGACATGTAGACCTCTTTGAAGATTTCGTTGGAAACGGAATCATCTTCACATAAAAACTATACAGAAGCAGTCTCAGCAATCTTCTTTGTGATGTTTGCATTCAAATCCCCGAGTTGAACTTTCCTTTCAAAGTTCACGTTTGAAACACTCTTTTTGCAGGATCTACAAGTGGATATTTGGACCACTCTGTGTCCTTCGTTCGAAACGGGTATATCTTCACATGACATCTAGACAGAAGCTTTCTCAGAAAATTCTTTGGGATGATTGAGTTGAACTCACAGAGCTGAGCATTCCTTGCGATGTAGCAGTTTAGAAACACACTTTCTGCAGAATCTGCAAGTGCATATTTGGGACCTCTGTGAGGAATTCGTTGGAAACGGGATAATTTCAGCTGACTAAACAGAAGCATTCTCAGAACCTTCTTCGTGATGTCTGCATTCAACTCACAGTGTGGAACCTTTCTTTGATAGTTCAGGTTTGAAACACTCTTTTTGTAGAAACTGCAAGGGGATAATTGCACTTCTTTGAGGCCTACCGTAGTAAAGGAAATAACTTCCTATAAAAAGAAGACAGAAGAATTCTCAGAGCCCTCTTCGTGGTGTTTGCATTCAACTCACAGTGCTGAACCTTTCTTTGATAGTGCAGCTTTGAAACACTCTTTTTGTAGAAACTGCAAGTGGATATTTGGTCCTCTCTGAGGATTTCGTTGGAAACGGGATAAACCGCACAGAACTAAAGAGAAGCATTCACAGAAAACTCTTGGTGACGACTGAGTTTAACTCACAGAGCTGAACATTCCTTTGGATGGAGCAGTTTCGAAACACACTATTTGTAGAATCTGCAAGTGGATATTTGGGCCTCTCTGAGGATTTCGTTGGAAACGGGATAAAACGCACAGAACTAAAACAGAAGCATTCTCAGAAACTACTTTGTGATGATTGCATTCAAGTCACAGAGTTGAACATTCCCTTTGACAGAGCAGTTTGGAAACTCTCTTTGTGTAGAATCTGCAAGTGGAGATATGGAACGCTTTGAGGCCTATGGTAGTAAAGGAAATAGCTTCATATAAAAGCTAGACAGTAGCATTCTCAGAAACTTCTTTGTGATGCTTGCATTCAACTCACAGAGTTGAACTTTCCTTTCGAGAGAGAAGCTTTGAAACACTCTTTTTCCAGAATGTGCAAGTGGACATTTGGGGAGCTTTGAGGCCTGTGGTGGAAAAGGAATTATCTTCCCGTAAAAGCTAGATAGAAGCATTGTCAGAAACTTCTTTGTGATGATTGCATTCAACTCACAGAGTTGAAGGTTCCTTTTCAAACAGCAGTTTCCAATCACTCTTTCTGTGGAATCTGCAAGTGGATATTTCGACCTCTTTGAAGATTTCGTTGGAAACGGGAGAATCTTCACAGAAAAGCTAAACAGAAGCATTCTCAGAAACTTCTCTGTGATGTTTGTGTTCAACTCCCAGAGTTTCACGTTGCTTTTCATAGAGTAGTTCTGAAACATGCTTTTCGTAGTGTCTGCAAGTGGACATTTGGAGCGCTTTCAGGCCTGTGGTGGAAAACGAATTATGGTCACATAAAAACTGGAGAGAAGCCTTCTCAGAAACTTCTCTGTGATGATTGCATTCAACTCACAGAGTTGAACCCTCCTATGGATAGAGCAGTGTTGAAACTCTCTTTTTGTGGAATCTGCAAGTGGATATGTGGACCTCTCCGAAGATGTCTTTGGAAACGGGAATATCTTCACATAAAAACTAAACAGAAGCATTCTCAGAAACTTCTTGGTGATGTTTGCATTCAAATCCCAGAGTTGAACCTTCCTTTGATAGTTCAGGTTTGAAACACTCTTTCTGTAGGATCTGCAAGTGGCTATTTGGACCACTCTGTGGCCTTCGTTCGAAACGGGTATATCTTCGCATAAAATCTAGACAGAAGCATTCTCAGAAAATACTTTGTGATGATTGAGTTTAAATCACAGAGCTGACCATTCCTTTGGATGGAGCAGGTTTGAGACACACTTTTTGTAGAATCTACAAGTGGATATTTGGACCTCTCTGAGGATTTCGTTGGAAACGGGATAACTGCACCTAACTAAACGGAAGCATTCTCAGAAACTGCTTTGTGATGATTGCATTCACCTCACAGAGTTGAACATTCCTATTGATAGAGCAGTTTGGAAACACTCTTGTTGTGGAATGTGCAAGTGGAGATTTGGAGCGCTTTGAGGCCTATGGTAGTAAAGGGAATAGCTTCATAGAAAAACTAGACAGATGCATTCTCAGGAACTTTTTGGTGATGTTTGTATTCAACTCCCAGAGTTGAACTTTCCTTTGGAAAGAGCAGCTATGAAACACTCTTTTTCTAGAATCTGCAAGTGGACGTTTGGAGGGCTTTGTGGTTTGTGGTGGAAAAGGAAATATCTTCACCTAAATACTAGATAGAAGCATTCTCAGAAGCTTCTCTGTGATGACTGCATTCAACTCACGGAGTTGAACACTCCTTTTGAGAGCGCAGTTTTGAAACTCTCTTTCTGTGGCATCTGCAAGGGGACATGTAGACCTCTTTGAAGATTTCGTTGGAAACGGAATCATCTTCACATAAAAACTATACAGAAGCAGTCTCAGAATCTTCTTTGTGATGTTTGCATTCAAATCCCAGAGTTGAACTTTCCTTTCAAAGTTCACGTTTGAAACACTCTTTTTGCAGGATCTACAAGTGGATATTTGGACCATTCTGTGTCCTTCGTTTGAAACGGGTATATCTTCACATGACATCTAGACAGAAGCTTTCTCAGAAAATTCTTTGGGATGATTGAGTGGAACTCACAGAGCTGAACATTCCTTGCGATGTAGCAGTTTAGAAACACACTTTCTGCAGAATCTGCAAGTGCATATTTGGACCTCTCTGAGGAATTCGTTGGAAACGGGATAATTTCAGCTGACTAAACAGAAGCATTCTCAGAACCTTCTTCGTGATGTCTGCATTCAACTCACAGTGTGGAACCTTTCTTTGATAGTTCAGGTTTGAAACACTCTTTTTGTAGAAACTGCAAGGGGATAATTGCACTTCTTTGAGGCCTACCGTAGTAAAGGAAATAACTTCCTATAGAAAGAAGACAGAAGCATTCTCAGAACCCTCTTCGTGATGTTTGCATTCAACTCACAGTGCTGAACCTTTCTTTGATAGTTCAGCTTTGAAACACTCTTCTTGTAGAAACTGCAAGTGGATATTTGGTCCTCTCTGAGGATTTCGTTGGAAACGGGATAAACCGCACAGAACTAAACAGAAGCATTCTCAGAGCCCTCTTCGTGATGTTTGCATTCAACTCACAGTGCTGAACCTTTCTTTGATAGTGCAGCTTTGAAACACTCTTTTTGTAGAAAGTGCAAGTGGATGTTTGGTCCTCTCTGAGGATTTCGTTGGAAACGGGATAAACCGCACAGAACTAAAACAGAAGCATTGTCAGAAACTTCTTTGTGATGATTGCATTCAACTCACAGAGTTGAAGGTTCCTTTTCAAACAGCAGTTTCCAATCACTCTTTCTGTGGAATCTGCAAGTGGATATTTGGGCCTCTACTGAGGATTTCGTTGGAAACGGGATAAAACGCACAGAACTAAAACAGAAGCATTCTCAGAAACTTCTCTGTGATGTTTGTGTTCAACTCCCAGAGTTTCACGTTGCTTTTCATAGAGTAGTTCTGAAACATGCTTTTCGTAGTGTCTGCAAGTGGACATTTGGAGCGCTTTCAGGCCTGTGGTGGAAAACGAATTATGGTCACATAAAAACTGGAGAGAAGCCTTCTCAGAAACTTCTCTGTGATGATTGCATTCAACTCACAGAGTTGAACCCTCCTATGGATAGAGCAGTGTTGAAACTCTCTTTTTGTGGAACCTGCAAGTGGATATGTGGACCTCTCCGAAGATGTCTTTGGAAACGGGAATATCTTCACATAAAAACTAAACAGAAGCATTCTCAGAAACTTCTTGGTGATGTTTGCATTCAAATCCCAGAGTTGAACCTTCCTTTGATAGTTCAGGTTTGAAACACTCTTTCTGTAGGATCTGCAAGTGGCTATTTGGACCACTCTGTGGCCTTCGTTCGAAACGGGTATATCTTCGCATAAAATCTAGACAGAAGCATTCTCAGAAAATACTTTGTGATGATTGAGTTTAAATCACAGAGCTGACCATTCCTTTGGATGGAGCAGGTTTGAGACACACTTTTTGTAGAATCTACAAGTGGATATTTGGACCTCTCTGAGGATTTCGTTGGAAACGGGATAACTGCACCTAACTAAACGGAAGCATTCTCAGAAACTGCTTTGTGATGATTGCATTCACCTCACAGAGTTGAACATTCCTATTGATAGAGCAGTTTGGAAACACTCTTGTTGTGGAATGTGCAAGTGGAGATTTGGAGCGCTTTGAGGCCTATGGTAGTAAAGGGAATAGCTTCATAGAAAAACTAGACAGATGCATTCTCAGGTAACTTTTTGGTGATGTTTGTATTCAACTCCCAGAGTTGAACTTTCCTTTGGAAAGAGCAGCTATGAAACACTCTTTTTCTAGAATCTGCAAGTGGACGTTTGGAGGGCTTTGTGGTTTGTGGTGGAAAAGGAAATATCTTCACCTAAATACTAGATAGAAGCATTCTCAGAAGCTTCTCTGTGATGACTGCATTCAACTCACGGAGTTGAACACTCCTTTTGAGAGCGCAGTTTTGAAACTCTCCTTCTGTGGCATCCGCAAGGGGACATGTGGACCTCTTTGAAGATTTCGTTGGAAACGGAATCATCTTCACATAAAAACTATACAGAAGCAGTCTCAGAATCTTCTTTGTGATGTTTGCATTCAAATCCCAGAGTTGAACTTGCCTTTCAAAGTTCACGTTTGAAACACTCTTTTTGCAGGATCTACAAGTGGATATTTGGACCACTCTGTGTCCTTCGTTCGAAACGGGTATATCTTCACATGACATCTAGACAGAAGCTTTCTCAGAAAATTCTTTGGGATGATTGAGTGGAACTCACAGAGCTGAACATTCCTTGCGATGTAGCAGTTTAGAAACACACTTTCTGCAGAATCTGCAAGTGCATATTTGGACCTCTCTGAGGAATTCGTTGGAAACGGGATAATTTCAGCTGACTAAACAGAAGCATTCTCAGAACCTTCTTCGTGATGTCTGCATTCAACTCACAGTGTGGAACCTTTCTTTGATAGTTCAGGTTTGAAACACTCTTTTTGTAGAAACTGCAAGGGGATAATTGCACTTCTTTGAGGCCTACCGTAGTAAAGGAAATAACTTCCTATAGAAAGAAGACAGAAGCATTCTCAGAACCCTCTTCGTGATGTTTGCATTCAACTCACAGTGCTGAACCTTTCTTTGATAGTTCAGCTTTGAAACACTCTTCTTGTAGAAACTGCAAGTGGATATTTGGTCCTCTCTGAGGATTTCGTTGGAAACGGGATAAACCGCACAGAACTAAACAGAAGAATTCTCAGAGCCCTCTTCGTGATGTTTGCATTCAACTCACAGTGCTGAACCTTTCTTTGATAGTGCAGCTTTGAAACACTCTTTTTGTAGAAACTGCAAGTGGATGTTTGGTCCTCTCTGAGGATTTCGTTGGAAACGGGATAAACCGCACAGAACTAAAACAGAAGCATTGTCAGAAACTTCTTTGTGATGATTGCATTCAACTCACAGAGTTGAAGGTTCCTTTTCAAACAGCAGTTTCCAATCACTCTTTCTGTGGAATCTGCAAGTGGATATTTGGGCCTCTCTGAGGATTTCGTTGGAAACGGGATAAAACGCACAGAACTAAAACAGAAGCATTCTCAGAAACTTCTCTGTGATGTTTGTGTTCAACTCCCAGAGTTTCACGTTGCTTTTCATAGAGTAGTTCTGAAACATGCTTTTCGTAGTGTCTGCAAGTGGACATTTGGAGCGCTTTCAGGCCTGTGGTGGAAAACGAATTATGGTCACATAAAAACTGGAGAGAAGCCTTCTCAGAAACTTCTCTGTGATGATTGCATTCAACTCACAGAGTTGAACCCTCCTATGGATAGAGCAGTGTTGAAACTCTCTTTTTGTGGAATCTGCAAGTGGATATGTGGACCTCTCCGAAGATGTCTTTGGAAACGGGAATATCTTCACATAAAAACTAAACAGAAGCATTCTCAGAAACTTCTTGGTGATGTTTGCATTCAAATCCCAGAGTTGAACCTTCCTTTGATAGTTCAGGTTTGAAACACTCTTTTTGTAGGATCTGCAAGTGGATATTTGGACCACTCTGTGGCCTTCGTTCGAAACGGGTATATCTTCGCATAAAATCTAGACAGAAGCATTCTCAGAAAATACTTTGTGATGATTGAGTTTAACTCACAGAGCTGAACATTCCTTTGGATGGAGCAGGTTTGAGACACACTTTTTGTAGAATCTACAAGTGGATATTTGGACCTCTCTGAGGATTTCGTTGGAAACGGGATAACTGCACCTAACTAAACGGAAGCATTCTCAGAAACTGCTTTGTGATGATTGCATTCACCTCACAGAGTTGAACATTCCTATTGATAGAGCAGTTTGGAAACACTCTTGTTGTGGAATGTGCAAGTGGAGATTTGGAGCGCTTTGAGGCCTATGGTAGTAAAGGGAATAGCTTCATAGAAAAACTAGACAGATGCATTCTCAGGAACTTTTTGGTGATGTTTGTATTCAACTCCCAGAGTTGAACTTTCCTTTGGAAAGAGCAGCTATGAAACACTCTTTTTCTAGAATCTGCAAGTGGACGTTTGGAGGGCTTTGTGGTTTGTGGTGGAAAAGGAAATATCTTCACCTAAATACTAGATAGAAGCATTCTCAGAAGCTTCTCTGTGATGACTGCATTCAACTCACGGAGTTGAACACTCCTTTTGAGAGCGCAGTTTTGAAACTCTCTTTCTGTGGCATCTGCAAGGGGACATGTAGACCTCTTTGAAGATTTCGTTGGAAACGGAATCATCTTCACATAAAAACTATACAGAAGCAGTCTCAGAATCTTCTTTGTGATGTTTGCATTCAAATCCCAGAGTTGAACTTTCCTTTCAAAGTTCACGTTTGAAACACTCTTTTTGCAGGATCTACAAGTGGATATTTGGACCACTCTGTGTCCTTCGTTCGAAACGGGTATATCTTCACACGACATCTAGAGAGAAGCTTTCTCAGAAAATTCTTTGGGATGATTGAGTGGAACTCACAGAGCTGAACATTCCTTGCGATGGAGCAGTTTAGAAACACACTTTCTGCAGAATCTGCAAGTGCATATTTGGACCTCTCTGAGGAATTCGTTGGAAACGGGATAATTTCAGCTGACTAAACAGAAGCATTCTCAGAACCTTCTTCGTGATGTCTGCATTCAACTCACAGTGTGGAACCTTTCTTTGATAGTTCAGGTTTGAAACACTCTTTTTGTAGAAACTGCAAGGGGATAATTGCACTTCTTTGAGGCCTACCGTAGTAAAGGAAATAACTTCCTATAGAAAGAAGACAGAAGCATTCTCAGAACCCTCTTCGTGATGTTTGCATTCAACTCACAGTGCTGAACCTTTCTTTGATAGTTCAGCTTTGAAACACTCTTCTTGTAGAAACTGCAAGTGGATATTTGGTCCTCTCTGAGGATTTCGTTGGAAACGGGATAAACCGCACAGAACTAAACAGAAGAATTCTCAGAGCCCTCTTCGTGATGTTTGCATTCAACTCACAGTGCTGAACCTTTCTTTGATAGTGCAGCTTTGAAACACTCTTTTTGTAGAAACTGCAAGTGGATGTTTGGTCCTCTCTGAGGATTTCGTTGGAAACGGGATAAACCGCACAGAACTAAAACAGAAGCATTGTCAGAAACTTCTTTGTGATGATTGCATTCAACTCACAGAGTTGAAGGTTCCTTTTCAAACAGCAGTTTCCAATCACTCTTTCTGTGGAATCTGCAAGTGGATATTTGGGCCTCTCTGAGGATTTCGTTGGAAACGGGATAAAACGCACAGAACTAAAACAGAAGCATTCTCAGAAACTTCTCTGTGATGTTTGTGTTCAACTCCCAGAGTTTCACGTTGCTTTTCATAGAGTAGTTCTGAAACATGCTTTTCGTAGTGTCTGCAAGTGGACATTTGGAGCGCTTTCAGGCCTGTGGTGGAAAACGAATTATGGTCACATAAAAACTGGAGAGAAGCCTTCTCAGAAACTTCTCTGTGATGATTGCATTCAACTCACAGAGTTGAACCCTCCTATGGATAGAGCAGTGTTGAAACTCTCTTTTTGTGGAATCTGCAAGTGGATATGTGGACCTCTCCGAAGATGTCTTTGGAAACGGGAATATCTTCACATAAAAACTAAACAGAAGCATTCTCAGAAACTTCTTGGTGATGTTTGCATTCAAATCCCAGAGTTGAACCTTCCTTTGATAGTTCAGGTTTGAAACACTCTTTTTGTAGGATCTGCAAGTGGCTATTTGGACCACTCTGTGGCCTTCGTTCGAAACGGGTATATCTTCGCATAAAATCTAGACAGAAGCATTCTCAGAAAATACTTTGTGATGATTGAGTTTAAATCACAGAGCTGACCATTCCTTTGGATGGAGCAGGTTTGAGACACACTTTTTGTAGAATCTACAAGTGGATATTTGGACCTCTCTGAGGATTTCGTTGGAAACGGGATAACTGCACCTAACTAAACGGAAGCATTCTCAGAAACTGCTTTGTGATGATTGCATTCACCTCACAGAGTTGAACATTCCTATTGATAGAGCAGTTTGGAAACACTCTTGTTGTGGAATGTGCAAGTGGAGATTTGGAGCGCTTTGAGGCCTATGGTAGTAAAGGGAATAGCTTCATAGAAAAACTAGACAGATGCATTCTCAGGAACTTTTTGGTGATGTTTGTATTCAACTCCCAGAGTTGAACTTTCCTTTGGAAAGAGCAGCTATGAAACACTCTTTTTCTAGAATCTGCAAGTGGACGTTTGGAGGGCTTTGTGGTTTGTGGTGGAAAAGGAAATATCTTCACCTAAATACTAGATAGAAGCATTCTCAGAAGCTTCTCTGTGATGACTGCATTCAACTCACGGAGTTGAACACTCCTTTTGAGAGCGCAGTTTTGAAACTCTCTTTCTGTGGCATCTGCAAGGGGACATGTAGACCTCTTTGAAGATTTCGTTGGAAACGGAATCATCTTCACATAAAAACTATACAGAAGCAGTCTCTGAATCTTCTTTGTGATGTTTGCATTCAAATCCCAGAGTTGAACTTCCCTTTCAAAGTTCACGTTTGAAACACTCTTTTTGCAGGATCTACAAGTGGATATTTGGACCACTCTGTGTCCTTCGTTCGAAACGGGTATATCTTCACATGACATCTAGACAGAAGCTTTCTCAGAAAATTCTTTGGGATGATTGAGTGGAACTCACAGAGCTGAACATTCCTTGCGATGTAGCAGTTTAGAAACACACTTTCTGCAGAATCTGCAAGTGCATATTTGGACCTCTCTGAGGAATTCGTTGGAAACGGGATAATTTCAGCTGACTAAACAGAAGCATTCTCAGAACTTCTTCGTGATGTCTGCATTCAACTCACAGTGTGGAACCTTTCTTTGATAGTTCAGGTTTGAAACACTCTTTTTGTAGAAACTGCAAGGGGATAATTGCACTTCTTTGAGGCCTACCGTAGTAAAGGAAATAACTTCCTATAGAAAGAAGACAGAAGCATTCTCAGAACCCTCTTCGTGATGTTTGCATTCAACTCACAGTGCTGAACCTTTCTTTGATAGTTCAGCTTTGAAACACTCTTCTTGTAGAAACTGCAAGTGGATATTTGGTCCTCTCTGAGGATTTCGTTGGAAACGGGATAAACCGCACAGAACTAAACAGAAGAATTCTCAGAGCCCTCTTCGTGATGTTTGCATTCAACTCACAGTGCTGAACCTTTCTTTGATAGTGCAGCTTTGAAACACTCTTTTTGTAGAAACTGCAAGTGGATGTTTGGTCCTCTCTGAGGATTTCGTTGGAAACGGGATAAACCGCACAGAACTAAAACAGAAGCATTGTCAGAAACTTCTTTGTGATGATTGCATTCAACTCACAGAGTTGAAGGTTCCTTTTCAAACAGCAGTTTCCAATCACTCTTTCTGTGGAATCTGCAAGTGGATATTTGGGCCTCTCTGAGGATTTCGTTGGAAACGGGATAAAACGCACAGAACTAAAACAGAAGCATTCTCAGAAACTTCTCTGTGATGTTTGTGTTCAACTCCCAGAGTTTCACGTTGCTTTTCATAGAGTAGTTCTGAAACATGCTTTTCGTAGTGTCTGCAAGTGGACATTTGGAGCGCTTTCAGGCCTGTGGTGGAAAACGAATTATGGTCACATAAAAACTGGAGAGAAGCCTTCTCAGAAACTTCTCTGTGATGATTGCATTCAACTCACAGAGTTGAACCCTCCTATGGATAGAGCAGTGTTGAAACTCTCTTTTTGTGGAATCTGCAAGTGGATATGTGGACCTCTCCGAAGATGTCTTTGGAAACGGGAATATCTTCACATAAAAACTAAACAGAAGCATTCTCAGAAACTTCTTGGTGATGTTTGCATTCAAATCCCAGAGTTGAACCTTCCTTTGATAGTTCAGGTTTGAAACACTCTTTCTGTAGGATCTGCAAGTGGCTATTTGGACCACTCTGTGGCCTTCGTTCGAAACGGGTATATCTTCGCATAAAATCTAGACAGAAGCATTCTCAGAAAATACTTTGTGATGATTGAGTTTAAATCACAGAGCTGACCATTCCTTTGGATGGAGCAGGTTTGAGACACACTTTTTGTAGAATCTACAAGTGGATATTTGGACCTCTCTGAGGATTTCGTTGGAAACGGGATAACTGCACCTAACTAAACGGAAAGCATTCTCAGAAACTGCTTTGTGATGATTGCATTCACCTCACAGGAGTTGAACATTCCTATTGATAGAGCAGTTTGGAAACACTCTTGTTGTGGAATGTGCAAGTGGAGATTTGGAGCGCTTTGAGGCCTGTGGTAGTAAAGGGAATAGCTTCATAGAAAAACTAGACAGATGCATTCTCAGGAACTTTTTGGTGATGTTTGTATTCAACTCCCAGAGTTGAACTTTCCTTTGGAAAGAGCAGCTATGAAACACTCTTTTTCTAGAATCTGCAAGTGGACGTTTGGAGGGCTTTGTGGTTTGTGGTGGAAAAGGAAATATCTTCACCTAAATACTAGATAGAAGCATTCTCAGAAGCTTCTCTGTGATGACTGCATTCAACTCACGGAGTTGAACACTCCTTTTGAGAGCGCAGTTTTGAAACTCTCTTTCTGTGGCATCTGCAAGGGGACATGTAGACCTCTTTGAAGATTTCGTTGGAAACGGAATCATCTTCGCATAAAAACTATACAGAAGCAGTCTCAGAATCTTCTTTGTGATGTTTGCATTCAAATCCCAGAGTTGAACTTCCCTTTCAAAGTTCACGTTTGAAACACTCTTTTTGCAGGATCTACAAGTGGATATTTGGACCACTCTGTGTCCTTCGTTCGAAACGGGTATATCTTCACATGACATCTAGACAGAAGCTTTCTCAGAAAATCCTTTGGGATGATTGAGTGGAACTCACAGAGCTGAACATTCCTTGCGATGTAGCAGTTTAGAAACACACTTTCTGCAGAATCTGCAAGTGCATATTTGGACCTCTCTGAGGAATTCGTTGGAAACGGGATAATTTCAGCTGACTAAACAGAAGCATTCTCAGAACCTTCTTCGTGATGTCTGCATTCAACTCACAGTGTGGAACCTTTCTTTGATAGTTCAGGTTTGAAACACTCTTTTTGTAGAAACTGCAAGGGGATAATTGCACTTCTTTGAGGCCTACCGTAGTAAAGGAAATAACTTCCTATAGAAAGAAGACAGAAGCATTCTCAGAACCCTCTTCGTGATGTTTGCATTCAACTCACAGTGCTGAACCTTTCTTTGATAGTTCAGCTTTGAAACACTCTTCTTGTAGAAACTGCAAGTGGATATTTGGTCCTCTCTGAGGATTTCGTTGGAAACGGGATAAACCGCACAGAACTAAACAGAAGAATTCTCAGAGCCCTCTTCGTGATGTTTGCATTCAACTCACAGTGCTGAACCTTTCTTTGATAGTGCAGCTTTGAAACACTCTTTTTGTAGAAACTGCAAGTGGATGTTTGGTCCTCTCTGAGGATTTCGTTGGAAACGGGATAAACCGCACAGAACTAAAACAGAAGCATTGTCAGAAACTTCTTTGTGATGATTGCATTCAACTCACAGAGTTGAAGGTTCCTTTTCAAACAGCAGTTTCCAATCACTCTTTCTGTGGAATCTGCAAGTGGATATTTGGGCCTCTCTGAGGATTTCGTTGGAAACGGGATAAAACGCACAGAACTAAAACAGAAGCATTCTCAGAAACTTCTCTGTGATGTTTGTGTTCAACTCCCAGAGTTTCACGTTGCTTTTCATAGAGTAGTTCTGAAACATGCTTTTCGTAGTGTCTGCAAGTGGACATTTGGAGCGCTTTCAGGCCTGTGGTGGAAAACGAATTATGGTCACATAAAAACTGGAGAGAAGCCTTCTCAGAAACTTCTCTGTGATGATTGCATTCAACTCACAGAGTTGAACCCTCCTATGGATAGAGCAGTGTTGAAACTCTCTTTTTGTGGAATCTGCAAGTGGATATGTGGACCTCTCCGAAGATGTCTTTGGAAACGGGAATATCTTCACATAAAAACTAAACAGAAGCATTCTCAGAAACTTCTTGGTGATGTTTGCATTCAAATCCCAGAGTTGAACCTTCCTTTGATAGTTCAGGTTTGAAACACTCTTTCTGTAGGATCTGCAAGTGGCTATTTGGACCACTCTGTGGCCTTCGTTCGAAACGGGTATATCTTCGCATAAAATCTAGACAGAAGCATTCTCAGAAAATACTTTGTGATGATTGAGTTTAAATCACAGAGCTGACCATTCCTTTGGATGGAGCAGGTTTGAGACACACTTTTTGTAGAATCTACAAGTGGATATTTGGACCTCTCTGAGGATTTCGTTGGAAACGGGATAACTGCACCTAACTAAACGGAAGCATTCTCAGAAACTGCTTTGTGATGATTGCATTCACCTCACAGAGTTGAACATTCCTATTGATAGAGCAGTTTGGAAACACTCTTGTTGTGGAATGTGCAAGTGGAGATTTGGAGCGCTTTGAGGCCTGTGGTAGTAAAGGGAATAGCTTCATAGAAAAACTAGACAGATGCATTCTCAGGAACCTTTTGGTGATGTTTGTATTCAACTCCCAGAGTTGAACTTTCCTTTGGAAAGAGCAGCTATGAAACACTCTTTTTCTAGAATCTGCAAGTGGACGTTTGGAGGGCTTTGTGGTTTGTGGTGGAAAAGGAAATATCTTCACCTAAATACTAGATAGAAGCATTCTCAGAAGCTTCTCTGTGATGACTGCATTCAACTCACGGAGTTGAACACTCCTTTTGAGAGCGCAGTTTTGAAACTCTCTTTCTGTGGCATCTGCAAGGGGACATGTAGACCTCTTTGAAGATTTCGTTGGAAACGGAATCATCTTCACATAAAAACTATACAGAAGCAGTCTCAGAATCTTCTTTGTGATGTTTGCATTCAAATCCCAGAGTTGAACTTTCCTTTCAAAGTTCACGTTTGAAACACTCTTTTTGCAGGATCTACAAGTGGATATTTGGACCACTCTGTGTCCTTCGTTCGAAACGGGTATATCTTCACACGACATCTAGACAGAAGCTTTCTCAGAAAATTCTTTGGGATGATTGAGTGGAACTCACAGTAGCTGAACATTCCTTGCGATGGAGCAGTTTAGAAACACACTTTCTGCAGAATCTGCAAGTGCATATTTGGACCTCTCTGAGGAATTCGTTGGAAACGGGATAATTTCAGCTGACTAAACAGAAGCATTCTCAGAACCTTCTTCGTGATGTCTGCATTCAACTCACAGTGTGGAACCTTTCTTTGATAGTTCAGGTTTGAAACACTCTTTTTGTAGAAACTGCAAGGGGATAATTGCACTTCTTTGAGGCCTACCGTAGTAAAGGAAATAACTTCCTATAGAAAGAAGACAGAAGCATTCTCAGAACCCTCTTCGTGATGTTTGCATTCAACTCACAGTGCTGAACCTTTCTTTGATAGTTCAGCTTTGAAACACTCTTCTTGTAGAAACTGCAAGTGGATATTTGGTCCTCTCTGAGGATTTCGTTGGAAACGGGATAAACCGCACAGAACTAAACAGAAGCATTCTCAGAACCTTCTTCGTGATGTTTGCATTCAACTCACAGTGTTGAACCTTTCTTTCATAGTTCAGGTTTGAAACGGTCTTTCTGTAGAAACTGCAAGTAGATATTTGGACCTCTCTGAGGATTTCGTTGGAAACGGGATAAACCGCACAGAACTAAAACAGAAGCATTCACAGAAAACTCTTGGTGACGACTGAGTTTAACTCACAGAGCTGAACATTCCTTTGGATGGAGCAGTTTCGAAACACACTATTTGTAGAATGTGCAAGTGGATATTTGGGCCTCTCTGAGGATTTCGTTGGAAACGGGATAAACCGCACAGAACTAAACAGAAGCATTCTCAGAAACTACTTTGTGATGATTGCATTCAAGTCACAGAGTTGAACATTCCCTTTGACAGAGCAGTTTGGAAACTCTCTTTGTGTAGAATCTGCAAGTGGAGATATGGACCGCTTTGAGGCCTATGGTAGTAAAGGAAATAGCTTCATATAAAAGCTAGACATTAGCATTCTCAGAAACTTCTTTGTGATGCTTGCATTCAACTCACAGAGTTGAACTTTCCTTTCGAGAGAGAAGCTTTGAAACACTCTTTTTCCAGAATCTGCAAGTGGACATTTGGAGGGCTTTGAGGCCTGTGGTGGAAAAGGAATTATCTTCCCGTAAAAGCTAGATAGAAGCATTGTCAGAAACTTCTTTGTGATGATTGCATTCAACTCACAGAGTTGAAGGTTCCTTTTCAAACAGCAGTTTCCAAACACTCTTTCTGTGGTATCTACAAGTGGATATTTGGACCTCTTTGAAGATTTCGTTGGAAACGGGAGAATCTTCACAGAAAAGCTAAACAGAAGCATTCTCAGAAACTTCTCTGTGATGTTTGTGTTCAACTCCCAGAGTTTCATATTGCTTTTCATAGAGTAGTTCTGAAACATGCTTTTCGCAGTGTCTGCAAGTGGACATTTGGAGCGCTTTCAGGCCTGTGGTGGAAAACGAATTATGGTCACATAAAAACTGGAGAGAAGCCTTCTCAGAAACTTCTCTGTGATGATTGCATTCAACTCACAGAGTTGAACCCTCCTATGGATAGAGCAGTGTTGAAACTCTCTTTTTGTGGAATCTGCAGGTGGATATGTGCACCTCTCTGAAGATGTCTTTGGAAACGGGAATATCTTCACATAAAAACTAAACAGAAGCATTCTCAGAAACTTCTTGGTGATGTTTGCATTCAAATCCCAGAGTTGAACCTTCCTTTGATAGTTCAGGTTTGAAACACTCTTTTTGTAGGATCTGCAAGTGGATATTTGGACCACTCTGTGGCCTTCGTTCGAAACGGGTATATCTTCGCATAAAATCTAGACAGAAGCATTCTCAGAAAATACTTTGTGATGATTGAGTTTAACTCACAGAGCTGAAAATTCCTTTGGATGGAGCAGGTTTGAGACACACTTTTTGTAGAATCTACAAGTGGATATTTGGACCTCTCTGAGGATTTCCTTGGAAACGGGATAACTGCACCTAACTAAACGGAAGCATTCTCAGAAACTGCTTTGTGATGATTGCATTCACCTCACAGAGTTGAACATTCCTATTGATAGAGCAGTTTGGAAACACTCTTGTTGTGGAATGTGCAAGTGGAGATTTGGAGCGCTTTGAGGCCTATGGTAGTAAAGGGAATAGCTTCATAGAAAAACTAGACAGATGCATTCTCAGGAACTTTTTGGTGATGTTTGTATTCAACTCCCAGAGTTGAACTTTCCTTTGGAAAGAGCAGCTATGAAACACTCTTTTTCTAGAATCTGCAAGTGGACGTTTGGAGGGCTTTGTGGTTTGTGGTGGAAAAGGAAATATCTTCACCTAAATACTAGATAGAAGCATTCTCAGAAGCTTCTCTGTGATGACTGCATTCAACTCACGGAGTTGAACACTCCTTTTGAGAGCGCAGTTTTGAAACTCTCTTTCTGTGGCATCTGCAAGGGGACATGTAGACCTCTTTGAAGATTTCGCTGGAAACGGAATCATCTTCACATAAAAACTATACAGAAGCAGTCTCAGAATCTTCTTTGTGATGTTTGCATTCAAATCCCAGAGTTGAACTTTCCTTTCAAAGTTCACGTTTGAAACACTCTTTTTGCAGGATCTACAAGTGGATATTTGGACCACTCTGTGTCCTTCGTTCGAAACGGGTATAACTTCACACGACATCTAGACAGAAGCTTTCTCAGAAAATTCTTTGGGATGATTGAGTGGAACTCACAGAGCTGAACATTCCTTGCGATGTAGCAGTTTAGAAACACACTTTCTGCAGAATCTGCAAGTGCATATTTGGACCTCTCTGAGGAATTCGTTGGAAACGGGATAATTTCAGCTGACTAAACAGAAGCATTCTCAGAACCTTCTTCGTGATGTCTGCATTCAACTCACAGTATGGAACCTTTCTTTGATAGTTCAGGTTTGAAACACTCTTTTTGTAGAAACTGCAAGGGGATAATTGCACTTCTTTGAGGCCTACCGTAGTAAAGGAAATAACTTCCTATAGAAAGAAGACAGAAGCATTCTCAGAACCCTCTTCGTGATGTTTGCATTCAACTCACAGTGCTGAACCTTTCTTTGATAGTTCAGCTTTGAAACACTCTTCTTGTAGAAACTGCAAGTGGATATTTGGTCCTCTCTGAGGATTTCGTTGGAAACGGGATAAACCGCACAGAACTAAACAGAAGAATTCTCAGAGCCCTCTTCGTGATGTTTGCATTCAACTCACAGTGCTGAACCTTTCTTTGATAGTGCAGCTTTGAAACACTCTTTTTGTAGAAACTGCAAGTGGATGTTTGGTCCTCTCTGAGGATTTCGTTGGAAACGGGATAAACCGCACAGAACTAAAACAGAAGCATTGTCAGAAACTTCTTTGTGATGATTGCATTCAACTCACAGAGTTGAAGGTTCCTTTTCAAACAGCAGTTTCCAATCACTCTTTCTGTGGAATCTGCAAGTGGATATTTGGGCCTCTCTGAGGATTTCGTTGGAAACGGGATAAAACGCACAGAACTAAAACAGAAGCATTCTCAGAAACTTCTCTGTGATGTTTGTGTTCAACTCCCAGAGTTTCACGTTGCTTTTCATAGAGTAGTTCTGAAACATGCTTTTCGTAGTGTCTGCAAGTGGACATTTGGAGCGCTTTCAGGCCTGTGGTGGAAAACGAATTATGGTCACATAAAAACTGGAGAGAAGCCTTCTCAGAAACTTCTCTGTGATGATTGCATTCAACTCACAGAGTTGAACCCTCCTATGGATAGAGCAGTGTTGAAACTCTCTTTTTGTGGAATCTGCAAGTGGATATGTGGACCTCTCCGAAGATGTCTTTGGAAACGGGAATATCTTCACATAAAAACTAAACAGAAGCATTCTCAGAAACTTCTTGGTGATGTTTGCATTCAAATCCCAGAGTTGAACCTTCCTTTGATAGTTCAGGTTTGAAACACTCTTTCTGTAGGATCTGCAAGTGGCTATTTGGACCACTCTGTGGCCTTCGTTCGAAACGGGTATATCTTCGCATAAAATCTAGACAGAAGCATTCTCAGAAAATACTTTGTGATGATTGAGTTTAAATGACAGAGCTGACCATTCCTTTGGATGGAGCAGGTTTGAGACACACTTTTTGTAGAATCTACAAGTGGATATTTGGACCTCTCTGAGGATTTCGTTGGAAACGGGATAACTGCACCTAACTAAACGGAAGCATTCTCAGAAACTGCTTTGTGATGATTGCATTCACCTCACAGAGTTGAACATTCCTATTGATAGAGCAGTTTGGAAACACTCTTGTTGTGGAATGTGCAAGTGGAGATTTGGAGCGCTTTGAGGCCTATGGTAGTAAAGGGAATAGCTTCATAGAAAAACTAGACAGATGCATTCTCAGGAACTTTTTGGTGATGTTTGTATTCAACTCCCAGAGTTGAACTTCCCTTTGGAAAGAGCAGCTATGAAACACGCTTTTTCTAGAATCTGCAAGTGGACGTTTGGAGGGCTTTGTGGTTTGTGGTCTAAAAGGAAATATCTTCACCTAAATACTAGATAGAAGCATTCTCAGAAGCTTCTCTGTGATGACTGCATTCAACTCACGGAGTTGAACACTCCTTTTGAGAGCGCAGTTTTGAAACTCTCTTTCTGTGGCATCCGCAAGGGGAAATGTGGACCTCTTTGAAGATTTCGTTGGAAACGGAATCATCTTCACATAAAAACTGTACAGAAGCAGTCTCAGAATCTTCTTTGTGATGTTTGCATTCAAATCCCAGAGTTGAACTTTCCTTTCAAAGTTCACGTTTGAAACACTCTTTTTGCAGGATCTACAAGTGGATATTTGGACCACTCTGTGTCCTTCGTTCGAAACGGGTATATCTTCACACGACATCTAGACAGAAGCTTTCTCAGAAAATTCTTTGGGATGATTGAGTGGAACTCACAGAGCTGAACATTCCTTGCGATGTAGCAGTTTAGAAACACACTTTCTGCAGAATCTGCAAGTGCATATTTGGACCTCTCTGAGGAATTCGTTGGAAACGGGATAATTTCAGCTGACTAAACAGAAGCATTCTCAGAACCTTCTTCGTGATGTCTGCATTCAACTCACAGTGTGGAACCTTTCTTTGATAGTTCAGGTTTGAAACACTCTTTTTGTAGAAACTGCAAGGGGATAATTGCACTTCTTTGAGGCCTACCGTAGTAAAGGAAATAACTTCCTATAGAAAGAAGACAGAAGCATTCTCAGAACCCTCTTCGTGATGTTTGCATTCAACTCACAGTGCTGAACCTTTATTTGATAGTTCAGCTTTGAAACACTCTTCTTGTAGAAACTGCAAGTGGATATTTGGTCCTCTCTGAGTATTTCGTTGGAAACGGGATAAACCGCACAGAACTAAACAGAAGAATTCTCAGAGCCCTCTTCGTGATGTTTGCATTCAACTCACAGTGCTCAACCTTTCTTTGATAGTGCAGCTTTGAAACACTCTTTTTGTAGAAACTGCAAGTGGATATTTGGTCCTCTCTGAGGATTTCGTTGGAAACGGGATAAACCGCACAGAACTAAAACAGAAGCATTCTCAGAACCTTCTTCGTGATGTTTGCATTCAACTCACAGTGTTGAACCTTTCTTTGATAGTTCAGGTTGGAAACGGTCTTTCTGTAGAAACTGCAAGTAGATATTTGGACCTCTCTGAGGATTTCGTTGGAAACGGGATAAACCGCACAGAACTAAAACAGAAGCATTCACAGAAAACTCTTGGTGACGACTGAGTTTAACTCACAGAGCTGAACATTCCTTTGGATGGAGCAGTTTCGAAACACACTATTTGTAGAATGTGCAAGTGGATATGTGGGCCTCTCTGAGGATTTCGTTGGAAAAGGGATAAACCGCACAGAACTAAACAGAAGCATTCTCAGAAACTACTTTGTGATGATTGCATTCAAGTCACAGAGTTGAACATTCCCTTTGACAGAGCAGTTTGGAAACTCTCTTTGCGTAGAATCTGCAAGTGGAGATATGGACCGCTTTGAGGCCTATGGTAGTAAAGGAAATAGCTTCATATAAAAGCTAGACAGCAGCATTCTCAGAAACTTCTTTGTGATGCTTGCATTCAACTCACAGAGTTGAACTTTCCTTTCGAGAGAGAAGCTTTGAAACACTCTTTTTCCAGAATCTGCAAGTGGACATTTGGAGGGCTTTGAGGCCTGTGGTGGAAAAGGAATTATCTTCCCGTAAAAGCTAGATAGAAGCATTGTCAGAAACTTCTTTGAATGATTGCATTCAACTCACAGAGTTGAAGGTTGCTTTTCAAAGAGCAGTTTCCAATCACTCTTTCTGTGGAATCTGCAAGTGGATATTTGGGCCTCTTTGAAGATTTCGTTGGAAACGGGATAATCATCACAGAAAAGCTAAACAGAAGCATTCTCAGAAACTTCTCTGTGATGTTTGTGTTCAACTCCCAGAGTTTCACATTGCTTCTCATAGAGTAGTTCTGAAACATGCTTTTCGTAGTGTCTGCAAGTGGACATTTGGAGCGCTTTCAGGCCTGTGGTGGAAAACGAATTATGGTCACATAAAAACTGGAGAGAAGCCTTCTCAGAAACTTCTCTGTGATGATTGCATTCAACTCACAGAGTTGAACCCTCCTATGGATAGAGCAGTGTTGAAACTCTCTTTTTGTGGAATCTGCAAGCGGATATGTGGACCTCTCCGAAGATGTCTTTGGCAACGGGAATATCTTCACATAAAAACTAAACAGAAGCATTCTCAGAAACTTCTTGGTGATGTTTGCATTCAAATCCCAGAGTTGAACCTTCCTTTGAGAGTTCAGGTTTGAAACACTCTTTTTGTAGGATCTGCAAGTGGATATTTGGACCACTCTGTGGCCTTCGTTCGAAACGGGTACATCTTCGCATAAAATCTAGACAGAAGCATTCTCAGAAAATACTTTGTGATGATTGAGTTAAAATCACAGAGCTGAACATTCCTTTGGATGGAGCAGGTTTGAGACACACTTTTTGTAGAATCTACAAGTGGATATTTGGACCTCTCTGAGGATTTCGTTGGAAACGGGATAACTGCACCTAACTAAACGGAAGCATTCTCAGAAACTGCTTTGTGATGATTGCATTCACCTCACAGAGTTGAACATTCCTATTGATAGAGCAGTTTGGAAACACTCTTGTTGCGGAATGTGCAAGTGGAGATTTGGAGCGCTTTGAGGCCTGTGGTAGTAAAGGGAATAGCTTCATAGAAAAACTAGACAGATGCATTCTCAGGAACTTTTTGGTGATGTTTGTATTCAACTCCCAGAGTTGAACTTTCCTTTGGAAAGAGCAGCTATGAAACACTCTTTTTCTAGAATCTGCAAGTGGACGTTTGGAGGGCTTTGTGGTTTGTGGTGGAAAAGGAAATATCTTCACCTAAATACTAGATAGAAGCATTCTCAGAAGCTTCTCTGTGATGACTGCATTCAACTCACGGAGTTGAACACTCCTTTTGAGAGCGCAGTTTTGAAACTCTCTTTCTGTGGCATCTGCAAGGGGACATGTAGACCTCTTTGAAGATTTCGTTGGAAACGGAATCATCTTCACATAAAAACTATACAGAAGCAGTCTCAGAATCTTCTTTGTGATGTTTGCATTCAAATCCCAGAGTTGAACTTTCCTTTCAAAGTTCACGTTTGAAACACTCTTTTTGCAGGATCTACAAGTGGATATTTGGACCACTCTGTGTCCTTCGTTCGAAACGGGTATATCTTCACACGACATCTAGACAGAAGCTTTCTCAGAAAATTCTTTGGGATGATTGAGTGGAACTCACAGAGCTGAACATTCCTTGCGATGTAGCAGTTTAGAAACACACTTTCTGCAGAATCTGCAAGTGCATATTTGGACCTCTCTGAGGAATTCGTTGGAAACGGGATAATTTCAGCTGACTAAACAGAAGCATTCTCAGAACCTTCTTCGTGATGTCTGCATTCAACTCACAGTGTGGAACCTTTCTTTGATAGTTCAGGTTTGAAACACTCTTTTTGTAGAAACTGCAAGGGGATAATTGCACTTCTTTGAGGCCTACCGTAGTAAAGGAAATAACTTCCTATAGAAAGAAGACAGAAGCATTCTCAGAACCCTCTTCGTGATGTTTGCATTCAACTCACAGTGCTGAACCTTTCTTTGATAGTTCAGCTTTGAAACACTCTTCTTGTAGAAACTGCAAGTGGATATTTGGTCCTCTCTGAGGATTTCGTTGGAAACGGGATAAACCGCACAGAACTAAACAGAAGAATTCTCAGAGCCCTCTTCGTGATGTTTGCATTCAACTCACAGTGCTGAACCTTTCTTTGATAGTGCAGCTTTGAAACACTCTTTTTGTAGAAACTGCAAGTGGATGTTTGGTCCTCTCTGAGGATTTCGTTGGAAACGGGATAAACCGCACAGAACTAAAACAGAAGCATTGTCAGAAACTTCTTTGTGATGATTGCATTCAACTCACAGAGTTGAAGGTTCCTTTTCAAACAGCAGTTTCCAATCACTCTTTCTGTGGAATCTGCAAGTGGATATTTGGGCCTCTCTGAGGATTTCGTTGGAAACGGGATAAAACGCACAGAACTAAAACAGAAGCATTCTCAGAAACTTCTCTGTGATGTTTGTGTTCAACTCCCAGAGTTTCACGTTGCTTTTCATAGAGTAGTTCTGAAACATGCTTTTCGTAGTGTCTGCAAGTGGACATTTGGAGCGCTTTCAGGCCTGTGGTGGAAAACGAATTATGGTCACATAAAAACTGGAGAGAAGCCTTCTCAGAAACTTCTCTGTGATGATTGCATTCAACTCACAGAGTTGAACCCTCCTATGGATAGAGCAGTGTTGAAACTCTCTTTTTGTGGAATCTGCAAGTGGATATGTGGACCTCTCCGAAGATGTCTTTGGAAACGGGAATATCTTCACATAAAAACTAAACAGAAGCATTCTCAGAAACTTCTTGGTGATGTTTGCATTCAAATCCCAGAGTTGAACCTTCCTTTGATAGTTCAGGTTTGAAACACTCTTTCTGTAGGATCTGCAAGTGGCTATTTGGACCACTCTGTGGCCTTCGTTCGAAACGGGTATATCTTCGCATAAAATCTAGACAGAAGCATTCTCAGAAAATACTTTGTGATGATTGAGTTTAAATCACAGAGCTGACCATTCCTTTGGATGGAGCAGGTTTGAGACACACTTTTTGTAGAATCTACAAGTGGATATTTGGACCTCTCTGAGGATTTCGTTGGAAACGGGATAACTGCACCTAACTAAACGGAAGCATTCTCAGAAACTGCTTTGTGATGATTGCATTCACCTCACAGAGTTGAACATTCCTATTGATAGAGCAGTTTGGAAACACTCTTGTTGTGGAATGTGCAAGTGGAGATTTGGAGCGCTTTGAGGCCTATGGTAGTAAAGGGAATAGCTTCATAGAAAAACTAGACAGATGCATTCTCAGGAACTTTTTGGTGATGTTTGTATTCAACTCCCAGAGTTGAACTTTCCTTTGGAAAGAGCAGCTATGAAACACTCTTTTTCTAGAATCTGCAAGTGGACGTTTGGAGGGCTTTGTGGTTTGTGGTGGAAAAGGAAATATCTTCACCTAAATACTAGATAGAAGCATTCTCAGAAGCTTCTCTGTGATGACTGCATTCAACTCACGGAGTTGAACACTCCTTTTGAGAGCGCAGTTTTGAAACTCTCTTTCTGTGGCATCTGCAAGGGGACATGTAGACCTCTTTGAAGATTTCGTTGGAAACGGAATCATCTTCACATAAAAACTATACAGAAGCAGTCTCAGAATCTTCTTTGTGATGTTTGCATTCAAATCCCAGAGTTGAACTTTCCTTTCAAAGTTCACGTTTGAAACACTCTTTTTGCAGGATCTACAAGTGGATATTTGGACCACTCTGTGTCCTTCGTTCGAAACGGGTATATCTTCACACGACATCTAGACAGAAGCTTTCTCAGAAAATTCTTTGGGATGATTGAGTTGAACTCACAGAGCTGAACATTCCTTGCGATGTAGCAGTTTAGAAACACACTTTCTGCAGAATCTGCAAGTGCATATTTGGACCTCTCTGAGGAATTCGTTGGAAACAGGATAATTTCAGCTGACTAAACAGAAGCATTCTCAGAACCTTCTTCGTGATGTCTGCATTCAACTCACAGTGTGGAACCTTTCTTTGATAGTTCAGGTTTGAAACACTCTTTTTGTAGAAACTGCAAGGGGATAATTGCACTTCTTTGAGGCCTACCGTAGTAAAGGAAATAACTTCCTATAGAAAGAAGACAGAAGCATTCTCAGAACCCTCTTCGTGATGTTTGCATTCAACTCACAGTGCTGAACCTTTCTTTGATAGTTCAGCTTTGAAACACTCTTCTTGTAGAAACTGCAAGTGGATATTTGGTCCTCTCTGAGGATTTCGTTGGAAACGGGATAAACCGCACAGAACTAAACAGAAGAATTCTCAGAGCCCTCTTCGTGATGTTTGCATTCAACTCACAGTGCTGAACCTTTCTTTGATAGTGCAGCTTTGAAACACTCTTTTTGTAGAAACTGCAAGTGGATGTTTGGTCCTCTCTGAGGATTTCGTTGGAAACGGGATAAACCGCACAGAACTAAAACAGAAGCATTGTCAGAAACTTCTTTGTGATGATTGCATTCAACTCACAGAGTTGAAGGTTCCTTTTCAAACAGCAGTTTCCAATCACTCTTTCTGTGGAATCTGCAAGTGGATATTTGGGCCTCTCTGAGGATTTCGTTGGAAACGGGATAAAACGCACAGAACTAAAACAGAAGCATTCTCAGAAACTTCTCTGTGATGTTTGTGTTCAACTCCCAGAGTTTCACGTTGCTTTTCATAGAGTAGTTCTGAAACATGCTTTTCGTAGTGTCTGCAAGTGGACATTTGGAGCGCTTTCAGGCCTGTGGTGGAAAACGAATTATGGTCACATAAAAACTGGAGAGAAGCCTTCTCAGAAACTTCTCTGTGATGATTGCATTCAACTCACAGAGTTGAACCCTCCTATGGATAGAGCAGTGTTGAAACTCTCTTTTTGTGGAATCTGCAAGTGGATATGTGGACCTCTCCGAAGATGTCTTTGGAAACGGGAATATCTTCACATAAAAACTAAACAGAAGCATTCTCAGAAACTTCTTGGTGATGTTTGCATTCAAATCCCAGAGTTGAACCTTCCTTTGATAGTTCAGGTTTGAAACACTCTTTCTGTAGGATCTGCAAGTGGCTATTTGGACCACTCTGTGGCCTTCGTTCGAAACGGGTATATCTTCGCATAAAATCTAGACAGAAGCATTCTCAGAAAATACTTTGTGATGATTGAGTTTAAATCACAGAGCTGACCATTCCTTTGGATGGAGCAGGTTTGAGACACACTTTTTGTAGAATCTACAAGTGGATATTTGGACCTCTCTGAGGATTTCGTTGGAAACGGGATAACTGCACCTAACTAAACGGAAGCATTCTCAGAAACTGCTTTGTGATGATTGCATTCACCTCACAGAGTTGAACATTCCTATTGATAGAGCAGTTTGGAAACACTCTTGTTGTGGAATGTGCAAGTGGAGATTTGGAGCGCTTTGAGGCCTATGGTAGTAAAGGGAATAGCTTCATAGAAAAACTAGACAGATGCATTCTCAGGAACTTTTTGGTGATGTTTGTATTCAACTCCCAGAGTTGAACTTTCCTTTGGAAAGAGCAGCTATGAAACACTCTTTTTCTAGAATCTGCAAGTGGACGTTTGGAGGGCTTTGTGGTTTGTGGTGGAAAAGGAAATATCTTCACCTAAATACTAGATAGAAGCATTCTCAGAAGCTTCTCTGTGATGACTGCATTCAACTCACGGAGTTGAACACTCCTTTTGAGAGCGTAGTTTTGAAACTCTCTTTCTGTGGCATCTGCAAGGGGACATGTAGACCTCTTTGAAGATTTCGTTGGAAACGGAATCATCTTCACATAAAAACTATACAGAAGCAGTCTCAGAATCTTCTTTGTGATGTTTGCATTCAAATCCCAGAGTTGAACTTTCCTTTCAAAGTTCACGTTTGAAACACTCTTTTTGCAGGATCTACAAGTGGATATTTGGACCACTCTGTGTCCTTCGTTCGAAACGGGTATATCTTCACAGGACATCTAGACAGAAGCTTTCTCAGAAAATTCTTTGGGATGATTGAGTGGAACTCACAGAGCTGAACATTCCTTGTGATGTAGCAGTTTAGAAACACACTTTCTGCAGAATCTGCAAGTGCATATTTGGACCTCTCTGAGGAATTCGTTGGAAACGGGATAATTTCAGCTGACTAAACAGAAGCATTCTCAGAACCTTCTTCGTGATGTCTGCATTCAACTCACAGTGTGGAACCTTTCTTTGATAGTTCAGGTTTGAAACACTCTTTTTGTAGAAACTGCAAGGGGATAATTGCACTTCTTTGAGGCCTACCGTAGTAAAGGAAATAACTTCCTATAGAAAGAAGACAGAAGCATTCTCAGAACCCTCTTCGTGATGTTTGCATTCAACTCACAGTGCTGAACCTTTCTTTGATAGTTCAGCTTTGAAACACTCTTCTTGTAGAAACTGCAAGTGGATATTTGGTCCTCTCTGAGGATTTCGTTGGAAACGGGATAAACCGCACAGAACTAAACAGAAGAATTCTCAGAGCCCTCTTCGTGATGTTTGCATTCAACTCACAGTGCTGAACTTTTCTTTGATAGTGCAGCTTTGAAACACTCTTTTTGTAGAAACTGCAAGTGGATGTTTGGTCCTCTCTGAGGATTTCGTTGGAAACGGGATAAACCGCACAGAACTAAAACAGAAGCATTCTCAGAACCTTCTTCGTGATGTTTGCATTCAACTCAACAGTGTTGAACCTTTCTTTGATAGTTCAGGTTTGAAACGGTCTTTCTGTAGAAACTGCAAGTAGATATTTGGACCGCTCTGAGGATTTCGTTGGAAACGGGATAACCCGCACAGAACTAAAACAGAAGCATTCAGAAAAAACTCTTGGTGACGACTGAGTTTAACTCACAGAGCTGAACATTCCTTTGGAGGGAGCAGTTTCGAAACACACTATTTGTAGAATGTGCAAGTGGATATTTGGGCCTCTCTGAGGATTTCGTTGGAAACGGGATAAACCGCACAGAACTAAACAGAAGCATTCTCAGAAACTACTTTGTGATGATTGCATTCAAGTCACAGAGTTGAACATTCCCTTTGACAGAGCAGTTTGGAAACTCTCTTTGTGTAGAATCTGCAAGTGGAGATATGGACCGCTTTGAGGCCTATGGTAGTAAAGGAAATAGCTTCATATAAAAGCTAGACAGTAGCATTCTCAGAAACTTCTTTCTGATGCTTGCATTCAACTCACAGAGTTGAACTTTCCTTTTGAGAGAGAAGCTTTGAAACACTCTTTTTCCAGAATCTGCAAGTGGACATTTGGAGGGCTTTGAGGCCTGTGGTGGAAAAGGAATTATCTTCCCGTAAAAGCTAGATAGAAGCATTGTCAGAAACTTCTTTGTGATGATTGCATTCAACTCACAGAGTTGAAGGTTCCTTTTCAAAGAGCAGTTTCCAATCACTCTTTCTGTGGAATCTGCAAGTGGATATTTGGACCTCTTTGAAGATTTCGTTGGAAACGGGAGAATCTTCACAGAAAAGCTAAACAGAAGCATTCTCAGAAACTTCTCTGTGATGTTTGTGTTCAACTCCCAGAGTTTCACATTGCTTTTCATAGAGTAGTTCTGAAACATGCTTTTCGTAGTGTCTGCAAGTGGACATTTGGAGCGCTTTCAGGCCTGTGGTGGAAAACGATTTATGGTCACATAAAAACTGGAGAGAAGCCTTCTCAGAAACTTCTCTGTGATGATTGCATTCAACTCACAGAGTTGAACCCTCCTATGGATAGAGCAGTGTTGAAACTCTCTTTTTGTGGAATCTGCAAGTGGATATGTGGACCTCTCCGAAGATGTCTTTGGAAACGGGAATATCTTCACATAAAAACTAAACAGAAGCATTCTCAGAAACTTCTTGGTGATGTTTGCATTCAAATCCCAGAGTTGAACCTTCCTTTGATAGTTCAGGTTTGAAACACTCTTTCTGTAGGATCTGCAAGTGGCTATTTGGACCACTCTGTGGCCTTCGTTCGAAACGGGTATATCTTCGCATAAAATCTAGACAGAAGCATTCTCAGAAAATACTTTGTGATGATTGAGTTTAAATCACAGAGCTGACCATTCCTTTGGATGGAGCAGGTTTGAGACACACTTTTTGTAGAATCTACAAGTGGATATTTGGACCTCTCTGAGGATTTCGTTGGAAACGGGATAACTGCACCTAACTAAACGGAAGCATTCTCAGAAACTGCTTTGTGATGATTGCATTCACCTCACAGAGTTGAACATTCCTATTGATAGAGCAGTTTGGAAACACTCTTGTTGTGGAATGTGCAAGTGGAGATTTGGAGCGCTTTGAGGCCTGTGGTAGTAAAGGGAATAGCTTCATAGAAAAACTAGACAGATGCATTCTCAGGAACTTTTTGGTGATGTTTGTATTCAACTCCCAGAGTTGAACTTTCCTTTGGAAAGAGCAGCTATGAAACACTCTTTTTCTAGAATCTGCAAGTGGACGTTTGGAGGGCTTTGTGGTTTGTGGTGGAAAAGGAAATATCTTCACCTAAATACTAGATAGAAGCATTCTCAGAAGCTTCTCTGTGATGACTGCATTCAACTCACGGAGTTGAACACTCCTTTTGAGAGCGCAGTTTTGAAACTCTCTTTCTGTGGCATCTGCAAGGGGACATGTAGACCTCTTTGAAGATTTCGTTGGAAACGGAATCATCTTCACATAAAAACTATACAGAAGCAGTCTCAGAATCTTCTTTGTGATGTTTGCATTCAAATCCCAGAGTTGAACTTTCCTTTCAAAGTTCACGTTTGAAACACTCTTTTTGCAGGATCTACAAGTGGATATTTGGACCACTCTGTGTCCTTCGTTCGAAACGGGTATATCTTCACACGACATCTAGACAGAAGCTTTCTCAGAAAATTCTTTGGGATGATTGAGTGGAACTCACAGAGCTGAACATTCCTTGCGATGTAGCAGTTTAGAAACACACTTTCTGCAGAATCTGCAAGTGCATATTTGGACCTCTCTGAGGAATTCGTTGGAAACGGGATAATTTCAGCTGACTAAACAGAAGCATTCTCAGAACCTTCTTCGTGATGTCTGCATTCAACTCACAGTGTGGAACCTTTCTTTGATATTTCAGGTTTGAAACACTCTTTTTGTAGAAACTGCAAGGGGATAATTGCACTTCTTTGAGGCCTACCGTAGTAAAGGAAATAACTTCCTATAGAAAGAAGACAGAAGCATTCTCAGAACCCTCTTCGTGATGTTTGCATTCAACTCACAGTGCTGAACCTTTCTTTGATAGTTCAGCTTTGAAACACTCTTCTTGTGGAAACTGCAAGTGGATATTTGGTCCTCTCTGAGGATTTCGTTGGAAACGGGATAAACCGCACAGAACTAAACAGAAGAATTCTCAGAGCCCTCTTCGTGATGTTTGCATTCAACTCACAGTGCTGAACCTTTCTTTGATAGTGCAGCTTTGAAACACTCTTTTTGTAGAAACTGCAAGTGGATGTTTGGTCCTCTCTGAGGATTTCGTTGGAAACGGGATAAACCGCACAGAACTAAAACAGAAGCATTGTCAGAAACTTCTTTGTGATGATTGCATTCAACTCACAGAGTTGAAGGTTCCTTTTCAAACAGCAGTTTCCAATCACTCTTTCTGTGGAATCTGCAAGTGGATATTTGGGCCTCTCTGAGGATTTCGTTGGAAACGGGATAAAACGCACAGAACTAAAACAGAAGCATTCTCAGAAACTTCTCTGTGATGTTTGTGTTCAACTCCCAGAGTTTCACGTTGCTTTTCATAGAGTAGTTCTGAAACATGCTTTTCGTAGTGTCTGCAAGTGGACATTTGGAGCGCTTTCAGGCCTGTGGTGGAAAACGAATTATGGTCACATAAAAACTGGAGAGAAGCCTTCTCAGAAACTTCTCTGTGATGATTGCATTCAACTCACAGAGTTGAACCCTCCTATGGATAGAGCAGTGTTGAAACTCTCTTTTTGTGGAACCTGCAAGTGGATATGTGGACCTCTCCGAAGATGTCTTTGGAAACGGGAATATCTTCACATAAAAACTAAACAGAAGCATTCTCAGAAACTTCTTGGTGATGTTTGCATTCAAATCCCAGAGTTGAACCTTCCTTTGATAGTTCAGGTTTGAAACACTCTTTCTGTAGGATCTGCAAGTGGCTATTTGGACCACTCTGTGGCCTTCGTTCGAAACGGGTATATCTTCGCATAAAATCTAGACAGAAGCATTCTCAGAAAATACTTTGTGATGATTGAGTTTAAATCACAGAGCTGACCATTCCTTTGGATGGAGCAGGTTTGAGACACACTTTTTGTAGAATCTACAAGTGGATATTTGGACCTCTCTGAGGATTTCGTTGGAAACGGGATAACTGCACCTAACTAAACGGAAGCATTCTCAGAAACTGCTTTGTGATGATTGCATTCACCTCACAGAGTTGAACATTCCTATTGATAGAGCAGTTTGGAAACACTCTTGTTGTGGAATGTGCAAGTGGAGATTTGGAGCGCTTTGAGGCCTATGGTAGTAAAGGGAATAGCTTCATAGAAAAACTAGACAGATGCATTCTCAGGAACTTTTTGGTGATGTTTGTATTCAACTCCCAGAGTTGAACTTTCCTTTGGAAAGAGCAGCTATGAAACACTCTTTTTCTAGAATCTGCAAGTGGACGTTTGGAGGGCTTTGTGGTTTGTGGTGGAAAAGGAAATATCTTCACCTAAATACTAGATAGAAGCATTCTCAGAAGCTTCTCTGTGATGACTGCATTCAACTCACGGAGTTGAACACTCCTTTTGAGAGCGCAGTTTTGAAACTCTGTTTCTGTGGCTTCTGCAAGGGGACATGTAGACCTCTTTGAAGATTTCGTTGGAAACGGAATCATCTTCACATCAAAACTATACAGAAGCAGTCTCAGAATCTTCTTTGTGATGTTTGCATTCAAATCCCAGAGTTGAACTTTCCTTTCCAAGTTCACGTTTGAAACACTCTTTTTGCAGGATCTACAAGTGGATATTTGGACCACTCTGTGTCCTTCGTTCGAAACGGGTATATCTTCACATGACATCTAGACAGAAGCTTTCTCAGAAAATTCTTTGGGATGATTGAGTTGAACTCACAGAGCTGAGCATTCCTTGCGATGTAGCAGTTTAGAAACACACTTTCTGCAGAATCTGCAAGTGCATATTTGGACCTCTGTGAGGAATTCGTTGGAAACGGGATAATTTCAGCTGACTACACAGAAGCATTCTCAGAACCTTCTTCGTGATGTCTGCATTCAACACAAAGTGTGGAACCTTTCTTTGATAGTTCAGGTTTTAAAAACTCTTTTTGTAGAAACTGCAAGGGGATAATTGCACTCTTTGAGGAGTACCGTAGTAAAGGAAATAACTTCCTATAAAAAGAAGACAGAAGAATTCTCAGAGCCCTCTTCGTGATGTTTGCATTCAACTCACAGTGCTGAACCTTTCTTTGATAGTGCAGCTTTGAAACACTCTTTTTGTAGAAACTGCAAGTGGATGTTTGGTCCTCTCTGAGGATTTCGTTGGAAACGGGATAAACCGCACAGAACTAAAACAGAAGCATTCACAGAAAACTCTTGGTGACGACTGAGTTTAACTCACAGAGCTGAACATTCCTTTGGATGGAGCAGTTTCGAAACACACTATTTGTAGAATCTGCAAGTGGATATTTGGGCCTCTCTGAGGATTTCGTTGGAAACCGGATTAAAACGCACAGAACTAAAACAGAAGCATTCTCAGAAACTACTTTGTGATGATTGCATTCAAGTCACAGAGTTGAACATTCCCTTTGACAGAGCAGTTTGGAAACTCTCTTTGTGTAGAATCTGCAAGTGGAGATATGGACCGCTTTGAGGCCTATGGTAGTAAAGGAAATAGCTTCATATAAAAGCTAGACAGTAGCATTCTCAGAAACTTCTTTGTGATGCTTGCATTCAACTCACAGAGTTGAACTTTCCTTTCGAGAGAGAAGCTTTGAAACACTCTTTTTCCAGAATCTGCAAGTGGACATTTGGAGGGCTTTGAGGCCTGTGGTGGAAAAGGAATTAACTTCCCGTAAAAGCTAGATAGAAGCATTGTCAGAAACTTCTTTGTGATGATTGCATTCAACTCACAGAGATGAAGGTTCCTTTACAAACAGCAGTTTCCAAACACTCTTTCTGTGGAATCTGCAAGTGGATATTTGGACCTCATTGAAGATTTCATTGGAAACGGGAGAATCTTCACAGAAAAGCTAAACAGAAGCATTCTCAGAAACTTCTCTGTGATGTTTGTGTTCAACTCCCAGAGTTTCACATTGCTTTTCATAGAGTAGTTCTGAAACATGCTTTTCGTAGTGTCTGCAAGTGGACATTTGGAGCGCTTTCAGGCCTGTGGTGGAAAACGAATTATGGTCCCATAAAAACTGGAGAGAAGCCTTCTCAGAAACTTCTCTGTGATGATTGCATTCAACTCACAGGTTTGAACCCTCCTATGGATAGAGCATTGTTGAAACTCTCTTTTTGTGGAATCTGCAAGTGGATATGTGGACCTCTCCGAAGATGTCTTTGGAAACGGGAATATCTTCACATAAAAACTAAACAGAAGCATTCTCAGAAACTTCTTGGTGATGTTTGCATTCAAATCCCAGAGTTGAAACTTCCTGTGATAGTTCAGGTTTGAAACACACTTTTTGTAGGATCTGCAAGTGGATATTTGGACCACTCTGTGGCCTTCGTTCGAAACGGGTACATCTTCGCATAAAATCTAGACAGAAGCATTCTCAGAAAATACTTTGTGATGATTGAGTTTAACTCACAGAGCTGAACATTCCTTTGGATGGAGCAGGTTTGAGTCACACTTTTTGTAGAATCTACAAGTGGATATTTGGACCTCTCTGAGGATTTCGTTGGAAACGCGATAACTGCACCTAACTAAACGGAAGCATTCTCAGAAACTACTTTGTGATGATTGCATTCACCTCACCGAGTTGAACATTCCTATTGATAGAGCAGTTTGGAAACACTCTTGTTGTGGAATGTGCAAGTGGAGATTTGGAGCGCTTTGAGGCCTATGGTAATAAAGGGAATAGCTTCATAGAAAAACTAGACAGATGCATTCTCAGGAACTTTTTGGTGATGTTTGTATTCAACTCCCAGAGTTGAACTTTCCTTTGGAAAGAGCAGCTATGAAACACTCTTTTTCTAGAATCTGCAAGTGGACGTTTGGAGGGCTTTGTGGTTTGTGGTGGAAAAGGAAATATCTTCAACTAAATACTAGATAGAAGCATTCTCAGAAGCTTCTCTGTGATGACTGCATTCAACTCACGGAGTTGAACACTCCTCTTGAGAGCGCAGTTTTGAAACTCTCTTTCTGTGGCATCCGCAAGGGGACATGTAGACCTCTTTGAAGATTTCGTTGGAAACGGAATCATCTTCACATAAAATCTATACAGAAGCAGTCTCAGAATCTTCTTTGTGATGTTTGCATTCAAATCCCCGAGTTGAACTTTCCTTTCAAAGTTCACGTTTGAAACACTCTTTTTGCAGGATCTACAAGTGGATATTTGGACCACTCTGTGTCCTTCGTTCGAAACGGGTATATCTTCACATGACATCTAGACAGAAGCTTTCTCAAAAAATTCTTTGGGATGATTGAGTTGAACTCACAGAGCTGAGCATTCCTTGCGATGTAGCAGTTTAGAAACACACTTTCTGCAGAATCTGCAAGTGCATATTTGGAACTCTGTGAGGAATTCGTTGGAAACGGGATAATTTCAGCTGACTAAACAGAAGCATTCTCAGAACCTTCTTCGTGATGTCTGCATTCAACTCACAGTGTGGAACCTTTCTTTGATAGTTCAGGTTTGAAACACTCTTTCTGTAGAAACTGCAAGGGGATAATTGCACTCTTTGAGGAGTACCGTAGTAAAGGAAATAACTTCCTATAAAAAGAAGACAGAAGCATTCTCAGAACCCTCTTCGTGATGTTTGCATTCAACTCACAGTGCTGAACCTTTCTTTGATAGTTCAGCTTTGAAACACTCTTTTTGTAGAAACTGCAAGTGGATATTTGGTCCTCTCTGAGCATTTCGTTGGAAACGGGATAAACTGCACAGAACTAAACAGAAGCATTCTCAGAACCTTCTTCGTGATGTTTGCATTCAACTCACAGTGTTGAACCTTTCTTTGATAGTTCAGGTTTGAAACGGTCTTTCTGTAGAAACTGCAAGTAGATATTTGGACCTCTCTGAGGATTTCGTTGGAAACGGGATAACCCGCACAGAACTAAAACAGAAGCATTCACAGAAAACTCTTGGTGACGACTGAGTTTAACTCACAGAGCTGAACATTCCTTTGGATGGAGCAGTTTCGAAACACACTATTTGTAGAATGTGCAAGTGGATATTTAGGCCTCTCTGAGGATTTCGTTGGAAACGGGATAAACCGCACAGAACTAAACAGAAGCATTCTCAGTAAACTACTTTGTGATGATTGCATTCAAGTCACAGAGTTGAACATTCCCTTTGACAGAGCAGTTTGGAAACTCTCTTTGTGTAGAATCTGCAAGTGGAGATATGGACCGCTTTGAGGCCTATGGTAGTAAAGGAAATAGCTTCATATAAAAGCTAGACAGTAGCATTCTCAGAAACTTCTTTGTGATGCTTGCATTCAACTCACAGAGTTGAACTTCCCTTTCGAGAGAGAAGCTTTGAAACACTCTTTTTCCAGAATGTGCAAGTGGACATTTGGAGGGCTTTGAGGCCTGTGGTGGAAAAGGAGTTATCTTCCCGTAAAAGCTAGATAGAAGCATTGTCAGAAACTTCTTTGTGATGATTGCATTCAACTCACAGAGTTGAAGGTTCCTTTTCAAACAGCAGTTTCCAATCACTCTTTCTGTGGAATCTGCAAGTGGATATTTCGACCTCTTTGAAGATTTCGTTGGAAACGGGAGAATCTTCACAGAAAAGCTAAACAGAAGCATTCTCAGAAACTTCTCTGTGATGTTTGTGTTCAACTCCCAGAGTTTCACGTTGCTTTTCATAGAGTAGTTCTGAAACATGCTTTTCGTAGTGTCTGCAAGTGGACATTTGGAGCGCTTTCAGGCCTGTGGTGGAAAACGAATTATGGTCACATGAAAACTGGAGAGAAGCCTTCTCAGAAACTTCTCTGTGATGATTGCATTCAACTCACAGAGTTGAACCCTCCTATGGATAGAGCAGTGTTGAAACTCTCTTTTTGTGGAATCTGCAAGTGGATATGTGGACCTCTCCGAAGATGTCTTTGGAAACGGGAATATCTTCACATAAAAACTAAACAGAAGCATTCTCAGAAACTTCTTGGTGATGTTTGCATTCAAATCCCAGAGTTGAACCTTCCTTTGATAGTTCAGGTTTGAAACACTCTTTCTGTAGGATCTGCAAGTGGCTATTTGGACCACTCTGTGGCCTTCGTTCGAAACGGGTATATCTTCGCATAAAATCTAGACAGAAGCATTCTCAGAAAATACTTTGTGATGATTGAGTTTAAATCACAGAGCTGACCATTCCTTTGGATGGAGCAGGTTTGAGACACACTTTTTGTAGAATCTACAAGTGGATATTTGGACCTCTCTGAGGATTTCGTTGGAAACGGGATAACTGCACCTAACTAAACGGAAGCATTCTCAGAAACTGCTTTGTGATGATTGCATTCACCTCACAGAGTTGAACATTCCTATTGATAGAGCAGTTTGGAAACACTCTTGTTGTGGAATGTGCAAGTGGAGATTTGGAGCGCTTTGAGGCCTATGGTAGTAAAGGGAATAGCTTCATAGAAAAACTAGACAGATGCATTCTCAGGAACCTTTTGGTGATGTTTGTATTCAACTCCCAGAGTTGAACTTTCCTTTGGAAAGAGCAGCTATGAAACACTCTTTTTCTAGAATCTGCAAGTGGACGTTTGGAGGGCTTTGTGGTTTGTGGTGGAAAAGGAAATATCTTCACCTAAATACTAGATAGAAGCATTCTCAGAAGCTTCTCTGTGATGACTGCATTCAACTCACGGAGTTGAACACTCCTTTTGAGAGCGCAGTTTTGAAACTCTCTTTCTGTGGCATCTGCAAGGGGACATGTAGACCTCTTTGAAGATTTCGTTGGAAACGGAATCATCTTCACATAAAAACTATACAGAAGCAGTCTCAGAATCTTCTTTGTGATGTTTGCATTCAAATCCCAGAGTTGAACTTTCCTTTCAAAGTTCACGTTTGAAACACTCTTTTTGCAGGATCTACAAGTGGATATTTGGACCACTCTGTGTCCTTCGTTCGAAACGGGTATATCTTCACACGACATCTAGACAGAAGCTTTCTCAGAAAATTCTTTGGGATGATTGAGTGGAACTCACAGAGCTGAACATTCCTTGCGATGTAGCAGTTTAGAAACACACTTTCTGCAGAATCTGCAAGTGCATATTTGGACCTCTCTGAGGAATTCGTTGGAAACGGGATAATTTCAGCTGACTAAACAGAAGCATTCTCAGAACCTTCTTCGTGATGTCTGCATTCAACTCACAGTGTGGAACCTTTCTTTGATAGTTCAGGTTTGAAACACTCTTTTTGTAGAAACTGCAAGGGGATAATTGCACTTCTTTGAGGCCTACCGTAGTAAAGGAAATAACTTCCTATAGAAAGAAGACAGAAGCATTCTCAGAACCCTCTTCGTGATGTTTGCATTCAACTCACAGTGCTGAACCTTTCTTTGATAGTTCAGCTTTGAAACACTCTTCTTGTAGAAACTGCAAGTGGATATTTGGTCCTCTCTGAGGATTTCGTTGGAAACGGGATAAACCGCACAGAACTAAACAGAAGAATTCTCAGAGCCCTCTTCGTGATGTTTGCATTCAACTCACAGTGCTGAACCTTTCTTTGATAGTGCAGCTTTGAAACACTCTTTTTGTAGAAACTGCAAGTGGATGTTTGGTCCTCTCTGAGGATTTCGTTGGAAACGGGATAAACCGCACAGAACTAAAACAGAAGCATTGTCAGAAACTTCTTTGTGATGATTGCATTCAACTCACAGAGTTGAAGGTTCCTTTTCAAACAGCAGTTTCCAATCACTCTTTCTGTGGAATCTGCAAGTGGATATTTGGGCCTCTCTGAGGATTTCGTTGGAAACGGGATAAAACGCACAGAACTAAAACAGAAGCATTCTCAGAAACTTCTCTGTGATGTTTGTGTTCAACTCCCAGAGTTTCACGTTGCTTTTCATAGAGTAGTTCTGAAACATGCTTTTCGTAGTGTCTGCAAGTGGACATTTGGAGCGCTTTCAGGCCTGTGGTGGAAAACGAATTATGGTCACATAAAAACTGGAGAGAAGCCTTCTCAGAAACTTCTCTGTGATGATTGCATTCAACTCACAGAGTTGAACCCTCCTATGGATAGAGCAGTGTTGAAACTCTCTTTTTGTGGAATCTGCAAGTGGATATGTGGACCTCTCCGAAGATGTCTTTGGAAACGGGAATATCTTCACATAAAAACTAAACAGAAGCATTCTCAGAAACTTCTTGGTGATGTTTGCATTCAAATCCCAGAGTTGAACCTTCCTTTGATAGTTCAGGTTTGAAACACTCTTTCTGTAGGATCTGCAAGTGGCTATTTGGACCACTCTGTGGCCTTCGTTCGAAACGGGTATATCTTCGCATAAAATCTAGACAGAAGCATTCTCAGAAAATACTTTGTGATGATTGAGTTTAACTCACAGCAGCTGAACATTCCTTTGGATGGAGCAGGTTTGAGACACACTTTTTGTAGAATCTACAAGTGGATATTTGGACCTCTCTGAGGATTTCGTTGGAAACGGGATAACTGCACCTAACTAAACGGAAACATTCTCAGAAACTGCTTTGTGATGATTGCATTCACCTCACAGAGTTGAACATTCCTATTGATAGAGCAGTTTGGAAACACTCTTGTTGTGGAATGTGCAAGTGGAGATTTGGAGTGCTTTGAGGCCTATGGTAGTAAAGGGAATAGCTTCATAGAAAAACTAGACAGATGCATTCTCAGGAACTTTTTGGTGATGTTTGTATTCAACTCCCAGAGTTGAACTTTCCTTTGGAAAGAGCAGCTATGAAACACTCTTTTTCTAGAATCTGCAAGTGGACGTTTGGAGGGCTTTGTGGTTTGTGGTGGAAAAGGAAATATCTTCACCTAAATACTAGGATAGAAGCATTCTCAGAAGCTTCTCTGTGATGACTGCATTCAACTCACGGAGTTGAACACTCCTTTTGAGAGCGCAGTTTTGAAACTCTCTTTCTGTGGCATCTGCAAGGGGACATGTAGACCTCTTTGAAGATTTCGTTGGAAACGGAATCATCTTCACATAAAAACTATACAGAAGCAGTCTCAGAATCTTCTTTGTGATGTTTGCATTCAAATCCCAGAGTTGAACTTTCCTTTCAAAGTTCACGTTTGAAACACTCTTTTTGCAGGATCTACAAGTGGATATTTGGACCACTCTGTGTCCTTCGTTCGAAACGGGTATATCTTCACATGACATCTAGACGGAAGCTTTCTCAGAAAATTCTTTGGGATGATTGAGTTGAACTCACAGAGCTGAACATTCCTTGCGATGGAGCAGTTAGAAACACACTTTCTGCAGAATCTACAAGTGCATATTTGGATCTCTCTGAGGAATTCGTTGGAAACGGGATAATTTCAGCTGACTAAACAGAAGCATTCTCAGAACCTTCTTCGTGATGTCTGCATTCAACTCACAGTGTGGAACCTTTCTTTGATAGTTCAGGTTTGAAACACTCTTTTTGTGGAAACTGCAAGGGGATAATTGCACTTCTTTGAGGCCTACCGTAGTAATGGAAATAACTTCCTATAAAAAGAAGACAGAAGCATTCTCAGAACCCTCTTCGTGATGTTTGCATTCAACTCACAGTGCTGAACCTTTCTTTGATAGTTCAGCTTTGAAACACTCTTCTTGTAGAAACTGCAAGTGGATATTTGGTCCTCTCTGAGGATTTCGTTGGAAACGGGATAAACCGCACAGAACTAAACAGAAGAATTCTCAGAGCCCTCTTCGTGATGTTTGCATTCAACTCACAGTGCTGAACCTTTCTTTGATAGTGCAGCTTTGAAACACTCTTTTTGTAGAAACTGCAAGTGGATGTTTGGTCCTCTCTGAGGATTTCGTTGGAAACGGGATAAACCGCACAGAACTAAAACAGAAGCATTGTCAGAAACTTCTTTGTGATGATTGCATTCAACTCACAGAGTTGAAGGTTCCTTTTCAAACAGCAGTTTCCAATCACTCTTTCTGTGGAATCTGCAAGTGGATATTTGGGCCTCTCTGAGGATTTCGTTGGAAACGGGATAAAACGCACAGAACTAAAACAGAAGCATTCTCAGAAACTTCTCTGTGATGTTTGTGTTCAACTCCCAGAGTTTCACGTTGCTTTTCATAGAGTAGTTCTGAAACATGCTTTTCGTAGTGTCTGCAAGTGGACATTTGGAGCGCTTTCAGGCCTGTGGTGGAAAACGAATTATGGTCACATAAAAACTGGAGAGAAGCCTTCTCAGAAACTTCTCTGTGATGATTGCATTCAACTCACAGAGTTGAACCCTCCTATGGATAGAGCAGTGTTGAAACTCTCTTTTTGTGGAATCTGCAAGTGGATATGTGGACCTCTCCGAAGATGTCTTTGGAAACGGGAATATCTTCACATAAAAACTAAACAGAAGCATTCTCAGAAACTTCTTGGTGATGTTTGCATTCAAATCCCAGAGTTGAACCTTCCTTTGATAGTTCAGGTTTGAAACACTCTTTTTGTAGGATCTGCAAGTGGCTATTTGGACCACTCTGTGGCCTTCGTTCGAAACGGGTATATCTTCGCATAAAATCTAGACAGAAGCATTCTCAGAAAATACTTTGTGATGATTGAGTTTAACTCACAGAGCTGAACATTCTTTTGGATGGAGCAGGTTTGAGACACACTTTTTGTAGAATCTACAAGTGGATATTTGGACCTCTCTGAGGATTTCGTTGGAAACGGGATAACTGCACCTAACTAAACGGAAGCATTCTCAGAAACTGCTTTGTGATGATTGCATTCACCTCACAGAGTTGAACATTCCTATTGATAGAGCAGTTTGGAAACACTCTTGTTGTGGAATGTGCAAGTGGAGATTTGGAGCGCTTTGAGGCCTATGGTAGTAAAGGGAATAGCTTCATAGAAAAACTAGACAGATGCATTCTCAGGAACTTTTTGGTGATGTTTGTATTCAACTCCCAGAGTTGAACTTTCCTTTGGAAAGAGCAGCTATGAAACACTCTTTTTCTAGAATCTGCAAGTGGACGTTTGGAGGGCTTTGTGGTTTGTGGTGGAAAAGGAAATATCTTCACCTAAATACTAGATAGAAGCATTCTCAGAAGCTTCTCTGTGATGACTGCATTCAACTCACGGAGTTGAACACTCCTTTTGAGAGCGCAGTTTTGAAACTCTCTTTCTGTGGCATCTGCAAGGGGACATGTAGACCTCTTTGAAGATTTCGTTGGAAACGGAATCATCTTCACATAAAAACTATACAGAAGCAGTCTCAGAATCTTCTTTGTGATGTTTGCATTCAAATCCCCGAGTTGAACTTTCCTTTCAAAGTTCACGTTTGAAACACTCTTTTTGCAGGATCTACAAGTGGATATTTGGACCACTCTGTGTCCTTCGTTCGAAACGGGTATATCTTCACATGACATCTAGACAGAAGCTTTCTCAGAAAATTCTTTGGGATGATTGAGTTGAACTCACAGAGCTGAGCATTCCTTGCGATGTAGCAGTTTAGAAACACACTTTCTGCAGAATCTGCAAGTGCATATTTGGACCTCTGTGAGGAATTCGTTGGAAACGGGATAATTTCAGCTGACTAAACAGAAGCATTCTCAGAACCTTCTTCGTGATGTCTGCATTCAACTCACAGTGTGGAACCTTTCTTTGATAGTTCAGGTTTGAAACACTCTTTCTGTAGAAACTGCAAGGGGATAATTGCACTCTTTGAGGAGTACCGTAGTAAAGGAAATAACTTCCTATAAAAAGAAGACAGAAGCATTCTCAGAACCCTCTTCGTGATGTTTGCATTCAACTCACAGTGCTGAACCTTTCTTTGATAGTTCAGCTTTGAAACACTCTTTTTGTAGAAACTGCAAGTGGATATTTGGTCCTCTCTGAGGATTTCGTTGGAAACGGGATAAACTGCACAGAACTAAACAGAAGCATTCTCAGAACCTTCTTCGTGATGTTTGCATTCAACTCACAGTGTTGAACCTTTCTTTGATAGTTCAGGTTTGAAACGGTCTTTCTGTAGAAACTGCAAGTAGATATTTGGACCTCTCTGAGGATTTCGTTGGAAACGGGATAACCCGCACAGAACTAAAACAGAAGCATTCACAGAAAACTCTTGGTGACGACTGAGTTTAACTCACAGAGCTGAACATTCCTTTGGATGGAGCAGTTTCGAAACACACTATTTGTAGAATGTGCAAGTGGATATTTAGGCCTCTCTGAGGATTTCGTTGGAAACGGGATAAACCGCACAGAACTAAACAGAAGCATTCTCAGAAACTACTTTGTGATGATTGCATTCAAGTCACAGTAGTTGAACATTCCCTTTGACAGAGCAGTTTGGAAACTCTCTTTGTGTAGAATCTGCAAGTGGAGATATGGACCGCTTTGAGGCCTATGGTAGTAAAGGAAATAGCTTCATATAAAAGCTAGACAGTAGCATTCTCAGAAACTTCTTTGTGATGCTTGCATTCAACTCACAGAGTTGAACTTTCCTTTCGAGAGAGAAGCTTTGAAACACTCTTTTTCCAGAATCTGCAAGTGGACATTTGGAGGGCTTTGAGGCCTGTGGTGGAAAAGGAATTATCTTCCCGTAAAAGCTAGATAGAAGCATTGTCAGAAACTTCTTTGTGATGATTGCATTCAACTCACAGAGTTGAAGGTTCCTTTTCAAAGAGCAGTTTCCAATCACTCTTTCTGTGGAATCTGCAAGTGGATATTTGGACCTATTTTGAAGATTTCGTTGGAAACGGGAGAATCTTCACAGGAAAGCTAAACAGAAGCATTCTCAGAAACTTCTCTGTGATGTTTGTGTTCAACTCCCAGAGTTTCACATTGCTTTTCATAGAGTAGTTCTGAAACATGCTTTTCGTAGTGTCTACAAGTGGACATTTGGAGCGCTTTCAGGCCTGTGGTGGAAAACGAATTATGGTCACATAAAAACTGGAGAGAAGCCTTCTCAGAAACTTCTCTGTGATGATTGCATTCAACTCACAGAGTTGAACCCTCCTATGGATAGAGCAGTGTTGAAACTCTCTTTTTGTGGAATCTGCAAGTGGATATGTGGACCTCTCCGAAGATGTCTTTGGAAACGGGAATATCTTCACATAAAAACTAAACAGAAGCATTCTCAGTAAACTTCTTGGTGATGTTTGCATTCAAATCCCAGAGTTGAACCTTCCTTTGATAGTTCAGGTTTGAAACACTCTTTTTGTAGGATCTGCAAGTGGATATTTGGACCACTCTGTGGCCTTCGTTCGAAACGGGTATATCTTCGCATAAAATCTAGACAGAAGCATTCTCAGAAAATACTTTGTGATGATTGAGTTTAACTCACAGAGCTGAACATTCCTTTGGATGGAGCAGGCTTGAGACACACTTTTTGTAGAATCCACAAGTGGATATTTGGACCTCTCTGAGGATTTCGTTGGAAACGGGATAACTGCACCGAACTAAACGGAAGCATTCTCAGAAACTGCTTTGTGATGATTGCATTCACCTCACAGAGTTGACCATTCCTATTGATAGAGCAGTTTGGAAACACTCTTGTTGTGGAATGTGCAAGTGGAGATTTGGAGTGCTTTGAGGCCTATGGTAGTAAAGGGAATAGCTTCATAGAAAAACTAGACAGATGCATTCTCAGGAACTTTTTGGTGATGTTTGTATTCAACTCCCAGAGTTGAACTTTCCTTTGGAAAGAGCAGCTATGAAACACTCTTTTTCTAGAATCTGCAAGTGGACGTTTGGAGGGCTTTGTGGTTTGTGGTGGAAAAGGAAATATCTTCACCTAAATACTAGATAGAAGCATTCTCAGAAGCTTCTCTGTGATGACTGCATTCAACTCACGGAGTTGAACACTCCTTTTGAGAGCGCAGTTTTGAAAATCTCTTTCTGTGGCATCTGCAAGGGGACATGTAGACCTCTTTGAAGATTTCGTTGGAAACGGAATCATCTTCACATAAAAACTATACAGAAGCAGTCTCAGAATCTTCTTTGTGATGTTTGCATTCAAATCCCAGAGTTGAACTTTCCTTTCAAAGTTCACGTTTGAAACACTCTTTTTGCAGGATCTACAAGTGGATATTTGGACCACTCTGTGTCCTTCGTTCGAAACGGGTATATCTTCACATGACATCTAGACAGAAGCTTTCTCAGAAAATTCTTTGGGATGATTGAGTTGAACTCACAGTGCTGAACATTCCTAGCGATGTAGCAGTTTAGAAACACACTTTCTGCAGAATCTGCAAGTGCATATTTGGACCTCTGTGAGGAATTCGTTGGAAACGGGATAATTTCAGCTGACTAAACAGAAGCGTTCTCAGAACCTTCTTCGTGATGTCTGCATTCAACTCACAGTGTGGAACCTTTCTTTGATAGCTCAGGTTTGAAACACTCTTTTTGTAGAAACTGCAAGGGGATAATTGCACTTCTTTGAGGCCTACCGTAGTAAAGGAAATAACTTCCTATAAAAAGAAGACAGAAGCATTCTCAGAACCCTCTTCGTGATGTTTGCATTCAACTCACACTGCTGAAACTTTCTTTGATAGTTCAGCTTTGAAACACTCTTTTTGTAGAAACTGCAAGTGGATATTTGGTCCTCTCTGAGGATTTCGTTGGAAACGGGATAAACCGCACAGAACTAAACAGAAGCATTCACAGAAAACTCTTGGTGACGACTGAGTTTAACTCACAGAGCTGAACATTCCTTTGGATGGAGCAGTTTTGAAACACACTATTTGTAGATTCTGCAAGTGGATATTTGGGCCTCTCTGAGGATTTCACTGGAAACGGGATAAACCGCACAGAACTAAAACAGAAGCATTCTCAGAAACTACTTTGTGATGATTGCATTCAAGTCACAGAGCTGAACATTCCCTTTGACAGAGCAGTTTGGAAACTCTCTTTGTGTAGAATCTGCAAGTGGAGATATGAAATGCTTTGGGGACTATGGTAGTAAAGGAAATAGCTTCATATAAAAGCTAGACAGTAGCATTCTCAGAAACTTCTTTGTGATGCTTGCATTCAACTCACAGAGTTGAACTTTCATTTCGAGAGAGAATCTTCGAAACACTCTTTTTCCAGAATCTGCAAGTGGACATTTGGAGGGCTTTGAGGCCTGTGGTGGAAAAGGAATTATCATCCCGTAAAAGCTAGATAGAAGCATTGTCAGAAACTTCTTTGTGATGATTGCATTCAACTCACAGAGTTGAAGGTTCCTTTTCAAACAGCGGTTTCCAAACACTGTTTCTGTGGAATCTGCAAGTGGATGTTTGGACCTCTTTGAAGATTTCGTTGGAAACGGGAGAATCTTCACAGAAAAGCTAAACAGAAGCATTCTCAGAAACTTCTCTGTGATGTTTGTGTTCAACTCCCAGAGTTTCACATTGCTTCTCATAGAGTAGTTCTGAAACATGCTTTTCGTAGTGTCTGCAAGTGGACATTTGGAGAGCTTTCAGGCCTGTGGTGGAAAACGAATTATGGTCACATAAAAACTGGAGAGAAGCCTTCTCAGAAACTTCTGTGTGATGACTGCATTCAACTCACAGAGTTGAACCCTCCTATGGATAGAGCAGTGTTGAAACTCTCTTTTTGTGGAATCTGCAAGTGGATATGTGGACCTCTTTGAAGATGTCTTTGGAAACGGGAATATCTTCACATAAAAACTAAACAGAAGCATTCTCAGAAACTTCTTGGTGATGTTTGCATTCAAATCCCAGAGTTGAACCTTCCTTTGATAGTTCAGGTTTGAAACACTCTTTCTGTAGGATCTGCAAGTGGCTATTTGGACCACTCTGTGGCCTTCGTTCGAAACGGGTATATCTTCGCATAAAATCTAGACAGAAGCATTCTCAGAAAATACTTTGTGATGATTGAGTTTAAATCACAGAGCTGACCATTCCTTTGGATGGAGCAGGTTTGAGACACACTTTTTGTAGAATCTACAAGTGGATATTTGGACCTCTCTGAGGATTTCGTTGGAAACGGGATAACTGCACCTAACTAAACGGAAGCATTCTCAGAAACTGCTTTGTGATGATTGCATTCACCTCACAGAGTTGAACATTCCTATTGATAGAGCAGTTTGGAAACACTCTTGTTGTGGAATGTGCAAGTGGAGATTTGGAGCGCTTTGAGGCCTGTGGTAGTAAAGGGAATAGCTTCATAGAAAAACTAGACAGATGCATTCTCAGGCAACTTTTTGGTGATGTTTGTATTCAACTCCCAGCAGTTGAACTTTCCTTTGGAAAGAGCAGCTATGAAACACCCTTTTTCTAGAATCTGCAAGTGGACGTTTGGAGGGCTTTGTGGTTTGTGGTGGAAAAGGAAATATCTTCACCTAAATACTAGATAGAAGCATTCTCAGAAGCTTCTCTGTGATGACTGCATTCAACTCACGGAGTTGAACACTCCTTTTGAGAGCGCAGTTTTGAAACTCTCTTTCTGTGGCATCTGCAAGGGACATGTAGACCTCTTTGAAGATTTCGTTGGAAACGGAATCATCTTCACATAAAAACTATACAGAAGCAGTCTCAGAATCTTCTTTGTGATGTTTGCATTCAAATCCCAGAGTTGAACTTTCCTTTCAAAGTTCACGTTTGAAACACTCTTTTTGCAGGATCTACAAGTGGATATTTGGACCACTCTGTGTCCTTCGTTCGAAACGGGTATATCTTCACACGACATCTAGACAGAAGCTTTCTCAGAAAATTCTTTGGGATGATTGAGTGGAACTCACAGAGCTGAACATTCCTTGCAATGTAGCAGTTTAGAAACACACTTTCTGCAGAATCTGCAAGTGCATATTTGGACCTCTCTGAGGAATTCGTTGGAAACGGGATAATTTCAGCTGACTAAACAGAAGCATTCTCAGAACCTTCTTCGTGATGTCTGCATTCAACTCACAGTGTGGAACCTTTCTTTGATAGTTCAGGTTTGAAACACTCTTTTTGTAGAAACTGCAAGGGGATAATTGCACTTCTTTGAGGCCTACCGTAGTAAAGGAAATAACTTCCTATAGAAAGAAGACAGAAGCATTCTCAGAACCCTCTTCGTGATGTTTGCATTCAACTCACAGTGCTGAACCTTTCTTTGATAGTTCAGCTTTGAAACACTCTTCTTGTAGAAACTGCAAGTGGATATTTGGTCCTCTCTGAGGATTTCGTTGGAAACGGGATAAACCGCACAGAACTAAACAGAAGAATTCTCAGAGCCCTCTTCGTGATGTTTGCATTCAACTCACAGTGCTGAACCTTTCTTTGATAGTGCAGCTTTGAAACACTCTTTTTGTAGAAACTGCAAGTGGATGTTTGGTCCTCTCTGAGGATTTCGTTGGAAACGGGATAAACCGCACAGAACTAAAACAGAAGCATTGTCAGAAACTTCTTTGTGATGATTGCATTCAACTCACAGAGTTGAAGGTTCCTTTTCAAACAGCAGTTTCCAATCACTCTTTCTGTGGAATCTGCAAGTGGATATTTGGGCCTCTCTGAGGATTTCGTTGGAAACGGGATAAAACGCACAGAACTAAAACAGAAGCATTCTCAGAAACTTCTCTGTGATGTTTGTGTTCAACTCCCAGAGTTTCACGTTGCTTTTCATAGAGTAGTTCTGAAACATGCTTTTCGTAGTGTCTGCAAGTGGACATTTGGAGCGCTTTCAGGCCTGTGGTGGAAAACGAATTATGGTCACATAAAAACTGGAGAGAAGCCTTCTCAGAAACTTCTCTGTGATGATTGCATTCAACTCACAGAGTTGAACCCTCCTATGGATAGAGCAGTGTTGAAACTCTCTTTTTGTGGAATCTGCAAGTGGATATGTGGACCTCTCCGAAGATGTCTTTGGAAACGGGAATATCTTCACATAAAAACTAAACAGAAGCATTCTCAGAAACTTCTTGGTGATGTTTGCATTCAAATCCCAGAGTTGAACCTTCCTTTGATAGTTCAGGTTTGAAACACTCTTTTTGTAGGATCTGCAAGTGGCTATTTGGACCACTCTGTGGCCTTCGTTCGAAACGGGTATATCTTCGCATAAAATCTAGACAGAAGCATTCTCAGAAAATACTTTGTGATGATTGAGTTTAAATCACAGAGCTGACCATTCCTTTGGATGGAGCAGGTTTGAGACACACTTTTTGTAGAATCTACAAGTGGATATTTGGACCTCTCTGAGGATTTCGTTGGAAACGGGATAACTGCACCTAACTAAACGGAAGCATTCTCAGAAACTGCTTTGTGATGATTGCATTCACCTCACAGAGTTGAACATTCCTATTGATAGAGCAGTTTGGAAACACTCTTGTTGTGGAATGTGCAAGTGGAGATTTGGAGCGCTTTGAGGTCTATGGTAGTAAAGGGAATAGCTTCATAGAAAAACTAGACAGATGCATTCTCAGGAACTTTTTGGTGATGTTTGTATTCAACTCCCAGAGTTGAACTTTCCTTTGGAAAGAGCAGCTATGAAACACTCTTTTTCTAGAATCTGCAAGTGGACGTTTGGAGGGCTTTGTGGTTTGTGGTGGAAAAGGAAATATCTTCACCTAAATACTAGATAGAAGCATTCTCAGAAGCTTCTCTGTGATGACTGCATTCAACTCACGGAGTTGAACACTCCTTTTGAGAGCGCAGTTTTGAAACTCTCTTTCTGTGGCATCTGCAAGGGGACATGTAGACCTCTTTGAAGATTTCGTTGGAAACGGAATCATCTTCACATAAAAACTATACAGAAGCAGTCTCAGAATCTTCTTTGTGATGTTTGCATTCAAATCCCAGAGTTGAACTTTCCTTTCAAAGTTCACGTTTGAAACACTCTTTTTGCAGGATCTACAAAGTGGATATTTGGACCACTCTGTGTCCTTCGTTCGAAACGGGTATATCTTCACACGACATCTAGACAGAAGCTTTCTCAGAAAATTCTTTGGGATGATTGAGTGGAACTCACAGAGCTGAACATTCCTTGCGATGTAGCAGTTTAGAAACACACTTTCTGCAGAATCTGCAAGTGCATATTTGGACCTCTCTGAGGAATTCGTTGGAAACGGGATAATTTCAGCTGACTAAACAGAAGCATTCTCAGAACCTTCTTCGTGATGTCTGCATTCAACTCACAGTGTGGAACCTTTCTTTGATAGTTCAGGTTTGAAACACTCTTTTTGTAGAAACTGCAAGGGGATAATTGCACTTCTTTGAGGCCTACCGTAGTAAAGGAAATAACTTCCTATAGAAAGAAGACAGAAGCATTCTCAGAACCCTCTTCGTGATGTTTGCATTCAACTCACAGTGCTGAACCTTTCTTTGATAGTTCAGCTTTGAAACACTCTTCTTGTAGAAACTGCAAGTGGATATTTGGTCCTCTCTGAGGATTTCGTTGGAAACGGGATAAACCGCACAGAACTAAACAGAAGCATTCTCAGAGACCTCTTCGTGATGTTTGCATTCAACTCACAGTGCTGAACCTTTCTTTGATAGTGCAGCTTTGAAACACTCTTTTTGTAGAAACTGCAAGTGGATGTTTGGTCCTCTCTGAGGATTTCGTTGGAAACGGGATAAACCGCACAGAACTAAAACAGAAGCATTGTCAGAAACTTCTTTGTGATGATTGCATTCAACTCACAGAGTTGAAGGTTCCTTTTCAAACAGCAGTTTCCAATCACTCTTTCTGTGGAATCTGCAAGTGGATATTTGGGCCTCTCTGAGGATTTCGTTGGAAACGGGATAAAACGCACAGAACTAAAACAGAAGCATTCTCAGAAACTTCTCTGTGATGTTTGTGTTCAACTCCCAGAGTTTCACGTTGCTTTTCATAGAGTAGTTCTGAAACATGCTTTTCGTAGTGTCTGCAAGTGGACATTTGGAGCGCTTTCAGGCCTGTGGTGGAAAACGAATTATGGTCACATAAAAACTGGAGAGAAGCCTTCTCAGAAACTTCTCTGTGATGATTGCATTCAACTCACAGAGTTGAACCCTCCTATGGATAGAGCAGTGTTGAAACTCTCTTTTTGTGGAATCTGCAAGTGGATATGTGGACCTCTCCGAAGATGTCTTTGGAAACGGGAATATCTTCACATAAAAACTAAACAGAAGCATTCTCAGAAACTTCTTGGTGATGTTTGCATTCAAATCCCAGAGTTGAACCTTCCTTTGATAGTTCAGGTTTGAAACACTCTTTCTGTAGGATCTGCAAGTGGCTATTTGGACCACTCTGTGGCCTTCGTTCGAAACGGGTATATCTTCGCATAAAATCTAGACAGAAGCATTCTCAGAAAATACTTTGTGATGATTGAGTTTAAATCACAGAGCTGACCATTCCTTTGGATGGAGCAGGTTTGAGACACACTTTTTGTAGAATCTACAAGTGGATATTTGGACCTCTCTGAGGATTTCGTTGGAAACGGGATAACTGCACCTAACTAAACGGAAGCATTCTCAGAAACTGCTTTGTGATGATTGCATTCACCTCACAGAGTTGAACATTCCTATTGATAGAGCAGTTTGGAAACACTCTTGTTGTGGAATGTGCAAGTGGAGATTTGGAGCGCTTTGAGGCCTGTGGTAGTAAAGGGAATAGCTTCATAGAAAAACTAGACAGATGCATTCTCAGGAACCTTTTGGTGATGTTTGTATTCAACTCCCAGAGTTGAACTTTCCTTTGGAAAGAGCAGCTATGAAACACTCTTTTTCTAGAATCTGCAAGTGGACGTTTGGAGGGCTTTGTGGTTTGTGGTGGAAAAGGAAATATCTTCACCTAAATACTAGATAGAAGCATTCTCAGAAGCTTCTCTGTGATGACTGCATTCAACTCACGGAGTTGAACACTCCTTTTGAGAGCGCAGTTTTGAAACTCTCTTTCTGTGGCATCTGCAAGGGGACATGTAGACCTCTTTGAAGATTTCGTTGGAAACGGAATCATCTTCACATAAAAACTATACAGAAGCAGTCTCAGAATCTTCTTTGTGATGTTTGCATTCAAATCCCAGAGTTGAACTTTCCTTTCAAAGTTCACGTTTGAAACACTCTTTTTGCAGGATCTACAAGTGGATATTTGGACCACTCTGTGTCCTTCGTTCGAAACGGGTATATCTTCACACGACATCTAGACAGAAGCTTTCTCAGAAAATTCTTTGGGATGATTGAGTGGAACTCACAGAGCTGAACATTCCTTGCGATGTAGCAGTTTAGAAACACACTTTCTGCAGAATCTGCAAGTGCATATTTGGACCTCTCTGAGGAATTCGTTGGAAACGGGATAATTTCAGCTGACTAAACAGAAGCATTCTCAGAACCTTCTTCGTGATGTCTGCATTCAACTCACAGTGTGGAACCTTTCTTTGATAGTTCAGGTTTGAAACACTCTTTTTGTAGAAACTGCAAGGGGATAATTGCACTTCTTTGAGGCCTACCGTAGTAAAGGAAATAACTTCCTATAGAAAGAAGACAGAAGCATTCTCAGAACCCTCTTCGTGATGTTTGCATTCAACTCACAGTGCTGAACCTTTCTTTGATAGTTCAGCTTTGAAACACTCTTCTTGTAGAAACTGCAAGTGGATATTTGGTCCTCTCTGAGGATTTCGTTGGAAACGGGATAAACCGCACAGAACTAAACAGAAGAATTCTCAGAGCCCTCTTCGTGATGTTTGCATTCAACTCACAGTGCTGAACCTTTCTTTGATAGTGCAGCTTTGAAACACTCTTTTTGTAGAAACTGCAAGTGGATGTTTGGTCCTCTCTGAGGATTTCGTTGGAAACGGGATAAACCGCACAGAACTAAAACAGAAGCATTGTCAGAAACTTCTTTGTGATGATTGCATTCAACTCACAGAGTTGAAGGTTCCTTTTCAAACAGCAGTTTCCAATCACTCTTTCTGTGGAATCTGCAAGTGGATATTTGGGCCTCTCTGAGGATTTCGTTGGAAACGGGATAAAACGCACAGAACTAAAACAGAAGCATTCTCAGAAACTTCTCTGTGATGTTTGTGTTCAACTCCCAGAGTTTCACGTTGCTTTTCATAGAGTAGTTCTGAAACATGCTTTTCGTAGTGTCTGCAAGTGGACATTTGGAGCGCTTTCAGGCCTGTGGTGGAAAACGAATTATGGTCACATAAAAACTGGAGAGAAGCCTTCTCAGAAACTTCTCTGTGATGATTGCATTCAACTCACAGAGTTGAACCCTCCTATGGATAGAGCAGTGTTGAAACTCTCTTTTTGTGGAATCTGCAAGTGGATATGTGGACCTCTCCGAAGATGTCTTTGGAAACGGGAATATCTTCACATAAAAACTAAACAGAAGCATTCTCAGAAACTTCTTGGTGATGTTTGCATTCAAATCCCAGAGTTGAACCTTCCTTTGATAGTTCAGGTTTGAAACACTCTTTCTGTAGGATCTGCAAGTGGCTATTTGGACCACTCTGTGGCCTTCGTTCGAAACGGGTATATCTTCGCATAAAATCTAGACAGAAGCATTCTCAGAAAATACTTTGTGATGATTGAGTTTAAATCACAGAGCTGACCATTCCTTTGGATGGAGCAGGTTTGAGACACACTTTTTGTAGAATCTACAAGTGGATATTTGGACCTCTCTGAGGATTTCGTTGGAAACGGGATAACTGCACCTAACTAAACGGAAGCATTCTCAGAAACTGCTTTGTGATGATTGCATTCACCTCACAGAGTTGAACATTCCTATTGATAGAGCAGTTTGGAAACACTCTTGTTGTGGAATGTGCAAGTGGAGATTTGGAGCGCTTTGAGGCCTATGGTAGTAAAGGGAATAGCTTCATAGAAAAACTAGACAGATGCATTCTCAGGAACTTTTTGGTGATGTTTGTATTCAACTCCCAGAGTTGAACTTTCCTTTGGAAAGAGCAGCTATGAAACACTTTTTCTAGAATCTGCAAGTGGACGTTTGGAGGGCTTTGTGGTTTGTGGTGGAAAAGGAAATATCTTCACCTAAATACTAGATAGAAGCATTCTCAGAAGCTTCTCTGTGATGACTGCATTCAACTCACGGAGTTGAACACTCCTTTTGAGAGCGCAGTTTTGAAACTCTCTTTCTGTGGCATCTGCAAGGGGACATGTAGACCTCTTTGAAGATTTCGTTGGAAACGGAATCATCTTCACATAAAAACTATACAGAAGCAGTCTCAGAATCTTCTTTGTGATGTTTGCATTCAAATCCCAGAGTTGAATTTCCTTTCAAAGTTCACGTTTGAAACACTCTTTTTGCAGGATCTACAAGTGGATATTTGGACCACTCTGTGTCCTTCGTTCGAAACGGGTATATCTTCACATGACATCTAGACAGAAGCTTTCTCAGAAAATTCTTTGGGATGATTGAGTGGAACTCACAGAGCTGAACATTCCTTGCGATGTAGCAGTTTAGAAACACACTTTCTGCAGAATCTGCAAGTGCATATTTGGACCTCTCTGAGGAATTCGTTGGAAACGGGATAATTTCAGCTGACTAAACAGAAGCATTCTCAGAACCTTCTTCGTGATGTCTGCATTCAACTCACAGTGTGGAACCTTTCTTTGATAGTTCAGGTTTGAAACACTCTTTTTGTAGAAACTGCAAGGGGATAATTGCACTTCTTTGAGGCCTACCGTAGTAAAGGAAATAACTTCCTATAGAAAGAAGACAGAAGCATTCTCAGAACCCTCTTCGTGATGTTTGCATTCAACTCACAGTGCTGAACCTTTCTTTGATAGTTCAGCTTTGAAACACTCTTCTTGTAGAAACTGCAAGTGGATATTTGGTCCTCTCTGAGGATTTCGTTGGAAACGGGATAAACCGCACAGAACTAAACAGAAGAATTCTCAGAGCCCTCTTCGTGATGTTTGCATTCAACTCACAGTGCTGAACCTTTCTTTGATAGTGCAGCTTTGAAACACTCTTTTTGTAGAAACTGCAAGTGGATGTTTGGTCCTCTCTGAGGATTTCGTTGGAAACGGGATAAACCGCACAGAACTAAAACAGAAGCATTGTCAGAAACTTCTTTGTGATGATTGCATTCAACTCACAGAGTTGAAGGTTCCTTTTCAAACAGCAGTTTCCAATCACTCTTTCTGTGGAATCTGCAAGTGGATATTTGGGCCTCTCTGAGGATTTCGTTGGAAACGGGATAAAACGCACAGAACTAAAACAGAAGCATTCTCAGAAACTTCTCTGTGATGTTTGTGTTCAACTCCCAGAGTTTCACGTTGCTTTTCATAGAGTAGTTCTGAAACATGCTTTTCGTAGTGTCTGCAAGTGGACATTTGGAGCGCTTTCAGGCCTGTGGTGGAAAACGAATTATGGTCACATAAAAACTGGAGAGAAGCCTTCTCAGGAAACTTCTCTGTGATGATTGCATTCAACTCACAGAGTTGAACCCTCCTATGGATAGAGCAGTGTTGAAACTCTCTTTTTGTGGAATCTGCAAGTGGATATGTGGACCTCTCCGAAGATGTCTTTGGAAACGGGAATATCTTCACATAAAAACTAAACAGAAGCATTCTCAGAAACTTCTTTGTGATATTTGCATTCAAATCCCAGAGTTGAAACTTCCTTTGATAGGTCAGGTTTGAAACACTCTTTCTGTACGATCTGCAAGTGGATATTTGGACCACTCTGTGGCCTTCGTTCGAAACGGGTACATCTTCACATAACATCTAGACAGAAGCATTCTCAGAAAATACTTTGTGATGATTGAGTTTAAATCACAGAGCTGACCATTCCTTTGGATGGAGCAGGTTTGAGACACACTTTTTGTAGAATCTACAAGTGGATATTTGGACCTCTCTGAGGATTTCGTTGGAAACGGGATAACTGCACCTAACTAAACGGAAGAATTCTCAGAAACTGCTTTGTGATGATTGCATTCACCTCACAGAGTTGAACATTCCTATTGATAGAGCAGTTTGGAAACACTCTTGTTGTGGAATGTGCAAGTGGAGATTTGGAGCGCTTTGAGGCCTATGGTAGTAAAGGGAATAGCTTCATAGAAAAACTAGACAGATGCATTCTCAGGAACTTTTTGGTGATGTTTGTATTCAACTCCCAGAGTTGAACTTTCCTTTGGAAAGAGCAGCTATGAAACACTCTTTTTCTAGAATCTGCAAGTGGACGTTTGGAGGGCTTTGTGGTTTGTGGTGGAAAAGGAAATATCTTCACCTAAATACTAGAGAGAAGCATTCTCAGAAGCTTCTCTGTGATGACTGCATTCAACTCACGGAGTTGAACACTCCTTTTGAGAGCGCAGTTTTGAAACTCTCTTTCTGTGGCATCCGCAAGGGGACATGTAGACCTCTTTGAAGATTTCGTTGGAAACGGAATCATCTTCACATAAAAACTATACAGAAGCAGTCTCAGAATCTTCTTTGTGATGTTTGCATTCAAATCCCAGAGTTGAACTTTCCTTTCAAAGTTCACGTTTGAAACACTCTTTTTGCAGGATCTACAAGTGGATATTTGGACCACTCTGTGTCCTTCGTTCGAAACGGGTATATCTTCACATGACATCTAGACAGAAGCTTTCTCAGAAAATTCTTTGGGATGATTGAGTGGAACTCACAGAGCTGAACATTCCTTGCGATGGAGCAGTTTAGAAACACACTTTCTGCAGAATCTGCAAGTGCATATTTGGACCTCTCTGAGGAATTCGTTGGAAACGGGATAATTTCAGCTGACTAAACAGAAGCATTCTCAGAACCTTCTTCGTGATGTCTGCATTCAACTCACAGTGTGGAACCTTTCTTTGATAGTTCAGGTTTGAAACACTCTTTTTGTAGAAACTGCAAGGGGATAATTGCACTTCTTTGAGGCCTACCGTAGTAAAGGAAATAACTTCCTATAGAAAGAAGACAGAAGCATTCTCAGAACCCTCTTCGTGATGTTTGCATTCAACTCACAGTGCTGAACCTTTCTTTGATAGTTCAGCTTTGAAACACTCTTCTTGTAGAAACTGCAAGTGGATATTTGGTCCTCTCTGAGGATTTCGTTGGAAACGGGATAAACCGCACAGAACTAAACAGAAGAATTCTCAGAGCCCTCTTCGTGATGTTTGCATTCAACTCACAGTGCTGAACCTTTCTTTGATAGTGCAGCTTTGAAACACTCTTTTTGTAGAAACTGCAAGTGGATGTTTGGTCCTCTCTGAGGATTTCGTTGGAAACGGGATAAACCGCACAGAACTAAAACAGAAGCATTGTCAGAAACTTCTTTGTGATGATTGCATTCAACTCACAGAGTTGAAGGTTCCTTTTCAAACAGCAGTTTCCAATCACTCTTTCTGTGGAATCTGCAAGTGGATATTTGGGCCTCTCTGAGGATTTCGTTGGAAACGGGATAAAACGCACAGAACTAAAACAGAAGCATTCTCAGAAACTTCTCTGTGATGTTTGTGTTCAACTCCCAGAGTTTCACGTTGCTTTTCATAGAGTAGTTCTGAAACATGCTTTTCCTAGTGTCTGCAAGTGGACATTTGGAGCGCTTTCAGGCCTGTGGTGGAAAACGAATTATGGTCACATAAAAACTGGAGAGAAGCCTTCTCAGAAACTTCTCTGTGATGATTGCATTCAACTCACAGAGTTGAACCCTCCTATGGATAGAGCAGTGTTGAAACTCTCTTTTTGTGGAATCTGCAAGTGGATATGTGGACCTCTCCGAAGATGTCTTTGGAAACGGGAATATCTTCACATAAAAACTAAACAGAAGCATTCTCAGAAACTTCTTGGTGATGTTTGTATTCAAATCCCAGAGTTGAACCTTCCTTTGATAGTTCAGGTTTGAAACACTCTTTTTGTAGGATCTGCAAGTGGCTATTTGGACCACTCTGTGGCCTTCGTTCGAAACGGGTACATCTTCGCATAAAATCTAGACAGAAGCATTCTCAGAAAATACTTTGTGATGATTGAGTTTAAATCACAGAGCTGAACATTCCTTTGGATGGAGCAGGTTTGAGACACACTTTTTGTAGAATCTACAAGTGGATATTTGGACCTCTCTGAGGATTTCGTTGGAAACGGGATAACTGCACCTAACTAAACGGAAGCATTCTCAGAAACTGCTTTGTGATGATTGCATTCACCTCACAGAGTTGAACATTCCTATTGATAGAGCAGTTTGGAAACACTCTTGTTGTGGAATGTGCAAGTGGAGATTTGGAGCGCTTTGAGGCCTATGGTAGTAAAGGGAATAGCTTCATAGAAAAACTAGACAGATGCATTCTCAGGAACTTTTTGGTGATGTTTGTATTCAACTCCCAGAGTTGAACTTTCCTTTGGAAAGAGCTGCTATGAAACACTCTTTTTCTAGAATCTGCAAGTGGACGTTTGGAGGGCTTTGTGGTTTGTGGTGGAAAAGGAAATATCTTCACCTAAATACTAGATAGAAGCATTCTCAGAAGCTTCTCTGTGATGACTGCATTCAACTCACGGAGTTGAACACTCCTTTTGAGAGCGCAGTTTTGAAACTCCCTTTCTGTGGCATCTGCAAGGGGACATGTAGACCTCTTTGAAGATTTCGTTGGAAACGGAATCATCTTCACATAAAAACTATACAGAAGCAGTCTCAGAATCTTCTTTGTGTTGTTTGCATTCAAATCCCAGAGTTGAACTTTCCTTTCAAAGTTCACGTTTGAAACACTCTTTTTGCAGGATCTACAAGTGGATATTTGGACCACTCTGTGTCCTTCGTTCGAAACGGGTATATCTTCACATGACATCTAGACAGAAGCTTTCTCAGAAAATTCTTTGGGATGATTGAGTGGAGCAAACAGAGCTGAACACTCCTTGCGATGTAGCAGTTTAGAAACACCCTTTCTGCAGAATCTGCAAGTGCATATGTGGACCTCTCTGAGGAATTCGTTGGAAACGGGATAATTTCAGCTGACTAAACAGAAGCATTCTCAGAACCTTCTTCGTGATGTCTGCATTCAACTCACAGTGTGGAACCTTTCTTTGATAGTTCAGGTTTGAAACACTCTTTTTGTAGAAACTGCAAGGGGATCATTGCACTTCTTTGAGGCCTACCGTAGTAAAGGAAATAACTTCCTATAAAAAGAAGACAGAAGCATTCTCAGAACCCTCTTCGTGATGTTTGCATTCAATTCACGGTGCTGAAACTTTCTTTGATAGTTCAGCTTTGAAACACTCTTTTTGTAGAAACTGCAAGTGGATATTTGGTCCTCTCTGAGGATTTCGTTGGAAACGGGATAAACCGCACAGAACTATACAGAAGCATTCTCAGAACCTTCTTCGTGATGTTTGCATTCAACTCACAGTGTTGAACCTTTCTTTGATAGTTCAGGTTTGAAACGGTCTTTCTGTAGAAACTGCAAGTAGATATTTGGCCCTCTCTGAGGATTTCGTTGGAAACGGGATAAACCGCACAGAACTAAAACAGAAGCATTCACAGAAAACTCTTGGTGACGACTGAGTTTAACTCACAGAGCTGAACATTCCTTTGGATGGAGCAGTTTCGAAACACACTATTTGTAGAATGTGCAAGTGGATATTTAGGCCTCTCTGAGGATTTCGTTGGAAACGGGATAAACCGCACAGAACTAAACAGAAGCATTCTCAGAAACTACTTTGTGATGATTGCATTCAAGTCACAGAGTTGAACATTCCCTTTGACAGAGCAGTTTGGAAACTCTCTTTGTGTAGAATCTGCAAGTGGAGATATGGACCGCTTTGAGGCCTATGGTAGTAAAGGAAATAGCTTCATATAAAAGTTAGACAGTAGCATTCTCAGAAACTTCTTTGTGATGCTTGCATTCAACTCACAGAGTTGAACTTTCCTTTCGAGAGAGAAGCTTTGAAACACTCTTTTTCCAGAATCTGCAAGTGGACATTTGGAGGGCTTTGAGGCCTGTGGTGGAAAAGGAATTATCTTCCCGTAAAAGCTAGATAGAAGCATTGTCAGAAACTTCTTTGTGATGATTGCATTCAACTCACAGAGTTGAAGGTTCCTTTTCAAAGAGCAGTTTCCAATCACTCTTTCTGTGGAATCTGCAAGTGGATATTTGGACCTATTTTGAAGATTTCGTTGGAAACGGGAGAATCTTCACAGGAAAGCTAAACAGAAGCATTCTCAGAAACTTCTCTGTGATGTTTGTGTTCAACTCCCAGAGTTTCACATTGCTTTTCATAGAGTAGTTCTGAAACATGCTTTTCGTAGTGTCTACAAGTGGACATTTGGAGCGCTTTCAGGCCTGTGGTGGAAAACGAATTATGGTCACATAAAAACTGGAGAGAAGCCTTCTCAGAAACTTCTCTGTGATGATTGCATTCAACTCACAGAGTTGAACCCTCCTATGGATAGAGCAGTGTTGAAACTCTCTTTTTGTGGAATCTGCAAGTGGATATGTGGACCTCTCCGAAGATGTCTTTGGAAACGGGAATATCTTCACATAAAAACTAAACAGAAGCATTCTCAGAAACTTCTTGGTGATGTTTGCATTCAAATCCCAGAGTTGAACCTTCCTTTGATAGTTCAGGTTTGAAACACTCTTTTTGTAGGATCTGCAAGTGGATATTTGGACCACTCTGTGGCCTTCGTTCGAAACGGGTATATCTTCGCATAAAATCTAGACAGAAGCATTCTCAGAAAATACTTTGTGATGATTGAGTTTAAATCACAGAGCTGACCATTCCTTTGGATGGAGCAGGTTTGAGACACACTTTTTGTAGAATCTACAAGTGGATATTTGGACCTCTCTGAGGATTTCGTTGGAAACGGGATAACTGCACCTAACTAAACGGAAGCATTCTCAGAAACTGCTTTGTGATGATTGCATTCACCTCACAGAGTTGAACATTCCTATTGATAGAGCAGTTTGGAAACACTCTTGTTGTGGAATGTGCAAGTGGAGATTTGGAGCGCTTTGAGGCCTATGGTAGTAAAGGGAATAGCTTCATAGAAAAACTAGACAGGATGCATTCTCAGGAACTTTTTGGTGATGTTTGTATTCAACTCCCAGAGTTGAACTTTCCTTTGGAAAGAGCAGCTATGAAACACTCTTTTTCTAGAATCTGCAAGTGGACGTTTGGAGGGCTTTGTGGTTTGTGGTGGAAAAGGAAATATCTTCACCTAAATACTAGATAGAAGCATTCTCAGAAGCTTCTCTGTGATGACTGCATTCAACTCACGGAGTTGAACACTCCTTTTGAGAGCGCAGTTTTGAAACTCTCTTTCTGTGGCATCTGCAAGGGGACATGTAGACCTCTTTGAAGATTTCGTTGGAAACGGAATCATCTTCACATAAAAACTATACAGAAGCAGTCTCAGAATCTTCTTTGTGATGTTTGCATTCAAATCCCAGAGTTGAACTTTCCTTTCAAAGTTCACGTTTGAAACACTCTTTTTGCAGGATCTACAAGTGGATATTTGGACCACTCTGTGTCCTTCGTTCGAAACGGGTATAACTTCACACGACATCTAGACAGAAGCTTTCTCAGAAAATTCTTTGGGATGATTGAGTGGAACTCACAGAGGTGAACATTCCTTGCGATGTAGCAGTTTAGAAACACACTTTCTGCAGAATCTGCAAGTGCATATTTGGACCTCTCTGAGGAATTCGTTGGAAACGGGATAATTTCAGCTGACTAAACAGAAGCATTCTCAGAACCTTCTTCGTGATGTCTGCATTCAACTCACAGTGTGGAACCTTTCTTTGATAGTTCAGGTTTGAAACACTCTTTTTGTAGAAACTGCAAGGGGATAATTGCACTTCTTTGAGGCCTACCGTAGTAAAGGAAATAACTTCCTATAGAAAGAAGACAGAAGCATTCTCAGAACCCTCTTCGTGATGTTTGCATTCAACTCACAGTGCTGAACCTTTCTTTGATAGTTCAGCTTTGAAACACTCTTCTTGTAGAAACTGCAAGTGGATATTTGGTCCTCTCTGAGGATTTCGTTGGAAACGGGATAAACCGCACAGAACTAAACAGAAGAATTCTCAGAGCCCTCTTCGTGATGTTTGCATTCAACTCACAGTGCTGAACCTTTCTTTGATAGTGCAGCTTTGAAACACTCTTTTTGTAGAAACTGCAAGTGGATGTTTGGTCCTCTCTGAGGATTTCGTTGGAAACGGGATAAACCGCACAGAACTAAAACAGAAGCATTGTCAGAAACTTCTTTGTGATGATTGCATTCAACTCACAGAGTTGAAGGTTCCTTTTCAAACAGCAGTTTCCAATCACTCTTTCTGTGGAATCTGCAAGTGGATATTTGGGCCTCTCTGAGGATTTCGTTGGAAACGGGATAAAACGCACAGAACTAAAACAGAAGCATTCTCAGAAACTTCTCTGTGATGTTTGTGTTCAACTCCCAGAGTTTCACGTTGCTTTTCATAGAGTAGTTCTGAAACATGCTTTTCGTAGTGTCTGCAAGTGGACATTTGGAGCGCTTTCAGGCCTGTGGTGGAAAACGAATTATGGTCACATAAAAACTGGAGAGAAGCCTTCTCAGAAACTTCTCTGTGATGATTGCATTCAACTCACAGAGTTGAACCCTCCTATGGATAGAGCAGTGTTGAAACTCTCTTTTTGTGGAATCTGCAAGTGGATATGTGGACCTCTCCGAAGATGTCTTTGGAAACGGGAATATCTTCACATAAAAACTAAACAGAAGCATTCTCAGAAACTTCTTGGTGATGTTTGCATTCAAATCCCAGAGTTGAACCTTCCTTTGATAGTTCAGGTTTGAAACACTCTTTCTGTAGGATCTGCAAGTGGCTATTTGGACCACTCTGTGGCCTTCGTTCGAAACGGGTATATCTTCGCATAAAATCTAGACAGAAGCATTCTCAGAAAATACTTTGTGATGATTGAGTTTAAATCACAGAGCTGACCATTCCTTTGGATGGAGCAGGTTTGAGACACACTTTTTGTAGAATCTACAAGTGGATATTTGGACCTCTCTGAGGATTTCGTTGGAAACGGGATAACTGCACCTAACTAAACGGAAGCATTCTCAGAAACTGCTTTGTGATGATTGCATTCACCTCACAGAGTTGAACATTCCTATTGATAGAGCAGTTTGGAAACACTCTTGTTGCGGAATGTGCAAGTGGAGATTTGGAGCGCTTTGAGGCCTGTGGTAGTAAAGGGAATAGCTTCATAGAAAAACTAGACAGATGCATTCTCAGGAACTTTTTGGTGATGTTTGTATTCAACTCCCAGAGTTGAACTTTCCTTTGGAAAGAGCAGCTATGAAACACTCTTTTTCTAGAATCTGCAAGTGGACGTTTGGAGGGCTTTGTGGTTTGTGGTGGAAAAGGAAATATCTTCACCTAAATACTAGATAGAAGCATTCTCAGAAGCTTCTCTGTGATGACTGCATTCAACTCACGGAGTTGAACACTCCTTTTGAGAGCGTAGTTTTGAAACTCTCTTTCTGTGGCATCTGCAAGGGGACATGTAGACCTCTTTGAAGATTTCGTTGGAAACGGAATCATCTTCACATAAAAACTATACAGAAGCAGTCTCAGAATCTTCTTTGTGATGTTTGCATTCAAATCCCAGAGTTGAACTTTCCTTTCAAAGTTCACGTTTGAAACACTCTTTTTGCAGGATCTACAAGTGGATATTTGGACCACTCTGTGTCCTTCGTTCGAAACGGGTATATCTTCACATGACATCTAGACAGAAGCTTTCTCAGAAAATTCTTTGGGATGATTGAGTTGAGCAAACAGAGCTGAACACTCCTTGCGATGTAGCAGTTTAGAAACACACTTTCTGCAGAATCTGCAAGTGCATATGTGGACCTCTCTGAGGAATTCGTTGGAAATGGGATAATTTCAGCTGACTAAACAGAAGCATTCTCAGAACCTTCTTCGTGATGTCTGCATTCAACTCACAGTGTGGAACCTTTCTTTGATAGTTCAGGTTTGAAACACTCTTTTTGTAGAAACTGCAAGGGGATCATTGCACTTCTTTGAGGCCTACCGTAGTAAAGGAGATAAGTTCCTATAAAAAGAAGACAGAAGCATTCTCAGAACCCTCTTCGTGATGTTTGCATTCAACTCACGGTGCTGAACCTTTCTTTGATAGTTCAGCTTTGAAACACTCTTTTTGTAGAAACTGCAAGTGGATATTTGGTCCTCTCTGAGGATTTCGTTGGAAACGGGATAAACCGCACAGAACTAAACAGAAGCATTCTCAGAACCTTCTTCGTGATGTTTGCATTCAACTCACAGTGTTGAACCTTTCTTTGATAGTTCAGGTTTGAAACGGTCTTTCTGTAGAAACTGCAAGTAGATATTTGGACCTCTCTGAGGATTTCGTTGGAAACGGGATAAACCGCACAGAACTAAAACAGAAGCATTCACAGAAAACTCTTGGTGACGACTGAGTTTAACTCACAGAGCTGAACATTCCTTTGGATGGAGCAGTTTCGAAACACACTATCTGTAGAATGTGCAAGTGGATATTTGGGCCTCTCTGAGGATTTCGTTGGAAACGGGATAAACCGCACAGAACTAAACAGAAGCATTCTCAGAAACTACTTTGTGATGATTGCATTCAAGTCACAGAGTTGAACATTCCCTTCGACAGAGCAGTTTGGAAACTCTCTTTGTGTATAATCTGCAAGTGGAGATATGGACCGCTTTGAGGCCTATGGTAGTAAAGGAAATAGCTTCATATAAAAGCTAGACAGTAGCATTCTCAGAAACTTCTTTGTGATGCTTGCATTCAACTCACAGAGTTGAACTTTCCTTTCGAGAGAGAAGCTTTGAAACACTCTTTTTCCAGAATCTGCAAGTGGACATTTGGAGGGCTTTGAGGCCTGTGGTGGAAAAGGAATTAACTTCCCGTAAAAGCTAGATAGAAGCATTGTCAGAAACTTCTTTGTGATGATTGCATTCAACTCACAGAGATGAAGGTTCCTTTACAAACAGCAGTTTCCAAACACTCTTTCTGTGGAATCTGCAAGTGGATATTTGGACCTCTTTGAAGATTTCGTTGGAAACGGGAGAATCTTCACAGAAAAGCTAAACAGAAGCATTCTCAGAAACTTCTCTGTGATGTTTGTGTTCAACTCCCAGAGTTTCACATTGCTTTTCATAGAGTAGTTCTGAAACATGCTTTTCGTAGTGTCTACAAGTGGACATTTGGAGCGCTTTCAGGCCTGTGGTGGAAAACGAATTATGGTCACATAAAAACTGGAGAGAAGCCTTCTCAGAAACTTCTCTGTGATGACTGCATTCAACTCACAGAGTTGAACCCTCCTATGGATAGAGCAGTGTTGAAACTCTCTTTTTGTGGAATCTGCAAGTGGATATGTGGACCTCTCCGAAGATGTCTTTGGAAACGGGAATATCTTCACATAAAAACTAAACAGAAGCATTCTCAGAAACTTCTTGGTGATGTTTGCATTCAAATCCCAGAGTTGAACCTTCCTTTGATAGTTCAGGTTTGAAACACTCTTTTTGTAGGATCTGCAAGTGGATATTTGGACCACTCTGTGGCCTTCGTTCGAAACGGGTATATCTTCGCATAAAATCTAGACAGAAGCATTCTCAGAAAATACTTTGTGATGATTGAGTTGAACTCACAGAGCTGAACATTCCTTTGGATGGAGCAGGTTTGAGACACACTTTTTGTAGAATCTACAAGAGGATATTTGGACCTCTCTGAGGATTTCGTTGGAAACGGGATAACTGCACCTAACTAAACGGAAGCATTCCCAGAAACTGCTTTGTGATGATTGCATTCACCTCACAGAGTTGAACATTCCTATTGATAGAGCAGTTTGGAAACACTCTTGTTGTGGAATGTGCAAGTGGAGATTTGGAGTGCTTTGAGGCCTATGGTAGTAAAGGGAATAGCTTCATAGAAAAACTAGACAGATGCATTCTCAGGAACTTTTTGGTGATGTTTGTATTCAACTCCCAGAGTTGAACTTTCCTTTGGAAAGAGCAGATATGAAACACTCTTTTTCTAGAATCTGCAAGTGGACGTTTGGAGGGCTTTGTGGTTTGTGGTGGAAAAGGAAATATCTTCACCTGAATACTAGATAGAAGCATTCTCAGAAGCTTCTCTGTGATGACTGCATTCAACTCACGGAGTTGAACACTCCTTTTGAGAGCGCAGTTTTGAAACTCTCTTTCTGTGGCATCTGCAAGGGGACATGTAGACCTCTTTGAAGATTTCGTTGGAAACGGAATCATCTTCACATAAAAACTATACAGAAGCAGTCTCAGAATCTTCTTTGTGATGTTTGCATTCAAATCCCCGAGTTGAACTTTCCTTTCAAAGTTCACGTTTGAAACACTCTTTTTGCAGGATCTACAAGTGGATATTTGGACCACTCTGTGTCCTTCGTTCGAAACGGGTATATCTTCACATGACATCTAGACAGAAGCTTTCTCAGAAAATTCTTTGGGATGATTGAGTTGAACTCACAGAGCTGAGCATTCCTTGCGATGTAGCAGTTTAGAAACACACTTTCTGCAGAATCTGCAAGTGCATATTTGGACCTCTGTGAGGAATTCGTTGGAAACGGGATAATTTCAGCTGACTAAACAGAAGCATTCTCAGAACCTTCTTCGTGATGTCTGCATTCAACTCACAGTGTGGAACCTTTCTTTGATAGTTCAGGTTTGAAACACTCTTTTTGTAGAAACTGCAAGGGGATAATTGCACTCTTTGAGGAGTACCCGTAGTAAAGGAAATAACTTCCTATAAAAAGAAGACAGAAGCATTCTCAGAACCCTCTTCGTGATGTTTGCATTCAACTCACAGTGCTGAACCTTTCTTTGATAGTTCAGCTTTGAAACACTCTTTTTGTAGAAACTGCAAGTGGATATTTGGTCCTCTCTGAGCATTTCGTTGGAAACGGGATAAACTGCACAGAACTAAACAGAAGCATTCTCAGAACCTTCTTCGTGATGTTTGCATTCAACTCACAGTGTTGAACCTTTCTTTGATAGTTCAGGTTTGAAACGGTCTTTCTGTAGAAACTGCAAGTAGATATTTGGACCTCTCTGAGGATTTCGTTGGAAACGGGATAACCCGCACAGAACTAAAACAGAAGCATTCACAGAAAACTCTTGGTGACGACTGAGTTTAACTCACAGAGCTGAACATTCCTTTGGATGGAGCAGTTTCGAAACACACTATTTGTAGAATGTGCAAGTGGATATTTAGGCCTCTCTGAGGATTTCGTTGGAAACGGGATAAACCGCACAGAACTAAACAGAAGCATTCTCAGAAACTACTTTGTGATGATTGCATTCAAGTCACAGAGTTGAACATTCCCTTTGACAGAGCAGTTTGGAAACTCTCTTTGTGTAGAATCTGCAAGTGGAGATATGGACCACTTTGAGGCCTATGGTAGTAAAGGAAATAGCTTCATATAAAAGCTAGACAGTAGCATTCTCAGAAACTTCTTTGTGATGCTCGCATTCAACTCACAGAGTTGAACTTTCCTTTCGAGAGAGAAGCTTTGAAACACTCTTTTTCCAGAATCTGCAAGTGGACATTTGGAGGGCTTTGAGGCCTGTGGTGGAAAAGGAATTATCTTCCCGTAAAAGCTAGATAGAAGCATTGTCAGAAACTTCTTTGTGATGATTGCATTCAACTCACAGAGTTGAAGGTTCCTTTTCAAACAGCAGTTTCCAATCACTCTTTCTGTGGAATCTGCAAGTGGATATTTGGGCCTCTCTGAGGATTTCGTTGGAAACGGGATAAAACGCACAGAACTAAAACAGAAGCATTCTCAGAAACTTCTCTGTGATGTTTGTGTTCAACTCCCAGAGTTTCACGTTGCTTTTCATAGAGTAGTTCTGAAACATGCTTTTCGTAGTGTCTGCAAGTGGACATTTGGAGCGCTTTCAGGCCTGTGGTGGAAAACGAATTATGGTCACATAAAAACTGGAGAGAAGCCTTCTCAGAAACTTCTCTGTGATGATTGCATTCAACTCACAGAGTTGAACCCTCCTATGGATAGAGCAGTGTTGAAACTCTCTTTTTGTGGAATCTGCAAGTGGATATGTGGACCTCTCCGAAGATGTCTTTGGAAACGGGAATATCTTCACATAAAAACTAAACAGAAGCATTCTCAGAAACTTCTTGGTGATGTTTGCATTCAAATCCCAGAGTTGAACCTTCCTTTGATAGTTCAGGTTTGAAACACTCTTTCTGTAGGATCTGCAAGTGGCTATTTGGACCACTCTGTGGCCTTCGTTCGAAACGGGTATATCTTCGCATAAAATCTAGACAGAAGCATTCTCAGAAAATACTTTGTGATGATTGAGTTTAAATCACAGAGCTGACCATTCCTTTGGATGGAGCAGGTTTGAGACACACTTTTTGTAGAATCTACAAGTGGATATTTGGACCTCTCTGAGGATTTCGTTGGAAACGGGATAACTGCACCTAACTAAACGGAAGCATTCTCAGAAACTGCTTTGTGATGATTGCATTCACCTCACAGAGTTGAACATTCCTATTGATAGAGCAGTTTGGAAACACTCTTGTTGTGGAATGTGCAAGTGGAGATTTGGAGCGCTTTGAGGCCTATGGTAGTAAAGGGAATAGCTTCATAGAAAAACTAGACAGATGCATTCTCAGGAACTTTTTGGTGATGTTTGTATTCAACTCCCAGAGTTGAACTTTCCTTTGGAAAGAGCAGCTATGAAACACTCTTTTTCTAGAATCTGCAAGTGGACGTTTGGAGGGCTTTGTGGTTTGTGGTGGAAAAGGAAATATCTTCACCTAAATACTAGACAGAAGCATTCTCAGAAGCTTCTCTGTGATGACTGCATTCAACTCACGGAGTTGAACACTCCTTTTGAGAGCGCAGTTTTGAAACTCTCTTTCTGTGGCATCTGCAAGGGGACATGTAGACCTCTTTGAAGATTTCGTTGGAAACGGAATCATCTTCACATAAAAACTATACAGAAGCAGTCTCAGAATCTTCTTTGTGATGTTTGCATTCAAATCCCAGAGTTGAACTTTCCTTTCAAAGTTCACGTTTGAAACACTCTTTTTGCAGGATCTACAAGTGGATATTTGGACCACTCTGTGTCCTTCGTTCGAAACGGGTATATCTTCACACGACATCTAGACAGAAGCTTTCTCAGAAAATTCTTTGGGATGATTGAGTGGAACTCACAGAGCTGAACATTCCTTGCGATGTAGCAGTTTAGAAACACACTTTCTGCAGAATCTGCAAGTGCATATTTGGACCTCTCTGAGGAATTCGTTGGAAACGGGATAATTTCAGCTGACTAAACAGAAGCATTCTCAGAACCTTCTTCGTGATGTCTGCATTCAACTCACAGTGTGGAACCTTTCTTTGATAGTTCAGGTTTGAAACACTCTTTTTGTAGAAACTGCAAGGGGATAATTGCACTTCTTTGAGGCCTACCGTAGTAAAGGAAATAACTTCCTATAGAAAGAAGACAGAAGCATTCTCAGAACCCTCTTCGTGATGTTTGCATTCAACTCACAGTGCTGAACCTTTCTTTGATAGTTCAGCTTTGAAACACTCTTCTTGTAGAAACTGCAAGTGGATATTTGGTCCTCTCTGAGGATTTCGTTGGAAACGGGATAAACCGCACAGAACTAAACAGAAGAATTCTCAGAGCCCTCTTCGTGATGTTTGCATTCAACTCACAGTGCTGAACCTTTCTTTGATAGTGCAGCTTTGAAACACTCTTTTTGTAGAAACTGCAAGTGGATGTTTGGTCCTCTCTGAGGATTTCGTTGGAAACGGGATAAACCGCACAGAACTAAAACAGAAGCATTGTCAGAAACTTCTTTGTGATGATTGCATTCAACTCACAGAGTTGAAGGTTCCTTTTCAAACAGCAGTTTCCAATCACTCTTTCTGTGGAATCTGCAAGTGGATATTTGGGCCTCTCTGAGGATTTCGTTGGAAACGGGATAAAACGCACAGAACTAAAACAGAAGCATTCTCAGAAACTTCTCTGTGATGTTTGTGTTCAACTCCCAGAGTTTCACGTTGCTTTTCATAGAGTAGTTCTGAAACATGCTTTTCGTAGTGTCTGCAAGTGGACATTTGGAGCGCTTTCAGGCCTGTGGTGGAAAACGAATTATGGTCACATAAAAACTGGAGAGAAGCCTTCTCAGAAACTTCTCTGTGATGATTGCATTCAACTCACAGAGTTGAACCCTCCTATGGATAGAGCAGTGTTGAAACTCTCTTTTTGTGGAATCTGCAAGTGGATATGTGGACCTCTCCGAAGATGTCTTTGGAAACGGGAATATCTTCACATAAAAACTAAACAGAAGCATTCTCAGAAACTTCTTGGTGATGTTTGCATTCAAATCCCAGAGTTGAACCTTCCTTTGATAGTTCAGGTTTGAAACACTCTTTCTGTAGGATCTGCAAGTGGCTATTTGGACCACTCTGTGGCCTTCGTTCGAAACGGGTATATCTTCGCATAAAATCTAGACAGAAGCATTCTCAGAAAATACTTTGTGATGATTGAGTTTAAATCACAGAGCTGACCATTCCTTTGGATGGAGCAGGTTTGAGACACACTTTTTGTAGAATCTACAAGTGGATATTTGGACCTCTCTGAGGATTTCGTTGGAAACGGGATAACTGCACCTAACTAAACGGAAGCATTCTCAGAAACTGCTTTGTGATGATTGCATTCACCTCACAGAGTTGAACATTCCTATTGATAGAGCAGTTTGGAAACACTCTTGTTGTGGAATGTGCAAGTGGAGATTTGGAGCGCTTTGAGGCCTATGGTAGTAAAGGGAATAGCTTCATAGAAAAACTAGACAGATGCATTCTCAGGAACTTTTTGGTGATGTTTGTATTCAACTCCCAGAGTTGAACTTTCCTTTGGAAAGAGCAGCTATGAAACACTCTTTTTCTAGAATCTGCAAGTGGACGTTTGGAGGGCTTTGTGGTTTGTGGTGGAAAAGGAAATATCTTCACCTAAATACTAGATAGAAGCATTCTCAGAAGCTTCTCTGTGATGACTGCATTCAACTCACGGAGTTGAACACTCCTTTTGAGAGCGCAGTTTTGAAACTCTCTTTCTGTGGCATCCGCAAGGGGACATGTGGACCTCTTTGAAGATTTGGTTGGAAACGGAATCATCTTCACATAAAAACTATACAGAAGCAATCTCAGAATCTTCTTTGTGATGTTTGCATTCAAATCCCAGAGTTGAACTTTCCTTTCAAAGTTCACGTTTGAAACACTCTTTTTGCAGGATCTACAAGTGGATATTTGGACCACTCTGTGTCCTTCGTTCGAAACGGGTATATCTTCACACGACATCTAGACAGAAGCTTTCTCAGAAAATTCTTTGGGATGATTGAGTGGAACTCACAGAGCTGAACATTCCTTGCGATGTAGCAGTTTAGAAACACACTTTCTGCAGAATCTGCAAGTGCATATTTGGACCTCTCTGAGGAATTCGTTGGAAACGGGATAATTTCAGCTGACTAAACAGAAGCATTCTCAGAACCTTCTTCGTGATGTCTGCATTCAACTCACAGTGTGGAACCTTTCTTTGATAGTTCAGGTTTGAAACACTCTTTTTGTAGAAACTGCAAGGGGATAATTGCACTTCTTTGAGGCCTACCGTAGTAAAGGAAATAACTTCCTATAGAAAGAAGACAGAAGCATTCTCAGAACCCTCTTCGTGATGTTTGCATTCAACTCACAGTGCTGAACCTTTCTTTGATAGTTCAGCTTTGAAACACTCTTCTTGTAGAAACTGCAAGTGGATATTTGGTCCTCTCTGAGGATTTCGTTGGAAACGGGATAAACCGCACAGAACTAAACAGAAGAATTCTCAGAGCCCTCTTCGTGATGTTTGCATTCAACTCACAGTGCTGAACCTTTCTTTGATAGTGCAGCTTTGAAACACTCTTTTTGTAGAAACTGCAAGTGGATGTTTGGTCCTCTCTGAGGATTTCGTTGGAAACGGGATAAACCGCACAGAACTAAAACAGAAGCATTGTCAGAAACTTCTTTGTGATGATTGCATTCAACTCACAGAGTTGAAGGTTCCTTTTCAAACAGCAGTTTCCAATCACTCTTTCTGTGGAATCTGCAAGTGGATATTTGGGCCTCTCTGAGGATTTCGTTGGAAACGGGATAAAACGCACAGAACTAAAACAGAAGCATTCTCAGAAACTTCTCTGTGATGTTTGTGTTCAACTCCCAGAGTTTCACGTTGCTTTTCATAGAGTAGTTCTGAAACATGCTTTTCGTAGTGTCTGCAAGTGGACATTTGGAGCGCTTTCAGGCCTGTGGTGGAAAACGAATTATGGTCACATAAAAACTGGAGAGAAGCCTTCTCAGAAACTTCTCTGTGATGATTGCATTCAACTCACAGAGTTGAACCCTCCTATGGATAGAGCAGTGTTGAAACTCTCTTTTTGTGGAATCTGCAAGTGGATATGTGGACCTCTCCGAAGATGTCTTTGGAAACGGGAATATCTTCACATAAAAACTAAACAGAAGCATTCTCAGAAACTTCTTGGTGATGTTTGCATTCAAATCCCAGAGTTGAACCTTCCTTTGATAGTTCAGGTTTGAAACACTCTTTCTGTAGGATCTGCAAGTGGCTATTTGGACCACTCTGTGGCCTTCGTTCGAAACGGGTATATCTTCGCATAAAATCTAGACAGAAGCATTCTCAGGAAAATACTTTGTGATGATTGAGTTTAAATCACAGAGCTGACCATTCCTTTGGATGGAGCAGGTTTGAGACACACTTTTTGTAGAATCTACAAGTGGATATTTGGACCTCTCTGAGGATTTCGTTGGAAACGGGATAACTGCACCTAACTAAACGGAAGCATTCTCAGAAACTGCTTTGTGATGATTGCATTCACCTCACAGAGTTGAACATTCCTATTGATAGAGCAGTTTGGAAACACTCTTGTTGTGGAATGTGCAAGTGGAGATTTGGAGCGCTTTGAGGCCTATGGTAGTAAAGGGAATAGCTTCATAGAAAAACTAGACAGATGCATTCTCAGGAACTTTTTGGTGATGTTTGTATTCAACTCCCAGAGTTGAACTTTCCTTTGGAAAGAGCAGCTATGAAACACTCTTTTTCTAGAATCTGCAAGTAGACGTTTGGAGGGCTTTGTGGTTTGTGGTGGAAAAGGAAATATCTTCACCTAAATACTAGATAGAAGCATTCTCAGAAGCTTCTCTGTGATGACTGCATTCAACTCACGGAGTTGAACACTCCTTTTGAGAGCGCAGTTTTGAAACTCTCTTTCTGTGGCATCCGCAAGGGGACATGTGGACCTCTTTGAAGATTTCGTTGGAAACGGAATCATCTTCACATAAAAACTATACAGAAGCAGTCTCAGAATCTTCTTTGTGATGTTTGCATTCAAATCCCAGAGTTGAACTTTCCTTTCAAAGTTCACGTTTGAAACACTCTTTTTGCAGGATCTACAAGTGGATATTTGGACCACTCTGTGTCCTTCGTTCGAAACGGGTATATCTTCACACGACATCTAGACAGAAGCTTTCTCAGAAAATTCTTTGGGATGATTGAGTGGAACTCACAGAGCTGAACATTCCTTGCGATGTAGCAGTTTAGAAACACACTTTCTGCAGAATCTGCAAGTGCATATTTGGACCTCTCTGAGGAATTCGTTGGAAACGGGATAATTTCAGCTGACTAAACAGAAGCATTCTCAGAACCTTCTTCGTGATGTCTGCATTCAACTCACAGTGTGGAACCTTTCTTTGATAGTTCAGGTTTGAAACACTCTTTTTGTAGAAACTGCAAGGGGATAATTGCACTTCTTTGAGGCCTACCGTAGTAAAGGAAATAACTTCCTATAGAAAGAAGACAGAAGCATTCTCAGAACCCTCTTCGTGATGTTTGCATTCAACTCACAGTGCTGAACCTTTCTTTGATAGTTCAGCTTTGAAACACTCTTCTTGTAGAAACTGCAAGTGGATATTTGGTCCTCTCTGAGGATTTCGTTGGAAACGGGATAAACCGCACAGAACTAAACAGAAGAATTCTCAGAGCCCTCTTCGTGATGTTTGCATTCAACTCACAGTGCTGAACCTTTCTTTGATAGTGCAGCTTTGAAACACTCTTTTTGTAGAAACTGCAAGTGGATGTTTGGTCCTCTCTGAGGATTTCGTTGGAAACGGGATAAACCGCACAGAACTAAAACAGAAGCATTGTCAGAAACTTCTTTGTGATGATTGCATTCAACTCACAGAGTTGAAGGTTCCTTTTCAAACAGCAGTTTCCAATCACTCTTTCTGTGGAATCTGCAAGTGGATATTTGGGCCTCTCTGAGGATTTCGTTGGAAACGGGATAAAACGCACAGAACTAAAACAGAAGCATTCTCAGAAACTTCTCTGTGATGTTTGTGTTCAACTCCCAGAGTTTCACGTTGCTTTTCATAGAGTAGTTCTGAAACATGCTTTTCGTAGTGTCTGCAAGTGGACATTTGGAGCGCTTTCAGGCCTGTGGTGGAAAACGAATTATGGTCACATAAAAACTGGAGAGAAGCCTTCTCAGAAACTTCTCTGTGATGATTGCATTCAACTCACAGAGTTGAACCCTCCTATGGATAGAGCAGTGTTGAAACTCTCTTTTTGTGGAATCTGCAAGTGGATATGTGGACCTCTCCGAAGATGTCTTTGGAAACGGGAATATCTTCACATAAAAACTAAACAGAAGCATTCTCAGAAACTTCTTGGTGATGTTTGCATTCAAATCCCAGAGTTGAACCTTCCTTTGATAGTTCAGGTTTGAAACACTCTTTTTGTAGGATCTGCAAGTGGATATTTGGACCACTCTGTGGCCTTCGTTCGAAACGGGGACATCTTCGCATAAAATCTAGACAGAAGCATTCTCAGAAAATACTTTGTGATGATTGAGTTTAACTCACAGCAGCTGAACATTCCTTTGGATGGAGCAGGTTTGAGACACACTTTTTGTAGAATCTACAAGTGGATATTTGGACCTCTCTGAGGATTTCGTTGGAAACGGGATAACTGCACCTAACTAAACGGAAGCATTCTCAGAAACTGCTTTGTGATGATTGCATTCACCTCACAGAGTTGAACATTCCTATTGATAGAGCAGTTTGGAAACACTCTTGTTGTGGAATGTGCAAGTGGAGATTTGGAGCGCTTTGAGGCCTATGGTAGTAAAGGGAATAGCTTCATAGAAAAACTAGACAGATGCATTCTCAGGAACTTTTTGGTGATGTTTGTATTCATCTCCCAGATTTGAACTTTCCTTTGGAAAGAGCAGCTATGAAACACTCTTTTTCTAGAATCTGCAAGTGGACGTTTGGAGGGCTTCGTGGTTTGTGGTGGAAAAGGAAATATCTTCACCTAAATACTAGATAGAAGCATTCTCAGAAGCTTCTCTGTGATGACTGCATTCAACTCACGGAGTTGAACACTCCTTTTGAGAGCACAGTTTTGAAACTCTCTTTATGTGGCATCTGCAAGGGGACATGTAGACCTCTTTGAAGATTTCGTTGGAAACGGAATCATCTTCATATAAAAACTATACAGAAGCAGTCTCAGAATCTTCTTTGTGATGTTTGCATTCAAATCCCAGAGTTGAACTTTCCTTTCAAAGTTCACGTTTGAAACACTCTTTTTGCAGGATCTACAAGTGGATATTTGGACCACTCTGTGTCCTTCGTTCGAAACGGGTATATCTTCACATGACAGCTAGACAGAAGCTTTCTCAGAAAATTCTTTGGGATGATTGAGTGGAACTCACAGAGCTGAACATTCCTTGCGATGTAGCAGTTTAGAAACACACTTTCTGCAGAATCTGCAAGTGCATATTTGGACCTCTCTGAGGAATTCGTTGGAAACGGGATAATTTCAGCTGACTAAACAGAAGCATTCTCAGAACCTTCTTCGTGATGTCTGCATTCAACTCACAGTGTGGAACCTTTCTTTGATAGTTCAGGTTTGAAACACTCTTTTTGTAGAAACTGCAAGGGGATAATTGCACTTCTTTGAGGCCTACCGTAGTAAAGGAAATAACTTCCTATAGAAAGAAGACAGAAGCATTCTCAGAACCCTCTTCGTGATGTTTGCATTCAACTCACAGTGCTGAACCTTTCTTTGATAGTTCAGCTTTGAAACACTCTTCTTGTAGAAACTGCAAGTGGATATTTGGTCCTCTCTGAGGATTTCGTTGGAAACGGGATAAACCGCACAGAACTAAACAGAAGAATTCTCAGAGCCCTCTTCGTGATGTTTGCATTCAACTCACAGTGCTGAACCTTTCTTTGATAGTGCAGCTTTGAAACACTCTTTTTGTAGAAACTGCAAGTGGATGTTTGGTCCTCTCTGAGGATTTCGTTGGAAACGGGATAAACCGCACAGAACTAAAACAGAAGCATTGTCAGAAACTTCTTTGTGATGATTGCATTCAACTCACAGAGTTGAAGGTTCCTTTTCAAACAGCAGTTTCCAATCACTCTTTCTGTGGAATCTGCAAGTGGATATTTGGGCCTCTCTGAGGATTTCGTTGGAAACGGGATAAAACGCACAGAACTAAAACAGAAGCATTCTCAGAAACTTCTCTGTGATGTTTGTGTTCAACTCCCAGAGTTTCACGTTGCTTTTCATAGAGTAGTTCTGAAACATGCTTTTCGTAGTGTCTGCAAGTGGACATTTGGAGCGCTTTCAGGCCTGTGGTGGAAAACGAATTATGGTCACATAAAAACTGGAGAGAAGCCTTCTCAGAAACTTCTCTGTGATGATTGCATTCAACTCACAGAGTTGAACCCTCCTATGGATAGAGCAGTGTTGAAACTCTCTTTTTGTGGAATCTGCAAGTGGATATGTGGACCTCTCCGAAGATGTCTTTGGAAACGGGAATATCTTCACATAAAAACTAAACAGAAGCATTCTCAGAAACTTCTTGGTGATGTTTCCATTCAAATCCCAGAGTTGAACCTTCCTTTGATAGTTCAGGTTTGAAACACTCTTTTTGTAGGATCTGCAAGTGGCTATTTGGACCACTCTGTGGCCTTCGTTCGAAACGGGTATATCTTCGCATAAAATCTAGACAGAAGCATTCTCAGAAAATACTTTGTGATGATTGAGTTTAAATCACAGAGCTGACCATTCCTTTGGATGGAGCAGGTTTGAGACACACTTTTTGTAGAATCTACAAGTGGATATTTGGACCTCTCTGAGGATTTCGTTGGAAACGGGATAACTGCACCTAACTAAACGGAAGCATTCTCAGAAACTGCTTTGTGATGATTGCATTCACCTCACAGCAGTTGAACATTCCTATTGATAGAGCAGTTTGGAAACACTCTTGTTGTGGAATGTGCAAGTGGAGATTTGGAGCGCTTTGAGGCCTATGGTAGTAAAGGGAATAGCTTCATAGAAAAACTAGACAGATGCATTCTCAGGAACTTTTTGGTCATGTTTGTATTCAACCCCCAGAGTTGAACTTTCCTTTGGAAAGAGCAGCTATGAAACACTCTTTTTCTAGAATCTGCAAGTGGACGTTTGGAGGGCTTTGTGGTTTGTGGTGGAAAAGGAAATATCTTCACCTAAATACTAGATAGAAGCATTCTCAGAAGCTTCTCTGTGATGACTGCATTCAACTCACGGAGTTGAACACTCCTTTTGAGAGCGCAGTTTTGAAACTCTCTTTCTGTGGCATCTGCAAGGGGACATGTAGACCTCTTTGAAGATTTCGTTGGAAACGGAATCATCTTCACATAAAAACTATACAGAAGCAGTCTCAGAATCTTCTTTGTGATGTTTGCATTCAAATCCCAGAGTTGAACTTTCCTTTCAAAGTTCACGTTTGAAACACTCTTTTTGCAGGATCTACAAGTGGATATTTGGACCACTCTGTGTCCTTCGTTCGAAACGGGTATATCTTCACATGACATCTAGACAGAAGCTTTCTCAGAAAATTCTTTGGGATGATTGAGTGGAACTCACAGAGCTGAACATTCCTTGTAATGTAGCAGTTTAGAAACACACTTTCTGCAGAATCTGCAAGTGCATATTTGGACCTCTCTGAGGAATTCGTTGGAAACGGGATAATTTCAGCTGACTAAACAGAAGCATTCTCAGAACCTTCTTCGTGATGTCTGCATTCAACTCACAGTGTGGAACCTTTCTTTGATAGTTCAGGTTTGAAACACTCTTTTTGTAGAAACTGCAAGGGGATAATTGCACTTCTTTGAGGCCTACCGTAGTAAAGGAAATAACTTCCTATAGAAAGAAGACAGAAGCATTCTCAGAACCCTCTTCGTGAAGTTTGCATTCAACTCACAGTGCTGAACCTTTCTTTGATAGTTCAGCTTTGAAACACTCTTCTTGTAGAAACTGCAAGTGGATATTTGGTCCTCTCTGAGGATTTCGTTGGAAACGGGATAAACCGCACAGAACTAAACAGAAGAATTCTCAGAGCCCTCTTCGTGATGTTTGCATTCAACTCACAGTGCTGAACCTTTCTTTGATAGTGCAGCTTTGAAACACTCTTTTTGTAGAAACTGCAAGTGGATGTTTGGTCCTCTCTGAGGATTTCGTTGGAAACGGGATAAACCGCACAGAACTAAAACAGAAGCATTGTCAGAAACTTCTTTGTGATGATTGCATTCAACTCACAGAGTTGAAGGTTCCTTTTCAAACAGCAGTTTCCAATCACTCTTTCTGTGGAATCTGCAAGTGGATATTTGGGCCTCTCTGAGGATTTCGTTGGAAACGGGATAAAACGCACAGAACTAAAACAGAAGCATTCTCAGAAACTTCTCTGTGATGTTTGTGTTCAACTCCCAGAGTTTCACGTTGCTTTTCATAGAGTAGTTCTGAAACATGCTTTTCGTAGTGTCTGCAAGTGGACATTTGGAGCGCTTTCAGGCCTGTGGTGGAAAACGAATTATGGTCACATAAAAACTGGAGAGAAGCCTTCTCAGAAACTTCTCTGTGATGATTGCATTCAACTCACAGAGTTGAACCCTCCTATGGATAGAGCAGTGTTGAAACTCTCTTTTTGTGGAATCTGCAAGTGGATATGTGGACCTCTCCGAAGATGTCTTTGGAAACGGGAATATCTTCACATAAAAACTAAACAGAAGCATTCTCAGAAACTTCTTGGTGATGTTTGCATTCAAATCCCAGAGTTGAACCTTCCTTTGATAGTTCAGGTTTGAAACACTCTTTTTGTAGGATCTGCAAGTGGCTATTTGGACCACTCTGTGGCCTTCGTTCGAAACGGGTATATCTTCGCATAAAATCTAGACAGAGGCATTCTCAGAAAATACTTTGTGATGATTGAGTTTAAATCACAGAGCTGAACATTCCTTTGGATGGAGCAGGTTTGAGACACACTTTTTGTAGAATCTACAAGTGGATATTTGGACCTCTCTGAGGATTTCGTTGGAAACGGGATAACTGCACCTAACTAAACGGAAGCATTCTCAGAAACTGCTTTGTGATGATTGCATTCACCTCACAGAGTTGAACATTCCTATTGATAGAGCAGTTTGGAAACACTCTTGTTGTGGAATGTGCAAGTGGAGATTTGGAGCGCTTTGAGGCCTATGGTAGTAAAGGGAATAGCTTCATAGAAAAACTAGACAGATGCATTCTCAGGAACTTTTTGGTGATGTTTGTATTCAACTCCCAGAGTTGAACTTTCCTTTGGAAAGAGCAGCTATGAAACACTCTTTTTCTAGAATCTGCAAGTGGACGTTTGGAGGGCTTTGTGGTTTGTGGTGGAAAAGGAAATATCTTCACCTAAATACTAGAGAGAAGCATTCTCAGAAGCTTCTCTGTGATGACTGCATTCAACTCACGGAGTTGAACACTCCTTTTGAGAGCGCAGTTTTGAAACTCCCTTTCTGTGGCATCTGCAAGGGGACATGTAGACCTCTTTGAAGATTTCGTTGGAAACGGAATCATCTTCACATAAAAACTATACAGAAGCAGTCTCAGAATCTTCTTTGTGATGTTTGCATTCAAATCCCAGAGTTGAACTTTCCTTTCAAAGTTCACGTTTGAAACACTCTTTTTGCAGGATCTACAAGTGGATATTTGGACCACTCTGTGTCCTTCGTTCGAAACGGGTATATCTTCACATGACATCTAGACAGAAGCTTTCTCAGAAAATTCTTTGGGATGATTGAGTTGAACTCACAGAGCTGAACATTCCTTGCGATGTAGCAGTTTAGAAACACACTTTCTGCAGAATCTGCAAGTGCATATTTGGACCTCTCTGAGGAATTCGTTGGAAACGGGATAATTTCAGCTGACTAAACAGAAGCATTCTCAGAACCTTCTTCGTGATGTCTGCATTCAACTCACAGTGTGGAAACTTTCTTTGATAGTTCAGGTTTGAAACACTCTTTTTGTAGAGACTGCAAGGGGATAATTGCACTTCTTTGAGGCCTACCGTAGTAAAGGAAATAACTTCCTATAAAAAGAAGACAGAAGCATTCTCAGAACCCTCTTCTTGATGTTTGCATTCAACTCACACTGCTGAACCTTTCTTTGATAGATCAGCTTTGAAACACTCTTTTTGTAGAAAGTGCAAATGGATATTTGGTCCTCTCTGAGGATTTCATTGGAAACGGGATAAACCGCACAGAACAAAACAGAAGCATTCTCAGAACCTTCTTCGTGATGTTTGCATTCAACTCACAGTGCTGAACCTTTCTTTGATAGTTCAGCTTTGAAACACTCTTTTTGTAGAAACTGCAAGTGGATATTTGGGCCTCTCTGAGGATTTCGTTGGAAACGGGATAAACCGCACAGAACTAAACAGAAGCATTCTCAGAACCTTCTTCGTGATGTTTGCATTCAACTCACAGTGTTGAACCTTTCTTTGATAGTTCAGGTTGGAAACGGTCTTTCTGTAGAAACTGCAAGTAGATATTTGGACCTCTCTGAGGATTTCGTTGGAAACGGGATAAACCGCACAGAACTAAAACAGAAGCATTCACAGAAAACTCTTGGTGACGACTGAGTTTAACTCACAGAGCTGAACATTCCTTTGGATGGAGCAGTTTCGAAACACACTATTTGTAGAATGTGCAAGTGGATATTTGGGCCTCTCTGAGGATTTCGTTGGAAACGGGATAAACCGCACAGAACTAAAGAGAAGTATTCTCAGAAACTACTTTGTGATGATTGCATTCAAGTCACAGAGTTGAACATTCCCTTTGACAGAGCAGTTTGGAAACTCTCTTTGTGTAGAATCTGCAAGTGGAGATATGGACCGCTTTGAGGCCTATGGTAGTAAAGGAAATAGCTTCATATAAAAGCTAGACAGTAGCATTCTCAGAAACTTCTTTGTGATGCTTGCATTCAACTCACAGAGTTGAACTTTCCTTTCGAGAGAGAAGCTTTGAAACACTCTTTTTCCAGAATCTGCAAGTGGACATTTGGAGGGCTTTGAGGCCTGTGGTGGAAAAGGAATTATCTTCCCGTAAAAGCTAGATGGAAGCATTGTCAGAAACTTCTTTGTGATGATTGCATTCAATTCACAGAGTTGAAGGTTCCTTTTCAAACAGCAGTTTCCAATCACTCTTTCTGTGGAATCTGCAAGTGGATATTTGGACCTATTTTGAAGATTTTGTTGGAAACGGGATAATCTTCACAGAAAAGCTAAACAGAAGCATTCTCAGAACTTCTCTGTGATGTTTGTGTTCAACTCCCAGAGTTTCACGTTGCTTTTCATAGAGTAGTTCTGAAACATGCTTTTCGTAGTGTCTGCAAGTGGACATTTGGAGCGCTTTCAGGCCTGTGGTGGAAAACGAATTATGGTCACATAAAAACTGGAGAGAAGCCTTCTCAGAAACTTCTCTGTGATGATTGCATTCAACTCACAGATTTGAACCCTCCTATGGATAGAGCATTCTTGAAACTCTCTTTTTGTGGAATCTGCAAGTGGATATGTGGACCTCTCCGAAGATGTCTTTGGAAACGGGAATATCTTCACATAAAAACTAAACAGAAGCATTCTCAGAAACTTCTTGGTGATGTTTGCATTCAAATCCCAGAGTTGAACCTTCCTGTGATAGTTCAGGTTTGAAACACTCTTTTTGTAGGATCTGCAAGTGGATATTTGGACCACTCTGTGGCCTTCGTTCGAAACGGGTACATCTTCACATAAAATCTAGACAGAAGCATTCTCAGAAAATACTTTGTGATGATTGAGTTTAACTCACAGAGCTGAACATTCCTTTGGATGGAGCAGGTTTGAAACACACTTTTTGTAGAATCTGCAAGTGGATATTTGGACCTCTCTGAGGATTTCGTTGGAAACGGGATAACTGCACCTAACTAAACAGAAGCATTCTCAGAAACTACTTTGTGATGATTGCATTCACCTCACAGAGTTGAACATTCCTATTGAGAGAGCAGTTTGGAAACACTCTTGTTGGAGAATCTGCAAGTGGAGATTTGGAGCGCTTTGAGGCCTATGGTACTAAAGGGAATAGCTTCATATAAAAACTAGGCAGATGCATTCTCAGGAACTTTTTGGTGATGTTTGTATTCAACTCCCAGAGTTGAACTTTCCTTTGGAAAGAGCAGCTATGAAACACTCTTTTTCTAGAATCTGCAAGTGGACGTTTGGAGGGCTTTGTGGTTTGTGGTGGAAAAGGAAATATCTTCACCTAAATACTAGATAGAAGCATTCTCAGAAGCTTCTCTGTGATGACTGCATTCAACTCACGGAGTTGAACACTCCTTTTGAGAGCGCAGTTTTGAAACTCTCTTTCTGTGGCATCTGCAAGGGGACATGTAGACCTCTTTGAAGATTTCGTTGGAAACGGAATCATCTTCACATAAAAACTATACAGAAGCAGTCTCAGAATCTTCTTTGTGATGTTTGCATTCAAATCCCAGAGTTGAACTTTCCTTTCAAAGTTCACGTTTGAAACACTCTTTTTGCAGGATCTACAAGTGGATATTTGGACCACTCTGTGTCCTTCGTTCGAAACGGGTATATCTTCACACGACATCTAGACAGAAGCTTTCTCAGAAAATTCTTTGGGATGATTGAGTGGAACTCACAGAGCTGAACATTCCTTGCGATGTAGCAGTTTAGAAACACACTTTCTGCAGAATCTGCAAGTGCATATTTGGACCTCTGTGAGGAATTCGTTGGAAACGGGATAATTTCAGCTGACTAAACAGAAGCATTCTCAGAACCTTCTTCGTGATGTCTGCATTCAACTCACAGTGTGGAACCTTTCTTTGATAGTTCAGGTTTGAAACACTCTTTTTGTAGAAACTGCAAGGGGATAATTGCACTTCTTTGAGGCCTACCGTAGTAAAGGAAATAACTTCCTATAGAAAGAAGACAGAAGCATTCTCAGAACCCTCTTCGTGATGTTTGCATTCAACACACAGTGCTGAACCTTTCTTTGATAGTTCAGCTTTGAAACACTCTTCTTGTAGAAACTGCAAGTGGATATTTGGTCCTCTCTGAGGATTTCGTTGGAAACGGGATAAACCGCACAGAACTAAACAGAAGCATTCTCAGAACCTTCTTCGTGATGTTTGCATTCAACTCACAGTGTTGAACCTTTCTTTGATAGTTCAGGTTTGAAACGGTCTTTCTGTAGAAACTGCAAGTAGATATTTGGACCTCTCTGAGGATTTCGTTGGAAACGGGATAACCCGCACAGAACTAAAACAGAAGCATTCACAGAAAACTCTTGGTGACGACTGAGTTTAACTCACAGAGCTGAACATTCCTTTGCATGGAGCAGTTTCGAAACACACTATTTGTAGAATGTGCAAGTGGATATTTAGGCCTCTCTGAGGATTTCGTTGGAAACGGGATAAACCGCACAGAACTAAACAGAAGCATTCTCAGAAACTACTTTGTGATGATTGCATTCAAGTCACAGAGTTGAACATTCCCTTTGACAGAGCAGTTTGGAAACTCTCTTTGTGTAGAATCTGCAAGTGGAGATATGGACCGCTTTGAGGCCTATGGTAGTAAAGGAAATAGCTTCATATAAAAGCTAGACAGTAGCATTCTCAGAAACTTCTTTGTGATGCTTGCATTCAACTCACAGAGTTGAACTTTCCTTTCGAGAGAGAAGCTTTGAAACACTCTTTTTCCAGAATGTGCAAGTGGACATTTGGGGAGCTTTGAGGCCTGTGGTGGAAAAGGAATTATCTTCCCGTAAAAGCTAGATAGAAGCATTGTCAGAAACTTCTTTGTGATGATTGCATTCAACTCACAGAGTTGAAGGTTCCTTTTCAAACAGCAGTTTCCAATCACTCTTTCTGTGGAATCTGCAAGTGGATATTTCGACCTCTTTGAAGATTTCGTTGGAAACGGGAGAATCTTCACAGAAAAGCTAAACAGAAGCATTCTCAGAAACTTCTCTGTGATGTTTGTGTTCAACTCCCAGAGTTTCACGTTGCTTTTCATAGAGTAGTTCTGAAACATGCTTTTCGTAGTGTCTGCAAGTGGACATTTGGAGCGCTTTCAGGCCTGTGGTGGAAAACGAATTATGGTCACATAAAAACTGGAGAGAGCCTTCTCAGAAACTTCTCTGTGATGATTGCATTCAACTCACAGAGTTGAACCCTCCTATGGATAGAGCAGTGTTGAAACTCTCTTTTTGTGGAATCTGCAAGTGGATATGTGGACCTCTCCGAAGATGTCTTTGGAAACGGGAATATCTTCACATAAAAACTAAACAGAAGCATTCTCAGAAACTTCTTGGTGATGTTTGCATTCAAATCCCAGAGTTGAACCTTCCTTTGAGAGTTCAGGTTTGAAACACTCTTTTTGTAGGATCTGCAAGTGGATATTTGGACCACTCTGTGGCCTTCGTTCGAAACGGGTACATCTTCGCATAAAATCTAGACAGAAGCATTCTCAGAAAATACTTTGTGATGATTGAGTTGAACTCACAGAGCTGAACATTCCTTTGGATGGAGCAGGTTTGAGACACACTTTTTGTAGAATCTACAAGTGGATATTTGGACCTCTCTGAGGATTTCGTTGGAAACGGGATAACTGCACCTAATTAAACGGAAGCATTCTCAGAAACTGCTTTGTGATGATTGCATTCACCTCACAGAGTTGAACATTCCTATTGATAGAGCAGTTTGGAAACACTCTTCTTGTGGAATGTGCAAGTGGAGATTTGGAGCGCTTTGAGGCCTATGGTAGTAAAGGGAATAGCTTCATAGAAAAACTAGACAGATGCATTCTCAGGAACTTTTTGGTGATGTTTGTATTCAACTCCCAGAGTTGAACTTTCCTTTGGAAAGAGCAGCTATGAAACACTCTTTTTCTAGAATCTGCAAGTGGACGTTTGGAAGGCTTTGTGGTTTGTGGTGGAAAAGGAAATATCTTCACCTAAATACTAGATAGAAGCATTCTCAGAAGCTTCTCTGTGATGACTGCATTCAACTCACGGAGTTGAACACTCCTTTTGAGAGCGCAGTTTTGAAACTCTCTTTCTGTGGCATCTGCAAGGGGACATGTAGACCTCTTTGAAGATTTCGTTGGAAACGGAATCATCTTCACATCAAAACTATACAGAAGCAGTCTCAGAATCTTCTTTGTGATGTTTGCATTCAAATCCCCGAGTTGAACTTTCCTTTCAAAGTTCACGTTTGAAACACTCTTTTTGCAGGATCTACAAGTGGATATTTGGACCACTCTGTGTCCTTCGTTCGAAACGGGTATATCTTCACATGACATCTAGACAGAAGCTTTCTCAGAAAATTCTTTGGGATGATTGAGTTGAACTCACAGAGCTGAGCATTCCTTGCGATGTAGCAGTTTAGAAACACACTTTCTGCAGAATCTGCAAGTGCATATTTGGACCTCTGTGAGGAATTCGTTGGAAACGGGATAATTTCAGCTGACTAAACAGAAGCATTCTCAGAACCTTCTTCGTGATGTCTGCATTCAACTCACAGTGTGGAACCTTTCTTTGATAGTTCAGGTTTGAAACACTCTTTTTGTAGAAACTGCAAGGGGATAATTGCACTCTTTGAGGAGTACCGTAGTAAAGGAAATAACTTCCTATAAAAAGAAGACAGAAGCATTCTCAGAACCCTCTTCGTGATGTTTGCATTCAACTCACAGTGCTGAACCTTTCTTTGATAGTTCAGCTTTGAAACACTCTTTTTGTAGAAACTGCAAGTGGATATTTGGTCCTCTCTGAGGAATTCGTTGGAAACGGGATAAACTGCACAGAACTAAACAGAAGCATTCTCAGAACCTTCTTCGTGATGTTTGCATTCAACTCACAGTGTTGAACCTTTCTTTGATAGTTCAGGTTTGAAACGGTCTTTCTGTAGAAACTGCAAGTAGATATTTGGACCTCTCTGAGGATTTCGTTGGAAACGGGATAACCCGCACAGAACTAAAACAGAAGCATTCACAGAAAACTCTTGGTGACGACTGAGTTTAACTCACAGAGCTGAACATTCCTTTGGATGGAGCAGTTTCGAAACACACTATTTGTAGAATGTGCAAGTGGATATTTAGGCCTCTCTGAGGATTTCGTTGGAAACGGGATAAACCGCACAGAACTAAACAGAAGCATTCTCAGAAACTACTTTGTGATGATTGCATTCAAGTCACAGAGTTGAACATTCCCTTTGACAGAGCAGTTTGGAAACTCTCTTTGTGTAGAATCTGCAAGTGGAGATATGGACCGCTTTGAGGTCTATGGTAGTAAAGGAAATAGCTTCATATAAAAGCTAGACAGTAGCATTCTCAGAAACTTCTTTGTGATGCTTGCATTCAACTCACAGAGTTGAACTTTCCTTTCGTGAGAGAAGCTTTGAAACAGTCTTTTTCCACAATATGCAAGTGGACATTTGGAGGGCTTTGAGGCCTGTGGTGGAAAAGGAATTATCTTCCTGTAAAAGCTAGATAGAAGCATTGTCAGAAACTTCTTTGTGATGATTGCATTCAAGTCACAGAGTTGAAGGTTCCTTTTCAAAGAGCAGTTTCCAATCACTCTTTCTGTGGAATCTGCAAGTGGATATTTGGACCTCTTTGAAGATTTCGTTGGAAACGGGAGAATCTTCACAGAAAAGTTAAACAGAAGCATTCTCAGAAACTTCTCTGTGATGTTTGTGTTCAACTCCCAGAGTTTCACATTGCTTCTCATAGAGTAGTTCTGAAACATGCTTTTCGTAGTGTCTGCAAGTGGACATTTGGAGCGCTTTCAGGCCTGTGGTGGAAAACGAATTATGGTCACATAAAAACTGGAGAGAAGCCTTCTCAGAAACTTCTCTGTGATGATTGCATTCAACTCACAGAGTTGAACCCTCCTATGGATAGAGCAGTGTTGAAACTCTCTTTTTGTGGAATCTGCAAGCGGATATGTGGACCTCTCCGAAGATGTCTTTGGCAACGGGAATATCTTCACATAAAAACTAAACAGAAGCATTCTCAGAAACTTCTTGGTGATGTTTGCATTCAAATCCCAGAGTTGAACCTTCCTTTGAGAGTTCAGGTTTGAAACACTCTTTTTGTAGGATCTGCAAGTGGATATTTGGACCACTCTGTGGCCTTCGTTCGAAACGGGTACATCTTCGCATAAAATCTAGACAGAAGCATTCTCACAAAATACTTTGTGATGATTGAGTTTAACTCACAGAGCTGAACATTCCTTTGGATGGAGCAGGTTTGAGACACACTTTTTGTAGAATCTACAAGTGGATATTTGGACCTCTCTGAGGATTTCGTTGGAAACGGGATAACTGCACCTAACTAAACGGAAGCATTCTCAGAAACTGCTTTGTGATGATTGCATTCACCTCACAGAGTTGAACATTCCTATTGATAGAGCAGTTTGGAAACACTCTTGTTGTGGAATGTGCAAGTGGAGATTTGGAGCGCTTTGAGGCCTATGGTAGTAAAGGGAATAGCTTCATAGAATAACTAGACAGATGCATTCTCAGGAACTTTTTGGTGATGTTTGTATTCAACTCCCAGAGTTGAACTTTCCTTTGGAAAGAGCAGCTATGAAACACTCTTTTTCTAGAATCTGCAAGTGGACGTTTGGAGGGCTTTGTGGTTTGTGGTGGAAAAGGAAATATCTTCACCTAAATACTAGAGAGAAGCATTCTCAGAAGCTTCTCTGTGATGACTGCATTCAACTCACGGAGTTGAACACTCCTTTTGAGAGCGCAGTTTTGAAACTCTCTTTCTGTGGCATCTGCAAGGGGACATGTAGACCTCTTTGAAGATTTCGTTGGAAACGGAATCATCTTCACATAAAAACTATACAGAAGCAGTCTCAGAATCTTCTTTGTGGTGTTTGCATTCAAATCCCAGAGTTGAACTTTCCTTTCAAAGTTCACGTTTGAAACACTCTTTTTGCAGGATCTACAAGTGGATATTTGGACCACTCTGTGTCCTTCGTTCGAAACGGGTATATCTTCACATGACATCTAGACAGAAGCTTTCTCAGAAAATTCTTTGGGATGATTGAGTGGAACTCACAGAGCTGAACATTCCTTGCGATGTGGCAGTTTAGAAACACACTTTCTGCAGAATCTGCAAGTGCATATTTGGACCTCTCCGAGGAATTCGTTGGAAACGGGATAATTTCAGCTGACTAAACAGAAGCATTCTCAGAACCTTCTTCGTGATGTCTGCATTCAACTCACAGTGTGGAACCTTTCTTTGATAGTTCAGGTTTGAAACACTCTTTTTGTAGAAACTGCAAGGGGATAATTGCACTTCTTTGAGGCCTACCGTAGTAAAGGAAATAACTTCCTATAGAAAGAAGACAGAAGCATTCTCAGAACCCTCTTCGTGATGTTTGCATTCAACTCACAGTGCTGAACCTTTCTTTGATAGTTCAGCTTTGAAACACTCTTCTTGTAGAAACTGCAAGTGGATATTTGGTCCTCTCTGAGGATTTCGTTGGAAACGGGATAAACCGCACAGAACTAAACAGAAGAATTCTCAGAGCCCTCTTCGTGATGTTTGCATTCAACTCACAGTGCTGAACCTTTCTTTGATAGTGCAGCTTTGAAACACTCTTTTTGTAGAAACTGCAAGTGGATGTTTGGTCCTCTCTGAGGATTTCGTTGGAAACGGGATAAACCGCACAGAACTAAAACAGAAGCATTGTCAGAAACTTCTTTGTGATGATTGCATTCAACTCACAGAGTTGAAGGTTCCTTTTCAAACAGCAGTTTCCAATCACTCTTTCTGTGGAATCTGCAAGTGGATATTTGGGCCTCTCTGAGGATTTCGTTGGAAACGGGATAAAACGCACAGAACTAAAACAGAAGCATTCTCAGAAACTTCTCTGTGATGTTTGTGTTCAACTCCCAGAGTTTCACGTTGCTTTTCATAGAGTAGTTCTGAAACATGCTTTTCGTAGTGTCTGCAAGTGGACATTTGGAGCGCTTTCAGGCCTGTGGTGGAAAACGAATTATGGTCACATAAAAACTGGAGAGAAGCCTTCTCAGAAACTTCTCTGTGATGATTGCATTCAACTCACAGAGTTGAACCCTCCTATGGATAGAGCAGTGTTGAAACTCTCTTTTTGTGGAACCTGCAAGTGGATATGTGGACCTCTCCGAAGATGTCTTTGGAAACGGGAATATCTTCACATAAAAACTAAACAGAAGCATTCTCAGAAACTTCTTGGTGATGTTTGCATTCAAATCCCAGAGTTGAACCTTCCTTTGATAGTTCAGGTTTGAAACACTCTTTCTGTAGGATCTGCAAGTGGCTATTTGGACCACTCTGTGGCCTTCGTTCGAAACGGGTATATCTTCGCATAAAATCTAGACAGAAAGCATTCTCAGAAAATACTTTGTGATGATTGAGTTTAAATCACAGAGCTGAACATTCCTTTGGATGGAGCAGGTTTGAGACACACTTTTTGTAGAATCTACAAGTGGATATTTGGACCTCTCTGAGGATTTCGTTGGAAACGGGATAACTGCACCTAACTAAACGGAAGCATTCTCAGAAACTGCTTTGTGATGATTGCATTCACCTCACAGAGTTGAACATTCCTATTGATAGAGCAGTTTGGAAACACTCTTGTTGTGGAATGTGCAAGTGGAGATTTGGAGCGCTTTGAGGCCTATGATAGTAAAGGGAATAGCTTCATAGAAAAACTAGACAGATGCATTCTCAGGAACTTTTTGGTGATGTTTGTATTCAACTCCCAGAGTTGAACTTTCCTTTGGAAAGAGCAGCTATGAAACACTCTTTTTCTAGAATCTGCAAGTGGACGTTTGGAGGGCTTTGTGGTTTGTGGTGGAAAAGGAAATATCTTCACCGAAATACTAGAGAGAAGCATTCTCAGAAGCTTCTCTGTGATGACTGCATTCAACTCACGGAGTTGAACACTCCTTTTGAGAGCGTAGTTTTGAAACTCTCTTTCTGTGGCATCTGCAAGGGGACATGTAGACCTCTTTGAAGATTTCGTTGGAAACGGAATCATCTTCACATAAAAACTATACAGAAGCAGTCTCAGAATCTTCTTTGTGATGTTTGCATTCAAATCCCAGAGTTGAACTTTCCTTTCAAAGTTCACGTTTGAAACACTCTTTTTGCAGGATCTACAAGTGGATATTTGGACCACTCTGTGTCCTTCGTTCGAAACGGGTATATCTTCACACGACATCTAGACAGAAGCTTTCTCAGAAAATTCTTTGGGATGATTGAGTGGAACTCACAGAGCTGAACATTCCTTGCGATGTAGCAGTTTAGAAACACACTTTCTGCAGAATCTGCAAGTGCATATTTGGACCTCTCTGAGGAATTCGTTGGAAACGGGATAATTTCAGCTGACTAAACAGAAGCATTCTCAGAACCTTCTTCGTGATGTCTGCATTCAACTCACAGTGTGGAACCTTTCTTTGATAGTTCAGGTTTGAAACACTCTTTTTGTAGAAACTGCAAGGGGATAATTGCACTTCTTTGAGGCCTACCGTAGTAAAGGAAATAACTTCCTATAGAAAGAAGACAGAAGCATTCTCAGAACCCTCTTCGTGATGTTTGCATTCAACTCACAGTGCTGAACCTTTCTTTGATAGTTCAGCTTTGAAACACTCTTCTTGTAGAAACTGCAAGTGGATATTTGGTCCTCTCTGAGGATTTCGTTGGAAACGGGATAAACCGCACAGAACTAAACAGAAGAATTCTCAGAGCCCTCTTCGTGATGTTTGCATTCAACTCACAGTGCTGAACCTTTCTTTGATAGTGCAGCTTTGAAACACTCTTTTTGTAGAAACTGCAAGTGGATGTTTGGTCCTCTCTGAGGATTTCGTTGGAAACGGGATAAACCGCACAGAACTAAAACAGAAGCATTGTCAGAAACTTCTTTGTGATGATTGCATTCAACTCACAGAGTTGAAGGTTCCTTTTCAAACAGCAGTTTCCAATCACTCTTTCTGTGGAATCTGCAAGTGGATATTTGGGCCTCTCTGAGGATTTCGTTGGAAACGGGATAAAACGCACAGAACTAAAACAGAAGCATTCTCAGAAACTTCTCTGTGATGTTTGTGTTCAACTCCCAGAGTTTCACGTTGCTTTTCATAGAGTAGTTCTGAAACATGCTTTTCGTAGTGTCTGCAAGTGGACATTTGGAGCGCTTTCAGGCCTGTGGTGGAAAACGAATTATGGTCACATAAAAACTGGAGAGAAGCCTTCTCAGAAACTTCTCTGTGATGATTGCATTCAACTCACAGAGTTGAACCCTCCTATGGATAGAGCAGTGTTGAAACTCTCTTTTTGTGGAATCTGCAAGTGGATATGTGGACCTCTCCGAAGATGTCTTTGGAAACGGGAATATCTTCACATAAAAACTAAACAGAAGCATTCTCAGAAACTTCTTGGTGATGTTTGCATTCAAATCCCAGAGTTGAACCTTCCTTTGATAGTTCAGGTTTGAAACACTCTTTCTGTAGGATCTGCAAGTGGCTATTTGGACCACTCTGTGGCCTTCGTTCGAAACGGGTATATCTTCGCATAAAATCTAGACAGAAGCATTCTCAGAAAATACTTTGTGATGATTGAGTTTAAATCACAGAGCTGAACATTCCTCTGGATGGAGCAGGTTTGAGACACACTTTTTGTAGAATCTACAAGTGGATATTTGGACCTCTCTGAGGATTTCGTTGGAAACGGGATAACTGCACCTAACTAAACGGAAGCATTCTCAGAAACTGCTTTGTGATGATTGCATTCACCTCACAGAGTTGAACATTCCTATTGATAGAGCAGTTTGGAAACACTCTTCTTGTGGAATGTGCAAGTGGAGATTCGGAGCGCTTTGAGGCCTATGGTAGTAAAGGGAATAGCTTCATAGAAAAACTAGACAGATGCATTCTCAGGAACTTTTTGGTGATGTTTGTATTCAACTCCCAGAGTTGAACTTTCCTTTGGAAAGAGCAGCTATGAAACACTCTTTTTCTAGAATCTGCAAGTGGACGTTTGGAGGGCTTTGTGGTTTGTGGTGGAAAAGGAAATATCTTCACCTAAATACTAGATAGAAGCATTCTCAGAAGCTTCTCTGTGATGACTGCATTCAACTCACGGAGTTGAACACTCCTTTTGAGAGCGCAGTTTTGAAACTCTCTTTCTGTGGCATCCGCAAGGGGACATGTAGACCTCTTTGAAGATTTCGTTGGAAACGGAATCATCTTCACATCAAAACTATACAGAAGCAGTCTCAGAATCTTCTTTGTGATGTTTGCATTCAAATCCCTGAGTTGAACTTTCCTTTCCAAGTTCACGTTTGAAACACTCTTTTTGCAGGATCTACAAGTGGATATTTGGACCACTCTGTGTCCTTCGTTCGAAACGGGTATATCTTCACATGACATCTAGACAGAAGCTTTCTCAGAAAATTCTTTGGGATGATTGAGTTGAGCAAACAGAGCTGAACACTCCTTGTGATGTAGCAGTTTAGAAACACACTTTCTGCAGAATCTGCAAGTGCATATGTGGACCTCTCTGAGGAATTCGTTGGAAACGGGATAATTTCAGCTGACTAAACAGAAGCATTCTCAGAACCTTCTTCGTGATGTCTGCGTTCAACTCACAGTGTGGAACCTTTCTTTGATAGTTCAGGTTTGAAACACTCTTTTTGTAGAAACTGCAAGGGGATCATTGCACTTCTTTGAGGCCTACCGTAGTAAAGGAGATAACTTTCTACAAAAAGAAGACAGAAGCATTCTCAGAACCCTCTTCGTGATGTTTGCATTCAACTCACAGTGCTGAACCTTTCTTTGATAGTTCAGGTTTGAAACACTCTTTTTGTAGAAACTGCAAGTGGATATTTGGGCCTCTCTGAGGATTTCGTTGGAAACGGGATAAACCGCACAGAAATAAACAGAAGCATTCTCAGAACCTTCTTCGTGATGTTTGCATTCAACTCACAGTGTTGAACCTTTCTTTGATAGTTCAGGTTTGAAACGGTCTTTCTGTAGAAACTGCAAGTAGATATTTGGACCTCTCTGAGGATTTCGTTGGAAACGGGATAAACCGCACACAACTAAAACAGAAGCATTCACAGAAAACTCTTGGTGACGACTGAGTTTAACTCACAGAGCTGAACATTCGTTTGGATGGAGCAGTTTCGAAACACACTATTTGTAGAATGTGCAAGTGGATATGTGGGCCTCTCTGAGGATTTCGTTGGAAACGGGATAAACCGCACAGAACTAAACAGAAGCATTCTCAGAAACTACTTTGTGATGATTGCATTCAAGTCACAGAGTTGAACATTCCCTTTGACAGAGCAGTTTGGAAACTCTCTTTGTGTAGAATCTGCAAGTGGAGATATGGACCGCTTTGAGGCCTATGGTAGTAAAGGAAATAGCTTCATATAAAAGCTAGACAGTAGCATTCTCAGAAACTTCTTTGTGATGCTTGCATTCAACTCACAGAGTTGAACTTTCCTTTCGAGAGAGAAGCTTTGAAACACTCTTTTTCCAGAATGTGCAAGTGGACATTTGGGGAGCTTTGAGGCCTGGGGTGGAAAAGGAATTATCTTCCCGTAAAAGCTAGATAGAAGCATTGTCAGAAACTTCTTTGTGATGATTGCATTCAACTCACGGAGTTGAAGGTTCCTTTTCAAACAGCAGTTTCCAATCACTCTTTCTGTGGAATCTGCAAGTGGATATTTCGACCTCTTTGAAGATTTCGTTGGAAACGGGAGAATCTTCACAGAAAAGCTAAACAGAAGCTTTCTCAGAAACTTCTCTGTGATGTTTGTGTTCAACTCCCAGAGTTTCACATTGCATTTCATAGAGTAGTTCTGAAACATGCTTTTCGTAGTGTCTGCAAGTGGACGTTTGGAGCGCTTTGAGGCCTGTGGTGGAAAACGAATTATGGTCACATAAAAACTGGAGAGAAGCTTTCTCAGAAACTTCTCTGTGATGATTGCATTCAACTCACAGAGTTGAACCCTCCTATGGATATAGCAGTGTTGAAACTCTCTTTTTGTGGAATCTGCAAGTGGATATGTGGACCTCTCCGAAGATGTCTTTGGAAACGGGAATATCTTCACATAAAAACTAAACAGAAGCATTCTCAGAAACTTCTTGGTGATGTTTGCATTCAAATCCCAGAGTTGAACCTTCCTTTGATAGTTCAGGTTTGAAACACTCTTTTTGTAGGATCTGCAAGTGGATATTTGGACCACTCTGTGGCCTTCGTTCGAAACGGGTATATCTTCGCATAAAATCTAGACAGAAGCATTCTCAGAAAATACTTTGTGATGATTGAGTTTAAATCACAGAGCTGAACATTCCTTTGGATGGAGCAGGTTTGAGACACACTTTTTGTAGAATCTACAAGTGGATATTTGGACCTCTCTGAGGATTTCGTTGGAAACGGGATAACTGCACCTAACTAAACGGAAGCATTCTCAGAAACTGCTTTGTGATGATTGCATTCACCTCACAGAGTTGAACATTCCTATTGATAGAGCAGTTTGGAAACACTCTTGTTGTGGAATGTGCAAGTGGAGATTTGGAGCGCTTTGAGGCCTATGGTAGTAAAGGGAATAGCTTCATAGAAAAACTAGACAGATGCATTCTCAGGAACTTTTTGGTGATGTTTGTATTCAACTCCCAGAGTTGAACTTTCCTTTGGAAAGAGCAGCTATGAAACACTGTTTTTCTAGAATCTGCAAGTGGAGGTTTGGAGGGCTTTGTGGTTTGTGGTGGAAAAGGAAATATCTTCACCTAAATACTAGATAGAAGCATCCTCAGAAGCTTCTCTGTGATGACTGCATTCAACTCACGGAGTTGAACACTCCTTTTGAGAGCGCAGTTTTGAAACTCTCTTTCTGTGGCATCTGCAAGGGGACATGTAGACCTCTTTGAAGATTTCGTTGGAAACGGAATCATCTTCACATAAAAACTATACAGAAGCAGTCTCAGAATCTTCTTTGTGATGTTTGCATTCAAATCCCCGAGTTGAACTTTCCTTTCAAAGTTCACGTTTGAAACACTCTTTTTGCAGGATCTACAAGTGGATATTTGGACCACTCTGTGTCCTTCGTTCGAAACGGGTATATCTTCACATGACATCTAGACAGAAGCTTTCTCAGAAAATTCTTTGGGATGATTGAGTTGAACTCACAGAGCTGAGCATTCCTTGCGATGTAGCAGTTTAGAAACACACTTTCTGCAGAATCTGCAAGTGCATATTTGGACCTCTGTGAGGAATTCGTTGGAAACGGGATAATTTCAGCTGACTAAACAGAAGCATTCTCAGAACCTTCTTCGTGATGTCTGCATTCAACTCACAGTGTGGAACCTTTCTTTGATAGTTCAGGTTTGAAACACTCTTTTTGTAGAAACTGCAAGGGGATAATTGCACTCTTTGAGGAGTACCGTAGTAAAGGAAATAACTTCCTATAAAAAGAAGACAGAAGCATTCTCAGAACCCTCTTCGTGATGTTTGCATTCAACTCACAGTGCTGAACCTTTCTTTGATAGTTCAGCTTTGAAACACTCTTTTTGTAGAAACTGCAAGTGGATATTTGGTCCTCTCTGAGGAATTCGTTGGAAACGGGATAAACTGCACAGAACTAAACAGAAGCATTCTCAGAACCTTCTTCGTGATGTTTGCATTCAACTCACAGTGTTGAACCTTTCTTTGATAGTTCAGGTTTGAAACGGTCTTTCTGTAGAAACTGCAAGTAGATATTTGGACCTCTCTGAGGATTTCGTTGGAAACGGGATAACCCGCACAGAACTAAAACAGAAGCATTCACAGAAAACTCTTGGTGACGACTGAGTTTAACTCACAGAGCTGAACATTCCTTTGGATGGAGCAGTTTCGAAACACACTATTTGTAGAATGTGCAAGTGGATATTTAGGCCTCTCTGAGGATTACGTTGGAAACGGGATAAACCGCACAGAACTAAACAGAAGCATTCTCAGAAACTACTTTGTGATGATTGCATTCAAGTCACAGAGCTGAACATTCCCTTTGACAGAGCAGTTTGGAAACTCTCTTTGTGTAGAATCTGCAAGTGGAGATATGGAATGCTTTGAGGACTATGGTAGTAAAGGAAATAGCTTCATATAAAAGCTAGACAGTAGCATTCTCAGAAACTTCTTTGTGATGCTTGCATTCAACTCACAGAGTTGAACTTTCCTTTCGAGAGAGAAGCTTTGAAACACTCTTTTTCCAGAATCTGCAAGTGGACATTTGGAGGGCTTTGAGGCCTGTGGTGGAAAAGGAATTATCTTCCCGTAAAAGCTGGATAGAAGCATTGTCAGAAACTTCTTTGTGATGATTGCATTCAACTCACAGAGTTGAAGGTTCCTTTTCAAACAGCAGTTTCCAAACACTCTTTCTGTGGAATCTGCAAGTGGATGTTTGGACCTCTTTGAAGATTTCGTTGGAAACGGGAGAATCTTCACAGAAAAGCTAAACAGAAGCATTCTCAGAAACTTCTCTGTGATGTTTGTGTTCAACTCCCAGAGTTTCACATTGCTTTTCATAGAGTAGTTCTGAAACATGCTTTTCGTAGTGTCTGCAAGTGGACATTTGGAGCGCTTTCAGGCCTGTGTTGGAAAACGAATTATGGTCACATAAAAACTGGAGAGAAGCCTTCTCAGAAACTTCTCTGTGATGATTGCATTCAACTCACAGAGTTGAACCCTCCTATGGATAGAGCAGTGTTGAAACTCTCTTTTTGTGGAATCTGCAAGTGGATATGTGGACCTCTCCGAAGATGTCTTTGGAAACGGGAATATCTTCACATAAAAACTAAACGAGAAGCATTCTCAGAAACTTCTTGGTGATGTTTGCATTCAAATCCCAGAGGTGAACCTTCCTTTGATAGTTCAGGTTTGAAACACTCTTTTTGTAAGATCTGCAAGTGGCTATTTAGACCACTCTGTGGCCTTCGTTCGAAACGGGTATATCTTCGCATAAAATCTAGACAGAAGCATTCTCAGAAAATACTTTGTGATGATTGAGTTTAAATCACAGAGCTGACCATTCCTTTGGATGGAGCAGGTTTGAGACACACTTTTTGTAGAATCTACAAGTGGATATTTGGACCTCTCTGAGGATTTCGTTGGAAACGGGATAACTGCACCTAACTAAACGGAAGCATTCTCAGAAACTGCTTTGTGATGATTGCATTCACCTCACAGAGTTGAACATTCCTATTGATAGAGCAGTTTGGAAACACTCTTGTTGTGGAATGTGCAAGTGGAGATTTGGAGCGCTTTGAGGCCTGTGGTAGTAAAGGGAATAGCTTCATAGAAAAACTAGACAGATGCATTCTCAGGAACTTTTTGGTGATGTTTGTATTCAACTCCCAGAGTTGAACTTTCCTTTGGAAAGAGCAGCTATGAAACACTCTTTTTCTAGAATCTGCAAGTGGACGTTTGGAGGGCTTTGTGGTTTGTGGTGGAAAAGGAAATATCTTCACCTAAATACTAGATAGAAGCATTCTCAGAAGCTTCTCTGTGATGACTGCATTCAACTCATGGAGTTGAACACTCCTTTTGAGAGCGCAGTTTTGAAACTCTCTTTCTGTGGCATCCGCAAGGGGACATGTGGACCTCTTTGAAGATTTCGTTGGAAACGGAATCATCTTCACATAAAAACTATACAGAAGCAGTCTCAGAATCTTCTTTGTGATGTTTGCATTCAAATCCCAGAGTTGAACTTTCCTTTCAAAGTTCACGTTTGAAACACTCTTTTTGCAGGATCTACAAGTGGATATTTGGACCACTCTGTGTCCTTCGTTCGAAACGGGTATATCTTCACATGACATCTAGACAGAAGCTTTCTCAGAAAATTCTTTGGGATGATTGAGTGGAACTCACAGAGCTGAACATTCCTTGCGATGTAGCAGTTTAGAAACACACTTTCTGCAGAATCTGCAAGTGCATATTTGGACCTCTCTGAGGAATTCGTTGGAAACGGGATAATTTCAGCTGACTAAACAGAAGCATTCTCAGAACCTTCTTCGTGATGTCTGCATTCAACTCACAGTGTGGAACCTTTCTTTGATAGTTCAGGTTTGAAACACTCTTTTTGTAGAAACTGCAAGGGGATAATTGCACTTCTTTGAGGCCTACCGTAGTAAAGGAAATAACTTCCTATAGAAAGAAGACAGAAGCATTCTCAGAACCCTCTTCGTGATGTTTGCATTCAACTCACAGTGCTGAACCTTTCTTTGATAGTTCAGCTTTGAAACACTCTTCTTGTAGAAACTGCAAGTGGATATTTGGTCCTCTCTGAGGATTTCGTTGGAAACGGGATAAACCGCACAGAACTAAACAGAAGCATTCTCAGAACCTTCTTCGTGATGTTTGCATTCAACTCACAGTGTTGAACCTTTCTTTGATAGTTCAGGTTGGAAACGGTCTTTCTGTAGAAACTGCAAGTAGATATTTGGACCTCTCTGAGGATTTCGTTGGAAACGGGATAAACCGCACAGAACTAAAACAGAAGCATTCACAGAAAACTCTTGGTGACGACTGAGTTTAACTCACAGAGCTGAACATTCCTTTGGATGGAGCAGTTTCGAAACACACTATTTGTAGAATGTGCAAGTGGATATTTGGGCCTCTCTGAGGATTTCGTTGGAAACGGGATAAACCGCACAGAACTAAAGAGAAGCATTCTCAGAAACTACTTTGTGATGATTGCATTCAAGTCACAGAGTTGAACATTCCCTTTGACAGAGCAGTTTGGAAACTCTCTTTGTGTAGAATCTGCAAGTGGAGATATGGACCGCTTTGAGGCCTATGGTAGTAAAGGAAAGAGCTTCATATAAAAGCTAGACAGTAGCATTCTCAGAAACTTCTTTGTGATGCTTGCATTCAACTCACAGAGTTGAACTTTCCTTTCGAGAGAGAAGCTTTGAAACACTCTTTTTCCAGAATGTGCAAGTGGAGATTTGGAGGGCTTTGAGGCCTGTGGTGGAAAAGGAATTATCTTCCCGTAAAAGCTAGATAGAAGCATTGTCAGAAACTTCTTTGTGATGATTGCATTCAACTCACAGAGTTGAAGGTTCCTTTTCAAACAGCAGTTTCCAATCACTCTTTGTGTGGAATCTGCAAGTGGATATTTGGACCTATTTTGAAGATTTCGTTGGAAACGGGATAATCTTCACAGAAAAGCTAAACAGAAGCATTCTCAGAAACTTCTCTGTGATGTTTGTGTTCAACTCCCAGAGTTTCACATTGCTTTTCATAGAGTAGTTCTGAAACATGCTTTTCGTAGTGTCTGCAAGTGGACATTTGGAGCGCTCTCAGGCCTGTGGTGCAAAACGAATTATGGTCACATAAAAACTGGAGAGAAGCCTTCTCAGAAACTTCTCTGTGATGATTGCATTCAACTCACAGAGTTGAACCCTCCTATGGATAGAGCAGTGTTGAAACTCTCTTTTTGTGGAATCTGCAAGTGGATATGTGGACCTCTCCGAAGATGTCTTTGGAAACGGGAATATCTTCACATAAAAACTAAACAGAAGCATTCTCAGAAACTTCTTGGGGATGTTTGCATTCAAATCCCAGAGTTGAACCTTCCTTTGATAGTTCAGGTTTGAAACACTCTTTTTGTAGGATCTGCAAGTGGCTATTTGGACCACTCTGTGGCCTTCGTTCGAAACGGGTATATCTTCGCATAAAATCTAGACAGAAGCATTCTCAGAAAATACTTTGTGATGATTGAGTTGAACTCACAGAGCTGAACATTCCTTTGGATGGAGCAGGTTTGAGACACACTTTTTGTAGAATCTACAAGTGGATATTTGGACCTCTCTGAGGATTTCGTTGGAAACGGGATAACTGCACCTAACTAAACGGAAGCATTCTCAGAAACTGCTTTGTGATGATTGCATTCACCTCACAGAGTTGAACATTCCTATTGATAGAGCAGTTTGGAAACACTCTTCTTGTGGAATGTGCAAGTGGAGATTTGGAGCGCTTTGAGGCCTATGGTAGTAAAGGGAATAGCTTCATAGAAAAACTAGACAGATGCATTCTCAGGAACTTTTTGGTGATGTTTGTATTCAACTCCCAGAGTTGAACTTTCCTTTGGAAAGAGCAGCTATGAAACACTCTTTTTCTAGAATCTGCAAGTGGACGTTTGGAGGGCTTTGTGGTTTGTGGTGGAAAAGGAAATATCTTCACCTAAATACTAGATAGAAGCATTCTCAGAAGCTTCTCTGAGATGACTGCATTCAACTCACGGAGTTGAACACTCCTTTTGAGAGCGCAGTTTTGAAACTCTCTTTCTGTGGCATCTGCAAGGGGACATGTAGACCTCTTTGAAGATTTCGTTGGAAACGGAATCATCTTCACATAAAAACTATACAGAAGCAGTCTCAGAATCTTCTTTGTGATGTTTGCATTCAAATCCCCGAGTTGAACTTTCCTTTCAAAGTTCACGTTTGAAACACTCTTTTTGCAGGATCTACAAGTGGATATTTGGACCACTCTGTGTCCTTCGTTCGAAACGGGTATATCTTCACATGACATCTAGACAGAAGCTTTCTCAGAAAATTCTTTGGGATGATTGAGTAGAACTCACAGAGCTGAGCATTCCTTGCGATGTAGCAGTTTAGAAACACACTTTCTGCAGAATCTGCAAGTGCATATTTGGACCTCTGTGAGGAATTCGTTGGAAACGGGATAATTTCAGCTGACTAAACAGAAGCATTCTCAGAACCTTCTTCGTGATGTCTGCATTCAACTCACAGTGTGGAACCTTTCTTTGATAGTTCAGGTTTGAAACACTCTTTCTGTAGAAACTGCAAGGGGATAATTGCACTCTTTGAGGAGTACCGTAGTAAAGGAAATAACTTCCTATAAAAAGAAGACAGAAGCATTCTCAGAACCCTCTTCGTGATGTTTGCATTCAACTCACAGTGCTGAACCTTTCTTTGATAGTTCAGCTTTGAAACACTCTTTTTGTAGAAACTGCAAGTGGATATTTGGTCCTCTCTGAGGATTTCGTTGGAAACGGGATAAACTGCACAGAACTAAACAGAAGCATTCTCAGAACCTTCTTCGTGATGTTTGCATTCAACTCACAGTGTGGAACCTTTCTTTGATAGTTCAGGTTTGAAACGGTCTTTCTGTAGAAACTGCAAGTAGATATTTGGACCTCTCTGAGGATTTCGTTGGAAACGGGATAACCCGCACAGAACTAAAACAGAAGCATTCACAGAAAACTCTTGGTGACGACTGAGTTTAACTCACAGAGCTGAACATTCCTTTGGATGGAGCAGTTTCGAAACACACTATTTGTAGAATGTGCAAGTGGATATTTGGGCCTCTCTGAGGATTTCGTTGGAAACGGGATAAACCGCACAGAACTAAACAGAAGCATTCTCAGAAACTACTTTGTGATGATTGCATTCAAGTCACAGAGTTGAACATTCCCTTTGACAGAGCAGTTTGGAAACTCTCTTTGTGTAGAATCTGCAAGTGGAGATATGGACCGCTTTGAGGCCTATGGTAGTAAAGGAAATAGCTTCATATAAAAGCTAGACAGTAGCATTCTCAGAAACTTCTTTGTGATGCTTGCATTCAACTCACAGAGTTGAACTTTCCTTTCGAGAGAGAAGCTTTGAAACACTCTTTTTCCAGAATCTGCAAGTGGACATTTGGAGGGCTTTGAGGCCTGTGGTGGAAAAGGAATTATCTTCCCGTAAAAGCTAGATAGAAGCATTGTCAGAAACTTCTTTGTGATGATTGCATTCAACTCACAGAGTTGAAGGTTCCTTTTCAAAGAGCAGTTTCCAATCACTCTTTCTGTGGAATCTGCAAGTGGATATTTGGACCTATTTTGAAGATTTCGTTGGAAACGGGAGAATCTTCACAGGAAAGCTAAACAGAAGCATTCTCAGAAACTTCTCTGTGATGTTTGTGTTCAACTCCCAGAGTTTCACATTGCTTTTCATAGAGTAGTTCTGAAACATGCTTTTCGTAGTGTCTACAAGTGGACATTTGGAGCGCTTTCAGGCCTGTGGTGGAAAACGAATTATGGTCACATAAAAACTGGAGAGAAGCCTTCTCAGAAACTTCTCTGTGATGATTGCATTCAACTCACAGAGTTGAACCCTCCTATGGATAGAGCAGTGTTGAAACTCTCTTTTTGTGGAATCTGCAAGTGGATATGTGGACCTCTCCGAAGATGTCTTTGGAAACGGGAATATCTTCACATAAAAACTAAACAGAAGCATTCTCAGAAACTTCTTGGTGATGTTTGCATTCAAATCCCAGAGTTGAACCTTCCTTTGATAGTTCAGGTTTGAAACACTCTTTTTGTAGGATCTGCAAGTGGATATTTGGACCACTCTGTGGCCTTCGTTCGAAACGGGTATATCTTCGCATAAAATCTAGACAGAAGCATTCTCAGAAAATACTTTGTGATGATTGAGTTTAACTCACAGAGCTGAACATTCCTTTGGATGGAGCAGGTTTGAGACACACCTTTTGTAGAATCTACAAGTGGATATTTGGACCTCTCTGAGGATTTCGTTGGAAACGGGATAACTGCACCTAACTAAACGGAAGCATTCTCAGAAACTGCTTTGTGATGATTGCATTCACCTCACAGAGTTGAACATTCCTATTGATAGAGCAGTTTGGAAACACTCTTGTTGTGGAATGTGCAAGTGGAGATTTGGAGCGCTTTGAGGCCTATGGTAGTAAAGGGAATAGCTTCATAGAAAAACTAGACAGATGCATTCTCAGGAACTTTTTGGTGATGTTTGTATTCAACTCCCAGAGTTGAACTTTCCTTTGGAAAGAGCAGCTATGAAACACTCTTTTTCTAGAATCTGCAAGTGGACGTTTGGAGGGCTTTGTGGTTTGTGGTGGAAAAGGAAATATCTTCACCTAAATACTAGATAGAAGCATCCTCAGAAGCTTCTCTGTGATGACTGCATTCAACTCACGGAGTTGAACACTCCTTTTGAGAGCGCAGTTTTGAAACTCTCTTTCTGTGGCATCTGCAAGGGGACATGTAGACCTCTTTGAAGATTTCGTTGGAAACGGAATCATCTTCACATAAAAACTATACAGAAGCAGTCTCAGAATCTTCTTTGTGATGTTTGCATTCAAATCCCCGAGTTGAACTTTCCTTTCAAAGTTCACGTTTGAAACACTCTTTTTGCAGGATCTACAAGTGGATATTTGGACCACTCTGTGTCCTTCGTTCGAAACGGGTATATCTTCACATGACATCTAGACAGAAGCTTTCTCAGAAAATTCTTTGGGATGATTGAGTTGAACTCACAGAGCTGAGCATTCCTTGCGATGTAGCAGTTTAGAAACACACTTTCTGCAGAATCTGCAAGTGCATATTTGGACCTCTGTGAGGAATTCGTTGGAAACGGGATAATTTCAGCTGACTAAACAGAAGCATTCTCAGAACCTTCTTCGTGATGTCTGCATTCAACTCACAGTGTGGAACCTTTCTTTGATAGTTCAGGTTTGAAACACTCTTTTTGTAGAAACTGCAAGGGGATCATTGCACTCTTTGAGGAGTACCGTAGTAAAGGAAATAACTTCCTATAAAAAGAAGACAGAAGCATTCTCAGAACCCTCTTCGTGATGTTTGCATTCAACTCACAGTGCTGAACCTTTCTTTGATAGTTCAGCTTTGAAACACTCTTTTTGTAGAAACTGCAAGTGGATATTTGGTCCTCTCTGAGCATTTCGTTGGAAACGGGATAAACTGCACAGAACTAAACAGAAGCATTCTCAGAACCTTCTTCGTGATGTTTGCATTCAACTCACAGTGTTGAACCTTTCTTTGATAGTTCAGGTTTGAAACGGTCTTTCTGTAGAAACTGCAAGTAGATATTTGGACCTCTCTGAGGATTTCGTTGGAAACGGGATAACCCGCACAGAACTAAAACAGAAGCATTCACAGAAAACTCTTGGTGACGACTGAGTTTAACTCACAGAGCTGAACATTCCTTTGGATGGAGCAGTTTCGAAACACACTATTTGTAGAATGTGCAAGTGGATATTTAGGCCTCTCTGAGGATTTCGTTGGAAACGGGATAAACCGCACAGAACTAAACAGAAGCATTCTCAGAAACTACTTTGTGATGATTGCATTCAAGTCACAGAGTTGAACATTCCCTTTGACAGAGCAGTTTGGAAACTCTCTTTGTGTAGAATCTGCAAGTGGAGATATGGACCGCTTTGAGGCCTATGGTAGTAAAGGAAATAGCTTCATATAAAAGCTAGACAGTAGCATTCTCAGAAACTTCTTTGTGATGCTTGCATTCAACTCACAGAGTTGAACTTTCCTTTCGAGAGAGAAGCTTTGAAACACTCTTTTTCCAGAATCTGCAAGTGGACATTTGGAGGGCTTTGAGGCCTGTGGTGGAAAAGGAATTATCTTCCCGTAAAAGCTAGATAGAAGCATTGTCAGAAACTTCTTTGTGATGATTGCATTCAACTCACAGAGTTGAAGGTTCCTTTTCAAAGAGCAGTTTCCAATCACTCTTTGTGTGGAATCTGCAAGTGGATATTTGGACCTATTTTGAAGATTTCGTTGGAAACGGGAGAATCTTCACAGGAAAGCTAAACAGAAGCATTCTCAGAAACTTCTCTGTGATGTTTGTGTTCAACTCCCAGAGTTTCACATTGCTTTTCATAGAGTAGTTCTGAAACATGCTTTTCGTAGTGTCTACAAGTGGACATTTGGAGCGCTTTCAGGCCTGTGGTGGAAAACGAATTATGGTCACATAAAAACTGGAGAGAAGCCTTCTCAGAAACTTCTCTGTGATGATTGCATTCAACTCACAGAGTTGAACCCTCCTATGGATAGAGCAGTGTTGAAACTCTCTTTTTGTGGAATCTGCAAGTGGATATGTGGACCTCTCCGAAGATGTCTTTGGAAACGGGAATATCTTCACATAAAAACTAAACAGAAGCATTCTCAGAAACTTCTTGGTGATGTTTGCATTCAAATCCCAGAGTTGAACCTTCCTTTGATAGTTCAGGTTTGAAACACTCTTTTTGTAGGATCTGCAAGTGGATATTTGGACCACTCTGTGGCCTTCGTTCGAAACGGGTATATCTTCGCATAAAATCTAGACAGAAGCATTCTCAGAAAATACTTTGTGATGATTGAGTTTAACTCACAGAGCTGAACATTCCTTTGGATGGAGCAGGTTTGAGACACACTTTTTGTAGAATCTACAAGTGGATATTTGGACCTCTCTGAGGATTTCGTTGGAAACGGGATAACTGCACCTAACTAAACGGAAGCATTCTCAGAAACTGCTTTGTGATGATTGCATTCACCTCACAGAGTTGAACATTCCTATTGATAGAGCAGTTTGGAAACACTCTTGTTGTGGAATGTGCAAGTGGAGATTTGGAGCGCTTTGAGGCCTATGGTAGTAAAGGGAATAGCTTCATAGAAAAACTAGACAGATGCATTCTCAGGAACTTTTTGGTGATGTTTGTATTCAACTCCCAGAGTTGAACTTTCCTTTGGAAAGAGCAGCTATGAAACACTGTTTTTCTAGAATCTGCAAGTGGACGTTTGGAGGGCTTTGTGGTTTGTGGTGGAAAAGGAAATATCTTCACCTAAATACTAGATAGAAGCATCCTCAGAAGCTTCTCTGTGATGACTGCATTCAACTCACGGAGTTGAACACTCCTTTTGAGAGCGCAGTTTTGAAACTCTCTTTCTGTGGCATCTGCAAGGGGACATGTAGACCTCTTTGAAGATTTCGTTGGAAACGGAATCATCTTCACATAAAAACTACACAGAAGCAGTCTCAGAATCTTCTTTGTGATGTTTGCATTCAAATCCCAGAGTTGAACTTGCCTTTCAAAGTTCACGTTTGAAACACTCTTTTTGCAGGATCTACAAGTGGATATTTGGACCACTCTGTGTCCTTCGTTCGAAACGGGTATATCTTCACATGACATCTAGACAGAAGCTTTCTCAGAAAATTCTTTGGGATGATTGAGTTGAGCAAACAGAGCTGAACACTCCTTGTGATGTAGCAGTTTAGAAACACACTTTCTGCAGAATCTGCAAGTGCATATGTGGACCTCTCTGAGGAATTCGTTGGAAACGGGATAATTTCAGCTGACTAAACAGAAGCATTCTCAGAACCTTCTTCGTGATGTCTGCATTCAACTCACAGTGTGGAACCTTTCTTTGATAGTTCAGGTTTGAAACACTCTTTTTGTAGAAACTGCAAGGGGATCATTGAACTTCTTTGAGGCCTACCGTAGTAAAGGAGATAACTTCCTATAAAAAGAAGACAGAAGCATTCTCAGAACCCTCTTCGTGATGTTTGCATTCAACTCACAGTGCTGAACCTTTCTTTGATAGTTCAGCTTTGAAACACTCTTCTTGTAGAAACTGCAAGTGGATATTTGGTCCTCTCTGAGGATTTCGTTGGAAACGGGATAAACCGCACAGAACTAAACAGAAGAATTCTCAGAGCCCTCTTCGTGATGTTTGCATTCAACTCACAGTGCTGAACCTTTCTTTGATAGTGCAGCTTTGAAACACTCTTTTTGTAGAAACTGCAAGTGGATGTTTGGTCCTCTCTGAGGATTTCGTTGGAAACGGGATAAACCGCACAGAACTAAAACAGAAGCATTGTCAGAAACTTCTTTGTGATGATTGCATTCAACTCACAGAGTTGAAGGTTCCTTTTCAAACAGCAGTTTCCAATCACTCTTTCTGTGGAATCTGCAAGTGGATATTTGGGCCTCTCTGAGGATTTCGTTGGAAACGGGATAAAACGCACAGAACTAAAACAGAAGCATTCTCAGAAACTTCTCTGTGATGTTTGTGTTCAACTCCCAGAGTTTCACGTTGCTTTTCATAGAGTAGTTCTGAAACATGCTTTTCGTAGTGTCTGCAAGTGGACATTTGGAGCGCTTTCAGGCCTGTGGTGGAAAACGAATTATGGTCACATAAAAACTGGAGAGAAGCCTTCTCAGAAACTTCTCTGTGATGATTGCATTCAACTCACAGAGTTGAACCCTCCTATGGATAGAGCAGTGTTGAAACTCTCTTTTTGTGGAATCTGCAAGTGGATATGTGGACCTCTCCGAAGATGTCTTTGGAAACGGGAATATCTTCACATAAAAACTAAACAGAAGCATTCTCAGAAACTTCTTGGTGATGTTTGCATTCAAATCCCAGAGTTGAACCTTCCTTTGATAGTTCAGGTTTGAAACACTCTTTCTGTAGGATCTGCAAGTGGCTATTTGGACCACTCTGTGGCCTTCGTTCGAAACGGGTATATCTTCGCATAAAATCTAGACAGAAGCATTCTCAGAAAATACTTTGTGATGATTGAGTTTAAATCACAGAGCTGACCATTCCTTTGGATGGAGCAGGTTTGAGACACACTTTTTGTAGAATCTACAAGTGGATATTTGGACCTCTCTGAGGATTTCGTTGGAAACGGGATAACTGCACCTAACTAAACGGAAGCATTCTCAGAAACTGCTTTGTGATGATTGCATTCACCTCACAGAGTTGAACATTCCTATTGATAGAGCAGTTTGGAAACACTCTTGTTGTGGAATGTGCAAGTGGAGATTTGGAGCGCTTTGAGGCCTATGGTAGTAAAGGGAATACCTTCATAGAAAAACTAGACAGATGCATTCTCAGGAACTTTTTGGTGATGTTTGTATTCAACTCCCAGAGTTGAACTTTCCTTTGGAAAGAGCAGCTATGAAACACTCTTTTTCTAGAATCTGCAAGTGGACGTTTGGAGGGCTTTGTGGTTTGTGGTGGAAAAGGAAATATCTTCACCTAAATACTAGATAGAAGCATTCTCAGAAGCTTCTCTGAGATGACTGCATTCAACTCACGGAGTTGAACACTCCTTTTGAGAGCGCAGTTTTGAAACTCTCTTTCTGTGGCATCTGCAAGGGGACATGTAGACCTCTTTGAAGATTTCGTTGGAAACGGAATCATCTTCACATAAAAACTATACAGAAGCAGTCTCAGAATCTTCTTTGTGATGTTTGCATTCAAATCCCCGAGTTGAACTTTCCTTTCAAAGTTCACGTTTGAAACACTCTTTTTGCAGGATCTACAAGTGGATATTTGGACCACTCTGTGTCCTTCGTTCGAAACGGGTATATCTTCACATGACATCTAGACAGAAGCTTTCTCAGAAAATTCTTTGGGATGATTGAGTTGAACTCACAGAGCTGAGCATTCCTTGCGATGTAGCAGTTTAGAAACACACTTTCTGCAGAATCTGCAAGTGCATATTTGGACCTCTGTGAGGAATTCGTTGGAAACGGGATAATTTCAGCTGACTAAACAGAAGCATTCTCAGAACCTTCTTCGTGATGTCTGCATTCAACTCACAGTGTGGAACCTTTCTTTGATAGTTCAGGTTTGAAACACTCTTTCTGTAGAAACTGCAAGGGGATAATTGCACTCTTTGAGGAGTACCGTAGTAAAGGAAATAACTTCCTATAAAAAGAAGACAGAAGCATTCTCAGAACCCTCTTCGTGATGTTTGCATTCAACCCACAGTGCTGAAACTTTCTTTGATAGTTCAGCTTTGAAACACTCTTTTTGTAGAAACTGCAAGTGGATATTTGGTCCTCTCTGAGCATTTCGTTGGAAACGGGATAAACTGCACAGAACTAAACAGAAGCATTCTCAGAACCTTCTTCGTGATGTTTGCATTCAACTCACAGTGTTGAACCTTTCTTTGATAGTTCAGGTTTGAAACGGTCTTTCTGTAGAAACTGCAAGTAGATATTTGGACCTCTCTGAGGATTTCGTTGGAAACGGGATAACCCGCACAGAACTAAAACAGAAGCATTCACAGAAAACTCTTGGTGACGACTGAGTTTAACTCACAGAGCTGAACATTCCTTTGGATGGAGCAGTTTCGAAACACACTATTTGTAGAATGTGCAAGTGGATATTTAGGCCTCTCTGAGGATTTCGTTGGAAACGGGATAAACCGCACAGAACTAAACAGAAGCATTCTCAGAAACTACTTTGTGATGATTGCATTCAAGTCACAGAGCTGAACATTCCCTTTGACGGAGCAGTTTGGAAACTCTCTTTGTGTAGAATCTACAAGTGGAGATATGGAATGCTTTGAGGACTATGGTAGTAAAGGAAATAGCTTCATATAAACGCTAGACAGTAACATTCTCAGAAACTTCTTTGTGATGCTTGCATTCAACTCACAGAGTTGAACATTCCTTTCAAGAGAGAAGCTTTGAAACACTCTTTTTCCAGAATCTGCAAGGGGACATTTGGAGGGCTTTGAGGCCTGTGGTGGAAAAGGAATTATCTTCCCGTAAATGCTAGATAGAAGCATTGTAAGAAACTTCTTCGTGATGATTGCATTCAACTCACAGAGTTGAAGGTTCCTTTTCAAACAGCAGTTTCCAAACACTCTTTCTGTGGAATCTGCAAGTGGATATTTGGACCTCTTTGAAGATTTCGTTGGAAACGGGAGAATCTTCACAGAAAAGCTAAACAGAAGCATTCTCAGAAACTTCTCTGTGATGTTTGTGTTCAACTCCCAGAGTTTCACATTGCTTCTCATAGAGTAGTTCTGAAACATGCTTTTCATACTGTCTGCAAGTGGACATTTGGAGCGCTTTCAGGCCTGTGGTGGAAAACGAATTATGGTCACATAAAAACTGGAGAGAAGCCTTCTCAGAAACTTCTCTGTGATGATTGCATTCAACTCACAGAGTTGAACCCTCCTATGGATAGAGCAGTGTTGAAACTCTCTTTTTGTGGAATCTGCAAGTGGATATGTGGACCCCTCCGAAGATGTCTTTGGAAACGGGAATATCTTCACATAAAAACTAAACAGAAGCATTCTCAGAAACTGCTTTGTGATGATTGCATTCACCTCACAGAGTTGAACATTCCTGTTGATAGAGCAGTTCGTAAACACTCTTGTTGCAGAATCTGCAAGTGCATATTTGGACCACTCTGTGGCCTTCGTTCAAAACGGGTACATCTTCCCATAAAATCTAGACAGATGCATTCTGAGGAACTTTTTGTTCATGTTTGTATTCAACTCCCAGAGTTGAACTTTCCTTTGGAAAGAGCAGCTGTGAAACCCTCTTTTTCTAGAATCTGCAAGTGGACGTTTGGAGGGCTTTGTGGTTTGTGGTGGAAAAGGAAATATCTTCACCTAAATACTAGATAGAAGCATTCTCAGAAGCTTCTCTGTGATGACTGCATTCAACTCACGGAGTTGAACACTCCTTTTGAGAGCGCAGTTTTGAAACTCTCTTTCTGTGGCATCTGCAAGGGGACATGTAGACCTCTTTGAAGATTTCGTTGGAAACGGAATCATCTTCACATAAAAACTATACAGAAGCAGTCTCAGAATCTTCTTTGTGATGTTTGCATTCAAATCCCAGAGTTGAACTTTCCTTTCAAAGTTCACGTTTGAAACACTCTTTTTGCAGGATCTACAAGTGGATATTTGGACCACTCTGTGTCCTTCGTTCGAAACGGGTATATCTTCACACGACATCTAGACAGAAGCTTTCTCAGAAAATTCTTTGGGATGATTGAGTGGAACTCACAGAGCTGAACATTCCTTGCGATGGAGCAGTTTAGAAACACACTTTCTGCAGAATCTGCAAGTGCATATTTGGACCTCTCTGAGGAATTCGTTGGAAACGGGATAATTTCAGCTGACTAAACAGAAGCATTCTCAGAACCTTCTTCGTGATGTCTGCATTCAACTCACAGTGTGGAACCTTTCTTTGATAGTTCAGGTTTGAAACACTCTTTTTGTAGAAACTGCAAGGGGATAATTGCACTTCTTTGAGGCCTACCGTAGTAAAGGAAATAACTTCCTATAGAAAGAAGACAGAAGCATTCTCAGAACCCTCTTCGTGATGTTTGCATTCAACTCACAGTGCTGAACATTTCTTTGATAGTTCAGCTTTGAAACACTCTTTTTGTAGAAACTGCAAGTGGATATTCTGGTCCTCTCTGAGCATTTCGTTGGAAACGGGATAAACTGCACAGAACTAAACAGAAGAATTCTCAGAGCCCTCTTCGTGATGTTTGCATTCAACTCACAGTGCTGAACCTTTCTTTGATAGTGCAGCTTTGAAACACTCTTTTTGTAGAAACTGCAAGTGGATATTTGGTCCTCTCTGAGGATTTCGTTGGAAACGGGATAAACCGCACAGAACTAAAACAGAAGCATTGTCAGAAACTTCTTTGTGATGATTGCATTCAACTCACAGAGTTGAAGGTTCCTTTTCAAACAGCAGTTTCCAATCACTCTTTCTGTGGAATCTGCAAGTGGATATTTGGGCCTCTCTGAGGATTTCGTTGGAAACGGGATAAAACGCACAGAACTAAAACAGAAGCATTCTCAGAAACTTCTCTGTGATGTTTGTGTTCAACTCCCAGAGTTTCACGTTGCTTTTCATAGAGTAGTTCTGAAACATGCTTTTCGTAGTGTCTGCAAGTGGACATTTGGAGCGCTTTCAGGCCTGTGGTGGAAAACGAATTATGGTCACATAAAAACTGGAGAGAAGCCTTCTCAGAAACTTCTCTGTGATGATTGCATTCAACTCACAGAGTTGAACCCTCCTATGGATAGAGCAGTGTTGAAACTCTCTTTTTGTGGAATCTGCAAGTGGATATGTGGACCTCTCCGAAGATGTCTTTGGAAACGGGAATATCTTCACATAAAAACTAAACAGAAGCATTCTCAGAAACTTCTTGGTGATGTTTGCATTCAAATCCCAGAGTTGAACCTTCCTTTGATAGTTCAGGTTTGAAACACTCTTTCTGTAGGATCTGCAAGTGGCTATTTGGACCACTCTGTGGCCTTCGTTCGAAACGGGTATATCTTCGCATAAAATCTAGACAGAAGCATTCTCAGAAAATACTTTGTGATGATTGAGTTTAAATCACAGAGCTGACCATTCCTTTGGATGGAGCAGGTTTGAGACACACTTTTTGTAGAATCTACAAGTGGATATTTGGACCTCTCTGAGGATTTCGTTGGAAACGGGATAACTGCACCTAACTAAACGGAAGCATTCTCAGAAACTGCTTTGTGATGATTGCATTCACCTCACAGAGTTGAACATTCCTATTGATAGAGCAGTTTGGAAACACTCTTGTTGTGGAATGTGCAAGTGGAGATTTGGAGCGCTTTGAGGCCTGTGGTAGCAAAGGGAATAGCTTCATAGAAAAACTAGACAGATGCATTCTCAGGAACTTTTTGGTGATGTTTGTATTCAACTCCCAGAGTTGAACTTTCCTTTGGAAAGAGCAGCTATGAAACACTCTTTTTCTAGAATCTGCAAGTGGACGTTTGGAGGGCTTTGTGGTTTGTGGTGGAAAAGGAAATATCTTCACCTAAATACTAGATAGAAGCATTCTCAGAAGCTTCTCTGTGATGACTGCATTCAACTCACGGAGTTGAACACTCCTTTTGAGAGCGCAGTTTTGAAACTCTCTTTCTGTGGCATCTGCAAGGGGACATGTAGACCTCTTTGAAGATTTCGTTGGAAACGGAATCATCTTCACATAAAAACTATACAGAAGCAGTCTCAGAATCTTCTTTGTGATGTTTGCATTCAAATCCCAGAGTTGAACTTTCCTTTCAAAGTTCACGTTTGAAACACTCTTTTTGCAGGATCTACAAGTGGATATTTGGACCACTCTGTGTCCTTCGTTCGAAACGGGTATATCTTCACACGACATCTAGACAGAAGCTTTCTCAGAAAATTCTTTGGGATGATTGAGTGGAACTCACAGAGCTGAACATTCCTTGCGATGTAGCAGTTTAGAAACACACTTTCTGCAGAATCTGCAAGTGCATATTTGGACCTCTCTGAGGAATTCGTTGGAAACGGGATAATTTCAGCTGACTAAACAGAAGCATTCTCAGAACCTTCTTCGTGATGTCTGCATTCAACTCACAGTGTGGAACCTTTCTTTGATAGTTCAGGTTTGAAACACTCTTTTTGTAGAAACTGCAAGGGGATAATTGCACTTCTTTGAGGCCTACCGTAGTAAAGGAAATAACTTCCTATAGAAAGAAGACAGAAGCATTCTCAGAACCCTCTTCGTGATGTTTGCATTCAACTCACAGTGCTGAACCTTTCTTTGATAGTTCAGCTTTGAAACACTCTTCTTGTAGAAACTGCAAGTGGATATTTGGTCCTCTCTGAGGATTTCGTTGGAAACGGGATAAACCGCACAGAACTAAACAGAAGAATTCTCAGAGCCCTCTTCGTGATGTTTGCATTCAACTCACAGTGCTGAACCTTTCTTTGATAGTGCAGCTTTGAAACACTCTTTTTGTAGAAACTGCAAGTGGATGTTTGGTCCTCTCTGAGGATTTCGTTGGAAACGGGATAAACCGCACAGAACTAAAACAGAAGCATTGTCAGAAACTTCTTTGTGATGATTGCATTCAACTCACAGAGTTGAAGGTTCCTTTTCAAACAGCAGTTTCCAATCACTCTTTCTGTGGAATCTGCAAGTGGATATTTGGGCCTCTCTGAGGATTTCGTTGGAAACGGGATAAAACGCACAGAACTAAAACAGAAGCATTCTCAGAAACTTCTCTGTGATGTTTGTGTTCAACTCCCAGAGTTTCACGTTGCTTTTCATAGAGTAGTTCTGAAACATGCTTTTCGTAGTGTCTGCAAGTGGACATTTGGAGCGCTTTCAGGCCTGTGGTGGAAAACGAATTATGGTCACATAAAAACTGGAGAGAAGCCTTCTCAGAAACTTCTCTGTGATGATTGCATTCAACTCACAGAGTTGAACCCTCCTATGGATAGAGCAGTGTTGAAACTCTCTTTTTGTGGAATCTGCAAGTGGATATGTGGACCTCTCCGAAGATGTCTTTGGAAACGGGAATATCTTCACATAAAAACTAAACAGAAGCATTCTCAGAAACTTCTTGGTGATGTTTGCATTCAAATCCCAGAGTTGAACCTTCCTTTGATAGTTCAGGTTTGAAACACTCTTTCTGTAGGATCTGCAAGTGGCTATTTGGACCACTCTGTGGCCTTCGTTCGAAACGGGTATATCTTCGCATAAAATCTAGACAGAAGCATTCTCAGAAAATACTTTGTGATGATTGAGTTTAAATCACAGAGCTGACCATTCCTTTGGATGGAGCAGGTTTGAGACACACTTTTTGTAGAATCTACAAGTGGATATTTGGACCTCTCTGAGGATTTCGTTGGAAACGGGATAACTGCACCTAACTAAACGGAAGCATTCTCAGAAACTGCTTTGTGATGATTGCATTCACCTCACAGAGTTGAACATTCCTATTGATAGAGCAGTTTGGAAACACTCTTGTTGTGGAATGTGCAAGTGGAGATTTGGAGCGCTTTGAGGCCTATGGTAGTAAAGGGAATAGCTTCATAGAAAAACTAGACAGATGCATTCTCAGGAACTTTTTGGTGATGTTTGTATTCAACTCCCAGAGTTGAACTTTCCTTTGGAAAGAGCAGCTATGAAACACTCTTTTTCTAGAATCTGCAAGTGGACGTTTGGAGGGCTTTGTGGTTTGTGGTGGAAAAGGAAATATCTTCACCTAAATACTAGATAGAAGCATTCTCAGAAGCTTCTCTGTGATGACTGCATTCAACTCACGGAGTTGAACACTCCTTTTGAGAGCGCAGTTTTGAAACTCTCTTTCTGTGGCATCCGCAAGGGGACATGTGGACCTCTTTGAAGATTTCGTTGGAAACGGAATCATCTTCACATAAAAACTATACAGAAGCAGTCTCAGAATCTTCTTTGTGATGTTTGCATTCAAATCCCAGAGTTGAACTTTCCTTTCAAAGTTCACGTTTGAAACACTCTTTTTGCAGGATCTACAAGTGGATATTTGGACCACTCTGTGTCCTTCGTTCGAAACGGGTATATCTTCACACGACATCTAGACAGAAGCTTTCTCAGAAAATTCTTTGGGATGATTGAGTGGAACTCACAGAGCTGAACATTCCTTGCGATGTAGCAGTTTAGAAACACACTTTCTGCAGAATCTGCAAGTGCATATTTGGACCTCTCTGAGGAATTCGTTGGAAACGGGATAATTTCAGCTGACTAAACAGAAGCATTCTCAGAACCTTCTTCGTGATGTCTGCATTCAACTCACAGTGTGGAACCTTTCTTTGATAGTTCAGGTTTGAAACACTCTTTTTGTAGAAACTGCAAGGGGATAATTGCACTTCTTTGAGGCCTACCGTAGTAAAGGAAATAACTTCCTATAGAAAGAAGACAGAAGCATTCTCAGAACCCTCTTCGTGATGTTTGCATTCAACTCACAGTGCTGAACCTTTCTTTGATAGTTCAGCTTTGAAACACTCTTCTTGTAGAAACTGCAAGTGGATATTTGGTCCTCTCTGAGGATTTCGTTGGAAACGGGATAAACCGCACAGAACTAAACAGAAGAATTCTCAGAGCCCTCTTCGTGATGTTTGCATTCAACTCACAGTGCTGAACCTTTCTTTGATAGTGCAGCTTTGAAACACTCTTTTTGTAGAAACTGCAAGTGGATATTTGGTCCTCTCTGAGGATTTCGTTGGAAACGGGATAAACCGCACAGAACTAAAACAGAAGCATTGTCAGAAACTTCTTTGTGATGATTGCATTCAACTCACAGAGTTGAAGGTTCCTTTTCAAACAGCAGTTTCCAATCACTCTTTCTGTGGAATCTGCAAGTGGATATTTGGGCCTCTCTGAGGATTTCGTTGGAAACGGGATAAAACGCACAGAACTAAAACAGAAGCATTCTCAGAAACTTCTCTGTGATGTTTGTGTTCAACTCCCAGAGTTTCACGTTGCTTTTCATAGAGTAGTTCTGAAACATGCTTTTCGTAGTGTCTGCAAGTGGACATTTGGAGCGCTTTCAGGCCTGTGGTGGAAAACGAATTATGGTCACATAAAAACTGGAGAGAAGCCTTCTCAGAAACTTCTCTGTGATGATTGCATTCAACTCACAGAGTTGAACCCTCCTATGGATAGAGCAGTGTTGAAACTCTCTTTTTGTGGAATCTGCAAGTGGATATGTGGACCTCTCCGAAGATGTCTTTGGAAACGGGAATATCTTCACATAAAAACTAAACAGAAGCATTCTCAGGAAACTTCTTGGTGATGTTTGCATTCAAATCCCAGAGTTGAACCTTCCTTTGATAGTTCAGGTTTGAAACACTCTTTTTGTAGGATCTGCAAGTGGCTATTTGGACCACTCTGTGGCCTTCGTTCGAAACGGGTATATCTTCGCATAAAATCTAGACAGAAGCATTCTCAGAAAATACTTTGTGATGATTGAGTTTAAATCACAGAGCTGACCATTCCTTTGGATGGAGCAGGTTTGAGACACACTTTTTGTAGAATCTACAAGTGGATATTTGGACCTCTCTGAGGATTCGTTGGAAACGGGATAACTGCACCTAACTAAACGGAAGCATTCTCAGAAACTGCTTTGTGATGATTGCATTCACCTCACAGAGTTGAACATTCCTATTGATAGAGCAGTTTGGAAACACTCTTGTTGTGGAATGTGCAAGTGGAGATTTGGAGCGCTTTGAGGCCTATGGTAGTAAAGGGAATAGCTTCATAGAAAAACTAGACAGATGCATTCTCAGGAACTTTTTGGTGATGTTTGTATTCAACTCCCAGAGTTGAACTTTCCTTTGGAAAGAGCAGCTATGAAACACTCTTTTTCTAGAATCTGCAAGTGGACGTTTGGAGGGCTTTGTGGTTTGTGGTGGAAAAGGAAATATCTTCACCTAAATACTAGATAGAAGCATTCTCAGAAGCTTCTCTGTGATGACTGCATTCAACTCACGGAGTTGAACACTCCTTTTGAGAGCGCAGTTTTGAAACTCTCTTTCTGTGGCATCTGCAAGGGGACATGTAGACCTCTTTGAAGATTTCGTTGGAAACGGAATCATCTTCACATAAAAACTATACAGAAGCAGTCTCAGAATCTTCTTTGTGATGTTTGCATTCAAATCCCAGAGTTGAACTTTCCTTTCAAAGTTCACGTTTGAAACACTCTTTTTGCAGGATCTACAAGTGGATATTTGGACCACTCTGTGTCCTTCGTTCGAAACGGGTATATCTTCACACGACATCTAGACAGAAGCTTTCTCAGAAAATTCTTTGGGATGATTGAGTGGAACTCACAGAGCTGAACATTCCTTGCGATGTAGCAGTTTAGAAACACACTTTCTGCAGAATCTGCAAGTGCATATTTGGACCTCTCTGAGGAATTCGTTGGAAACGGGATAATTTCAGCTGACTAAACAGAAGCATTCTCAGAACCTTCTTCGTGATGTCTGCATTCAACTCACAGTGTGGAACCTTTCTTTGATAGTTCAGGTTTGAAACACTCTTTTTGTAGAAACTGCAAGGGGATAATTGCACTTCTTTGAGGCCTACCGTAGTAAAGGAAATAACTTCCTATAGAAAGAAGACAGAAGCATTCTCAGAACCCTCTTCGTGATGTTTGCATTCAACTCACAGTGCTGAACCTTTCTTTGATAGTTCAGCTTTGAAACACTCTTCTTGTAGAAACTGCAAGTGGATATTTGGTCCTCTCTGAGGATTTCGTTGGAAACGGGATAAACCGCACAGAACTAAACAGAAGAATTCTCAGAGCCCTCTTCGTGATGTTTGCATTCAACTCACAGTGCTGAACCTTTCTTTGATAGTGCAGCTTTGAAACACTCTTTTTGTAGAAACTGCAAGTGGATGTTTGGTCCTCTCTGAGGATTTCGTTGGAAACGGGATAAACCGCACAGAACTAAAACAGAAGCATTGTCAGAAACTTCTTTGTGATGATTGCATTCAACTCACAGAGTTGAAGGTTCCTTTTCAAACAGCAGTTTCCAATCACTCTTTCTGTGGAATCTGCAAGTGGATATTTGGGCCTCTCTGAGGATTTCGTTGGAAACGGGATAAAACGCACAGAACTAAAACAGAAGCATTCTCAGAAACTTCTCTGTGATGTTTGTGTTCAACTCCCAGAGTTTCACGTTGCTTTTCATAGAGTAGTTCTGAAACATGCTTTTCGTAGTGTCTGCAAGTGGACATTTGGAGCGCTTTCAGGCCTGTGGTGGAAAACGAATTATGGTCACATAAAAACTGGAGAGAAGCCTTCTCAGAAACTTCTCTGTGATGATTGCATTCAACTCACAGAGTTGAACCCTCCTATGGATAGAGCAGTGTTGAAACTCTCTTTTTGTGGAATCTGCAAGTGGATATGTGGACCTCTCCGAAGATGTCTTTGGAAACGGGAATATCTTCACATAAAAACTAAACAGAAGCATTCTCAGAAACTTCTTGGTGATGTTTGCATTCAAATCCCAGAGTTGAACCTTCCTTTGATAGTTCAGGTTTGAAACACTCTTTCTGTAGGATCTGCAAGTGGCTATTTGGACCACTCTGTGGCCTTCGTTCGAAACGGGTATATCTTCGCATAAAATCTAGACAGAGAGCATTCTCAGAATATACTTTGTGATGATTGAGTTTAACTCACAGAGCTGAACATTCCTTTGGATGGAGCAGGTTTGAGACACACTTTTTGTAGAATCTACAAGTGGATATTTGGACCTCTCTGAGGATTTCGTTGGAAACGGGATAACTGCACCTAACTAAACGGAGCATTCTCAGAAACTGCTTTGTGATGATTGCATTCACCTCACAGAGTTGAACATTCCTATTGATAGAGCAGTTTGGAAACACTCTTGTTGTGGAATGTGCAAGTGGAGATTTGGAGCGCTTTGAGGCCTATGGTAGTAAAGGGAATAGCTTCATAGTAAAACTAGACAGATGCATTCTCAGGAACTTTTTGGTGATGTTTGTATTCAACTCCCAGAGTTGAACTTTCCTTTGGAAAGAGCAGCTATGAAACACTCTTTTTCTAGAATCTGCAAGTGGACGTTTGCAGGGCTTTGTGGTTTGTGGTGGAAAAGGAAATATCTTCACCTAAATACTAGATAGAAGCATTCTCAGAAGCTTCTCTGTGATGACTGCATTCAACTCACGGAGTTGAACACTCCTTTTGAGAGCGCAGTTTTGAAACTCTCTTTCTGTGGCATCTGCAAGGGGACATGTAGACCTCTTTGAAGATTTCGTTGGAAACGGAATCATCTTCACATAAAAACTATACAGAAGCAGTCTCAGAATCTTCTTTGTGATGTTTGCATTCAAATCCCCGAGTTGAACTTTCCTTTCAAAGTTCACGTTTGAAACACTCTTTTTGCAGGATCTACAAGTGGATATTTGGACCACTCTGTGTCCTTCGTTCGAAACGGGTATATCTTCACATGACATCTAGACAGAAGCTTTCTCAGAAAATTCTTTGGGATGATTGAGTTGAACTCACAGAGCTGAGCATTCCTTGCGATGTAGCAGTTTAGAAACACACTTTCTGCAGAATCTGCAAGTGCATATTTGGACCTCTGTGAGGAATTCGTTGGAAACGGGATAATTTCAGCTGACTAAACAGAAGCATTCTCAGAACCTTCTTCGTGATGTCTGCATTCAACTCACAGTGTGGAACCTTTCTTTGATAGTTCAGGTTTGAAACACTCTTTCTGTAGAAACTGCAAGGGGATAATTGCACTCTTTGAGGAGTACCGTAGTAAAGGAAATAACTTCCTATAAAAAGAAGACAGAAGCATTCTCAGAACCCTCTTCGTGATGTTTGCATTCAACTCACAGTGCTGAACCTTTCTTTGATAGTTCAGCTTTGAAACACTCTTTTTGTAGAAACTGCAAGTGGATATTTGGTCCTCTCTGAGGATTTCGTTGGAAACGGGATAAACTGCACAGAACTAAACAGAAGCATTCTCAGAACCTTCTTCGTGATGTTTGCATTCAACTCACAGTGTTGAACCTTTCTTTGATAGTTCAGGTTTGAAACGGTCTTTCTGTAGAAACTGCAAGTAGATATTTGGACCTCTCTGAGGATTTCGTTGGAAACGGGATAACCCGCACAGAACTAAAACAGAAGCATTCACAGAAAACTCTTGGTGACGACTGAGTTTAACTCACAGAGCTGAACATTCCTTTGGATGGAGCAGTTTCGAAACACACTATTTGTAGGATGTGCAAGTGGATATTTGGGCCTCTCTGAGGATTTCGTTGGAAACGGGATAAACCGCACAGAACTAAACAGAAGCATTCTCAGAAACTACTTTGTGATGATTGCATTCAAGTCACAGAGTTGAACATTCCCTTTGACAGAGCAGTTTGGAAACTCTCTTTGTGTAGAATCTGCAAGTGGAGATATGGACCGCTTTGAGGCCTATGGTAGTAAAGGAAATAGCTTCATATAAAAGCTAGACAGTAGCATTCTCAGAAACTTCTTTGTGATGCTTGCATTCAACTCACAGAGTTGAACTTTCCTTTCGAGAGAGAAGCTTTGAAACACTCTTTTTCCAGAATCTGCAAGTGGACATTTGGAGGGCTTTGAGGCCTGTGGTGGAAAAGGAATTATCTTCCCGTAAAAGCTAGATAGAAGCATTGTCAGAAACTTCTTTGTGATGATTGCATTCAACTCACAGAGTTGAAGGTTCCTTTTCAAAGAGCAGTTTCCAATCACTCTTTCTGTGGAATCTGCAAGTGGATATTTGGACCTATTTTGAAGATTTCATTGGAAACGGGAGAATCTTCACAGGAAAGCTAAACAGAAGCATTCTCAGAAACTTCTCTGTGATGTTTGTGTTCAACTCCCAGAGTTTCACGTTGCTTTTCATAGAGTAGTTCTGAAACATGCTTTTCGTAGTGTCTGCAAGTGGACATTTGGAGCGCTTTCAGGCCTGTGGTGGAAAACGAATTATGGTCACATAAAAACTGGAGAGAAGCCTTCTCAGAAACTTCTCTGTGATGATTGCATTCAACTCACAGAGTTGAACCCTCCTATGGATAGAGCAGTGTTGAAACTCTCTTTTTGTGGAATCTGCAAGTGGATATGTGGACCTCTCCGAAGATGTCTTTGGAAACGGGAATATCTTCACATAAAAACTAAACAGAAGCATTCTCAGAAACTTCTTGGTGATGTTTGCATTCAAATCCCAGAGTTGAACCTTCCTTTGATAGTTCAGGTTTGAAACACTCTTTCTGTAGGATCTGCAAGTGGCTATTTGGACCACTCTGTGGCCTTCGTTCGAAACGGGTATATCTTCGCATAAAATCTAGACAGAAGCATTCTCAGAAAATACTTTGTGATGATTGAGTTTAAATCACAGAGCTGACCATTCCTTTGGATGGAGCAGGTTTGAGACACACTTTTTGTAGAATCTACAAGTGGATATTTGGACCTCTCTGAGGATTTCGTTGGAAACGGGATAACTGCACCTAACTAAACGGAAGCATTCTCAGAAACTGCTTTGTGATGATTGCATTCACCTCACAGAGTTGAACATTCCTATTGATAGAGCAGTTTGGAAACACTCTTGTTGTGGAATGTGCAAGTGGAGATTTGGAGCGCTTTGAGGTCTATGGTAGTAAAGGGAATAGCTTCATAGAAAAACTAGACAGATGCATTCTCAGGAACTTTTTGGTGATGTTTGTATTCAACTCCCAGAGTTGAACTTTCCTTTGGAAAGAGCAGCTATGAAACACTCTTTTTCTAGAATCTGCAAGTGGACGTTTGGAGGGCTTTGTGGTTTGTGGTGGAAAAGGAAATATCTTCACCTAAATACTAGACAGAAGCATTCTCAGAAGCTTCTCTGTGATGACTGCATTCAACTCACGGAGTTGAACACTCCTTTTGAGAGCGCAGTTTTGAAACTCTCTTTCTGTGGCATCTGCAAGGGGACATGTAGACCTCTTTGAAGATTTCGTTGGAAACGGAATCATCTTCACATAAAAACTATACAGAAGCAGTCTCAGAATCTTCTTTGTGATGTTTGCATTCAAATCCCAGAGTTGAACTTTCCTTTCAAAGTTCACGTTTGAAACACTCTTTTTGCAGGATCTACAAGTGGATATTTGGACCACTCTGTGTCCTTCGTTCGAAACGGGTATATCTTCACATGACATCTAGACAGAAGCTTTCTCAGAAAATTCTTTGGGATGATTGAGTGGAACTCACAGAGCTGAACATTCCTTGCGATGTAGCAGTTTAGAAACACACTTTCTGCAGAATCTGCAAGTGCATATTTGGACCTCTCTGAGGAATTCGTTGGAAACGGGATAATTTCAGCTGACTAAACAGAAGCATTCTCAGAACCTTCTTCGTGATGTCTGCATTCAACTCACAGTGTGGAACCTTTCTTTGATAGTTCAGGTTTGAAACACTCTTTTTGTAGAAACTGCAAGGGGATAATTGCACTTCTTTGAGGCCTACCGTAGTAAAGGAAATAACTTCCTATAGAAAGAAGACAGAAGCATTCTCAGAACCCTCTTCGTGATGTTTGCATTCAACTCACAGTGCTGAACCTTTCTTTGATAGTTCAGCTTTGAAACACTCTTCTTGTAGAAACTGCAAGTGGATATTTGGTCCTCTCTGAGGATTTCGTTGGAAACGGGATAAACCGCACAGAACTAAACAGAAGAATTCTCAGAGCCCTCTTCGTGATGTTTGCATTCAACTCACAGTGCTGAACCTTTCTTTGATAGTGCAGCTTTGAAACACTCTTTTTGTAGAAACTGCAAGTGGATGTTTGGTCCTCTCTGAGGATTTCGTTGGAAACGGGATAAACCGCACAGAACTAAAACAGAAGCATTGTCAGAAACTTCTTTGTGATGATTGCATTCAACTCACAGAGTTGAAGGTTCCTTTTCAAACAGCAGTTTCCAATCACTCTTTCTGTGGAATCTGCAAGTGGATATTTGGGCCTCTCTGAGGATTTCGTTGGAAACGGGATAAAACGCACAGAACTAAAACAGAAGCATTCTCAGAAACTTCTCTGTGATGTTTGTGTTCAACTCCCAGAGTTTCACGTTGCTTTTCATAGAGTAGTTCTGAAACATGCTTTTCGTAGTGTCTGCAAGTGGACATTTGGAGCGCTTTCAGGCCTGTGGTGGAAAACGAATTATGGTCACATAAAAACTGGAGAGAAGCCTTCTCAGAAACTTCTCTGTGATGATTGCATTCAACTCACAGAGTTGAACCCTCCTATGGATAGAGCAGTGTTGAAACTCTCTTTTTGTGGAATCTGCAAGTGGATATGTGGACCTCTCCGAAGATGTCTTTGGAAACGGGAATATCTTCACATAAAAACTAAACAGAAGCATTCTCAGAAACTTCTTGGTGATGTTTGCATTCAAATCCCAGACTTGAACCTTCCTTTGATAGTTCAGGTTTGAAACACTCTTTTTGTAGGATCTGCAAGTGGCTATTTGGACCACTCTGTGGCCTTCGTTCGAAACGGGTATATCTTCGCATAAAATCTAGACAGAAGCATTCTCAGAAAATACTTTGTGATGATTGAGTTTAACTCACAGAGCTGAACATTCCTTTGGATGGAGCAGGTTTGAGACACACTTTTTGTAGAATCTACAAGTGGATATTTGGACCTCTCTGAGGATTTCGTTGGAAACGGGATAACTGCACCTAACTAAACGGAAGCATTCTCAGAAACTGCTTTGTGATGATTGCATTCACCTCACAGAGTTGACCATTCCTATTGATAGAGCAGTTTGGAAACCCTCTTGTTGTGGAATGTGCAAGTGGAGATTTGGAGCGCTTTGAGGCCTATGGTAGTAAAGGAAATAGCTTCATAGAAAAACTAGACAGATGCATTCTCAGGAACTTTTTGGTGATGTTTGTATTCAACTCCCAGAGTTGAACTTTCCTTTGGAAAGAGCAGCTATGAAACACTCTTTTTCTAGAATCTGCAAGTGGACGTTTGGAGGGCTTTGTGGTTTGTGGTGGAAAAGGAAATATCTTCACCTAAATACTAGATAGAAGCATTCTCAGAAGCTTCTCTGTGATGACTGCATTCAACTCACGGAGTTGAACACTCCTTTTGAGAGCGCAGTTTTGAAACTCTGTTTCTGTGGCATCTGCAAGGGGACATGTAGACCTCTTTGAAGATTTCGTTGGAAACGGAATCATCTTCACATAAAAACTATACAGAAGCAGTCTCAGAATCTTCTTTGTGATGTTTGCATTCAAATCCCAGAGTTGAACTTTCCTTTCAAAGTTCACGTTTGAAACACTCTTTTTGCAGGATCTACAAGTGGATATTTGGACCACTCTGTGTCCTTCGTTCGAAACGGGTATATCTTCACATGACATCTAGACAGAAGCTTTCTCAGAAAATTCTTTGGGATGATTGAGTGGAACTCACAGAGCTGAACATTCCTTGCGATGGAGCAGTTTAGAAACACACTTTCTGCAGAATCTGCAAGTGCATATTTGGACCTCTCTGAGGAATTCGTTGGAAACGGGATAATTTCAGCTGACTAAACAGAAGCATTCTCAGAACCTTCTTCGTGATGTCTGCATTCAACTCACAGTGTGGAACCTTTCTTTGATAGTTCAGGTTTGAAACACTCTTTTTGTAGAAACTGCAAGGGGATAATTGCACTTCTTTGAGGCCTACCGTAGTAAAGGAAATAACTTCCTATAGAAAGAAGACAGAAGCATTCTCAGAACCCTCTTCGTGATGTTTGCATTCAACTCACAGTGCTGAACCTTTCTTTGATAGTTCAGCTTTGAAACACTCTTCTTGTAGAAACTGCAAGTGGATATTTGGTCCTCTCTGAGGATTTCGTTGGAAACGGGATAAACCGCACAGAACTAAACAGAAGAATTCTCAGAGCCCTCTTCGTGATGTTTGCATTCAACTCACAGTGCTGAACCTTTCTTTGATAGTGCAGCTTTGAAACACTCTTTTTGTAGAAACTGCAAGTGGATGTTTGGTCCTCTCTGAGGATTTCGTTGGAAACGGGATAAACCGCACAGAACTAAAACAGAAGCATTGTCAGAAACTTCTTTGTGATGATTGCATTCAACTCACAGAGTTGAAGGTTCCTTTTCAAACAGCAGTTTCCAATCACTCTTTCTGTGGAATCTGCAAGTGGATATTTGGGCCTCTCTGAGGATTTCGTTGGAAACGGGATAAAACGCACAGAACTAAAACAGAAGCATTCTCAGAAACTTCTCTGTGATGTTTGTGTTCAACTCCCAGAGTTTCACGTTGCTTTTCATAGAGTAGTTCTGAAACATGCTTTTCGTAGTGTCTGCAAGTGGACATTTGGAGCGCTTTCAGGCCTGTGGTGGAAAACGAATTATGGTCACATAAAAACTGGAGAGAAGCCTTCTCAGAAACTTCTCTGTGATGATTGCATTCAACTCACAGAGTTGAACCCTCCTATGGATAGAGCAGTGTTGAAACTCTCTTTTTGTGGAATCTGCAAGTGGATATGTGGACCTCTCCGAAGATGTCTTTGGAAACGGGAATATCTTCACATAAAAACTAAACAGAAGCATTCTCAGAAACTTCTTGGTGATGTTTGCATTCAAATCCCAGAGTTGAACCTTCCTTTGATAGTTCAGGTTTGAAACACTCTTTCTGTAGGATCTGCAAGTGGCTATTTGGACCACTCTGTGGCCTTCGTTCGAAACGGGTATATCTTCGCATAAAATCTAGACAGAAGCATTCTCAGAAAATACTTTGTGATGATTGAGTTTAAATCACAGAGCTGACCATTCCTTTGGATGGAGCAGGTTTGAGACACACTTTTTGTAGAATCTACAAGTGGATATTTGGACCTCTCTGAGGATTTCGTTGGAAACGGGATAACTGCACCTAACTAAACGGAAGCATTCTCAGAAACTGCTTTGTGATGATTGCATTCACCTCACAGAGTTGAACATTCCTATTGATAGAGCAGTTTGGAAACACTCTTGTTGTGGAATGTGCAAGTGGAGATTTGGAGCGCTTTGAGGCCTGTGGTAGTAAAGGGAATAGCTTCATAGAAAAACTAGACAGATGCATTCTCAGGAACTTTTTGGTGATGTTTGTATTCAACTCCCAGAGTTGAACTTTCCTTTGGAAAGAGCAGCTATGAAACACTCTTTTTCTAGAATCTGCAAGTGGACGTTTGGAGGGCTTTGTGGTTTGTGGTGGAAAAGGAAATATCTTCACCTAAATACTAGATAGAAGCATTCTCAGAAGCTTCTCTGTGATGACTGCATTCAACTCACGGAGTTGAACACTCCTTTTGAGAGCGCAGTTTTGAAACTCTCTTTCTGTGGCATCTGCAAGGGGACATGTAGACCTCTTTGAAGATTTCGTTGGAAACGGAATCATCTTCACATAAAAACTATACAGAAGCAGTCTCAGAATCTTCTTTGTGATGTTTGCATTCAAATCCCAGAGTTGAACTTTCCTTTCAAAGTTCACGTTTGAAACACTCTTTTTGCAGGATCTACAAGTGGATATTTGGACCACTCTGTGTCCTTCGTTCGAAACGGGTATATCTTCACACGACATCTAGACAGAAGCTTTCTCAGAAAATTCTTTGGGATGATTGAGTGGAACTCACAGAGCTGAACATTCCTTGCGATGTAGCAGTTTAGAAACACACTTTCTGCAGAATCTGCAAGTGCATATTTGGACCTCTCTGAGGAATTCGTTGGAAACGGGATAATTTCAGCTGACTAAACAGAAGCATTCTCAGAACCTTCTTCGTGATGTCTGCATTCAACTCACAGTGTGGAACCTTTCTTTGATAGTTCAGGTTTGAAACACTCTTTTTGTAGAAACTGCAAGGGGATAATTGCACTTCTTTGAGGCCTACCGTAGTAAAGGAAATAACTTCCTATAGAAAGAAGACAGAAGCATTCTCAGAACCCTCTTCGTGATGTTTGCATTCAACTCACAGTGCTGAACCTTTCTTTGATAGTTCAGCTTTGAAACACTCTTCTTGTAGAAACTGCAAGTGGATATTTGGTCCTCTCTGAGGATTTCGTTGGAAACGGGATAAACCGCACAGAACTAAACAGAAGAATTCTCAGAGCCCTCTTCGTGATGTTTGCATTCAACTCACAGTGCTGAACCTTTCTTTGATAGTGCAGCTTTGAAACACTCTTTTTGTAGAAACTGCAAGTGGATGTTTGGTCCTCTCTGAGGATTTCGTTGGAAACGGGATAAACCGCACAGAACTAAAACAGAAGCATTGTCAGAAACTTCTTTGTGATGATTGCATTCAACTCACAGAGTTGAAGGTTCCTTTTCAAACAGCAGTTTCCAATCACTCTTTCTGTGGAATCTGCAAGTGGATATTTGGGCCTCTCTGAGGATTTCGTTGGAAACGGGATAAAACGCACAGAACTAAAACAGAAGCATTCTCAGAAACTTCTCTGTGATGTTTGTGTTCAACTCCCAGAGTTTCACGTTGCTTTTCATAGAGTAGTTCTGAAACATGCTTTTCGTAGTGTCTGCAAGTGGACATTTGGAGCGCTTTCAGGCCTGTGGTGGAAAACGAATTATGGTCACATAAAAACTGGAGAGAAGCCTTCTCAGAAACTTCTCTGTGATGATTGCATTCAACTCACAGAGTTGAACCCTCCTATGGATAGAGCAGTGTTGAAACTCTCTTTTTGTGGAATCTGCAATTGGATATGTGGACCTCTCCGAAGATGTCTTTGGAAACGGGAATATCTTCACATAAAAACTAAACAGAAGCATTCTCAGAAACTTCTTGGTGATGTTTGCATTCAAATCCCAGAGTTGAACCTTCCTTTGATAGTTCAGGTTTGAAACACTCTTTTTGTAGGATCTGCAAGTGGCTATTTGGACCACTCTGTGGCCTTCGTTCGAAACGGGTATATCTTCGCATAAAATCTAGACAGAAGCATTCTCAGAAAATACTTTGTGATGATTGAGTTTAAATCACAGAGCTGACCATTCCTTTGGATGGAGCAGGTTTGAGACACACTTTTTGTAGAATCTACAAGTGGATATTTGGACCTCTCTGAGGATTTCGTTGGAAACGGGATAACTGCACCTAACTAAACGGAAGCATTCTCAGAAACTGCTTTGTGATGATTGCATTCACCTCACAGAGTTGAACATTCTCTATTGATAGAGCAGTTTGGAAACACTCTTGTTGTGGAATGTGCAAGTGGAGATTTGGAGCGCTTTGAGGCCTATGGTAGTAAAGGGAATAGCTTCATAGAAAAACTAGACAGATGCATTCTCAGGAACTTTTTGGTGATGTTTGTATTCAACTCCCAGAGTTGAACTTTCCTTTGGAAAGAGCAGCTATGAAACACTCTTTTTCTAGAATCTGCAAGTGGACGTTTGGAGGGCTTTGTGGTTTGTGGTGGAAAAGGAAATATCTTCACCTAAATACTAGATAGAAGCATTCTCAGAAGCTTCTCTGTGATGACTGCATTCAACTCACGGAGTTGAACACTCCTTTTGAGAGCGCAGTTTTGAAACTCTCTTTCTGTGGCATCTGCAAGGGGACATGTAGACCTCTTTGAAGATTTCGTTGGAAACGGAATCATCTTCACATCAAAACTATACAGAAGCAGTCTCAGAATCTTCTTTGTGATGTTTGCATTCAAATCCCAGAGTTGAACTTTCCTTTCAAAGTTCACGTTTGAAACACTCTTTTTGCAGGATCTACAAGTGGATATTTGGACCACTCTGTGTCCTTCGTTCGAAACGGGTATATCTTCACATGACATCTAGACAGAAGCTTTCTCAGAAAATTCTTTGCGATGATTGAGTTGAACTCACAGAGCTGAACATTCCTTGCGATGTAGCAGTTTAGAAACACACTTTCTGCAGAATCTGCAAGTGCATATTTGGACCTCTCTGAGGAATTCGTTGGAAACGGGATAATTTCAGCTGACTAAACAGAAGCATTCTCAGAACCTTCTTCGTGATGTCTGCATTCAACTCACAGTGTGGAACCTTTCTTTGATAGTTCAGGTTTGAAACACTCTTTTTGTAGAAACTGCAAGGGGATAATTGCACTTCTTTGAGGCCTACCGTAGTAAAGGAAATAACTTCCTATAAAAAGAAGACAGAAGCATTCTCAGAACCCTCTTCGTGATGTTTGCATTCAACTCACAGTGCTGAACCTTTCTTTGATAGTTCAGCTTTGAAACACTCTTCTTGTAGAAACTGCAAGTGGATATTTGGTCCTCTCTGAGGATTTCGTTGGAAACGGGATAAACCGCACAGAACTAAACAGAAGAATTCTCAGAGCCCTCTTCGTGATGTTTGCATTCAACTCACAGTGCTGAACCTTTCTTTGATAGTGCAGCTTTGAAACACTCTTTTTGTAGAAACTGCAAGTGGATATTTGGTCCTCTCTGAGGATTTTGTTGGAAACGGGATAAACCGCACAGAACTAAAACAGAAGCATTCACAGAAAACTCTTGGTGACGACTGAGTTTAACTCACAGAGCTGAACATTCCTTTGGATGGAGCAGTTTCGAAACACACTATTTGTAGAATCTGCAAGTGGATATTTGGGCCTCTCTGAGGATTTCGTTGGAAACGGGATAAAACGCACAGAACTAAAACAGAAGCATTCTCAGAAACTACTTTGTGATGATTGCATTCAAGTCACAGAGTTGAACATTCCCTTTGACAGAGCAGTTTGGAAACTCTCTTTGTGTAGAATCTGCAAGTGGAGATATGGACCGCTTTGAGGCCTATGGTAGTAAAGGAAATAGCTTCATATAAAAGCTAGACAGTAGCATTCTCAGAAACTTCTTTGTGATGCTTGCATTCAACTCACAGAGTTGAACTTTCCTTTCGAGAGAGAAGCTTTGAAACACTCTTTTTCCAGAATGTGCAAGTGGACATTTGGGGAGCTTTGAGGCCTGTGGTGGAAAAGGAATTATCTTCCCGTAAAAGCTAGATAGAAGCATTGTCAGAAACTTCTTTGTGATGATTGCATTCAACTCACAGAGTTGAAGGTTCCTTTTCAAACAACAGTTTCCAATCACTCTTTCTGTGGAATCTGCAAGTGGATATTTCGACCTCTTTGAAGATTTCGTTGGAAACGGGAGAATCTTCACAGAAAAGCTAAACAGAAGCATTCTCAGAAACTTCTCTGTGATGTTTGTGTTCAACTCCCAGAGTTTCACGTTGCTTTTCATAGAGTAGTTCTGAAACATGCTTTTCGTAGTGTCTGCAAGTGGACATTTGGAGCGCTTTCAGGCCTGTGGTGGAAAACGAATTATGGTCACATAAAAACTGGAGAGAAGCCTTCTCAGAAACTTCTCTGTGATGATTGCATTCAACTCACAGAGTTGAACCCTCCTATGGATAGAGCAGTGTTGAAACTCTCTTTTTGTGGAATCTGCAAGTGGATATGTGGACCTCTCCGAAGATGTCTTTGGAAACGGGAATATCTTCACATAAAAACTAAACAGAAGCATTCTCAGAAAACTTCTTGGTGATGTTTGCATTCAAATCCCAGAGTTGAACCTTCCTTTGATAGTTCAGGTTTGAAACACTCTTTCTGTAGGATCTGCAAGTGGCTATTTGGACCACTCTGTGGCCTTCGTTCGAAACGGGTATATCTTCGCATAAAATCTAGACAGAAGCATTCTCAGAAAATACTTTGTGATGATTGAGTTTAAATCACAGAGCTGACCATTCCTTTGGATGGAGCAGGTTTGAGACACACTTTTTGTAGAATCTACAAGTGGATATTTGGACCTCTCTGAGGATTTCGTTGGAAACGGGATAACTGCACCTAACTAAACGGAAGCATTCTCAGAAACTGCTTTGTGATGATTGCATTCACCTCACAGAGTTGAACATTCCTATTGATAGAGCAGTTTGGAAACACTCTTGTTGTGGAATGTGCAAGTGGAGATTTGGAGCGCTTTGAGGCCTATGGTAGTAAAGGGAATAGCTTCATAGAAAAACTAGACAGATGCATTCTCAGGAACTTTTTGGTGATGTTTGTATTCAACTCCCAGAGTTGAACTTTCCTTTGGAAAGAGCAGCTATGAAACACTCTTTTTCTAGAATCTGCAAGTGGACGTTTGGAGGGCTTTGTGGTTTGTGGTGGAAAAGGAAATATCTTCACCTAAATACTAGACAGAAGCATTCTCAGAAGCTTCTCTGTGATGACTGCATTCAACTCACGGAGTTGAACACTCCTTTTGAGAGCGCAGTTTTGAAACTCTCTTTCTGTGGCATCTGCAAGGGGACATGTAGACCTCTTTGAAGATTTCGTTGGAAACGGAATCATCTTCACATAAAAACTATACAGAAGCAGTCTCAGAATCTTCTTTGTGATGTTTGCATTCAAATCCCAGAGTTGAACTTTCCTTTCAAAGTTCACGTTTGAAACACTCTTTTTGCAGGATCTACAAGTGGATATTTGGACCACTCTGTGTCCTTCGTTCGAAACGGGTATATCTTCACACGACATCTAGACAGAAGCTTCCTCAGAAAATTCTTTGGGATGATTGAGTTGAGCAAACAGAGCTGAACACTCCTTGCGATGTAGCAGTTTAGAAACACACTTTCTGCAGAATCTGCAAGTGCATATGTGGACCTCCCTGAGGAATTCGTTGGAAACGGGATAATTTCAGCTGACTAAACAGAAGCATTCTCAGAACCTTCTTCGTGATGTCTGCATTCAACTCATAGTGTGGAACCTTTCTCTGATAGTTCAGGTTTGAAACACTCTTTTTGTAGAAACTGCAAGGGGATAATTGCACTTCTTTGAGGCCTACTGTAGTAAAGGAAATAACTTCCTATAGAAAGAAGACAGAAGCATTCTCAGAACCCTCTTCGTGATGTTTGCATTCAACTCACAGTGCTGAAACTTTCTTTGATAGTTCAGCTTTGAAACACTCTTCTTGGAGAAACTGCAAGTGGATATTTGGTCCTCTCTGAGGATTTCGTTGGAAACGTGATAAACCGCACAGAACTAAACAGAAGCATTCTCAGAACCTTCTTCGTGATGTTTGCATTCAACTCACAGTGTTGAACCTTTCTTTGATAGTTCAGGTTTGAAACGGTCTTTCTGTAGAAACTGCAAGTAGATATTTGGACCTCTCTGAGGATTTCGTTGGAAACGGGATAAACCGCACAGAACTAAAACAGAAGCATTCACAGAAAACTCTTGCTGACGACTGAGTTTAACTCACAGAGCTGAACATTCCTTTAGATGGAGCAGTTTCGAAACACACTATTTGTAGAATGTGCAAGTGGATATTTGGGCCTCTCTGAGGATTTCGTTGGAAACGGGATAAACCGCACAGAACTAAACAGAAGCATTCTCAGAAACTGCTTTGTGATGATTGCATTCACCTCACAGAGTTGAACATTCCTATTGATAGAGGAGTTTGGAAACTCTCTTTGTGTAGAATCTGCAAGTGGAGATATGGAATGCTTTGAGGACTATGGTAGTAAAGGAAATAGCTTCATATAAAAGCTAGACAGTAGCATTCTCAGAAACTTCTTTGTGATGCTTGCATTCAACTCACAGAGTTGAACTTTCCTTTCGAGAGAGAAGCTTTGAAACACTCTTTTTCCAGAATCTGCAAGTGGACATTTGGAGGGCTTTGAGGCCTGTGGTGGAAAAGGAATTAACTTCCCGTAAAAGCTAGATAGAAGCATTGTCAGAAACTTCTTTGTGATGATTGCATTCAACTCACAGAGTTGAAGGTTCCTTTTCAAAGAGCAGTTTCCAATCACTCTTTCTGTGGAATCTGCAAGTGGATATTTGGACCTCTTTGAAGATTTCGTTGGAAACGGGAGAATCTTCACAGAAAAGCTAAACAGAAGCATTCTCAGAAACTTCTCTGTGATGTTTGTGTTCAACTCCCAGAGTTTCACATTGCTTTTCATAGAGTAGTTCTGAAACATGCTTTTCGTAGTGTCTGCAAGTGGACATTTGGAGCGCTTTCAGGCCTGTGGTGGAAAACGAATTATGGTCACATAAAAACTGGAGAGAAGCCTTCTCAGAAACTTCTCTGTGATGATTGCATTCAACTCACAGAGTTGAACCCTCCTATGGATAGAGCAGTGTTGAAACGCTCTTTTTGTGGAATCTGCAAGTGGATATGTGGACCTCTCCGAAGATGTCTTTGGAAACGGGAATATCTTCACATAAAAACTAAACGGAAGCATTCTCAGAAACTTCTTGGTGATGTTTGCATTCAAATCCCAGAGTTGAACCTTCCTTTGATAGTTCAGGTTTGAAACACTCTTTTTGTAGGATCTGCAAGTGGATATTTGGACCACTCTGTGGCCTTCGTTCGAAACGGGTACATCTTCGCATAAAATCTAGACAGAAGCATTCTCAGAAAATACTTTGTGATGATTGAGTTTAACTCACAGAGCTGAACATTCCTTTGGATGGAGCACGTTTGAGACACACTTTTTGTAGAATCTACAAGTGGATATTTGGACCTCTCTGAGGATTTCGTTGGAAACGGGATAACTGCACCTAACTAAACGGAAGCATTCTCAGAAACTGCTTTGTGATGATTGCATTCACCTCACAGAGTTGAACATTCGTATTGATAGAGCAGTTTGGAAACACTCTTCTTGTGGAATGTGCAAGTGGAGATTTGGAGCGCTTTGGGGCCTATGGTAGTAAAGGGAATAGCTTCATAGAAAAACTAGACAGATGCATTCTCAGGAACTTTTTGGTGATGTTTGTATTCAACTCCCAGAGTTGAACTTTCCTTTGGAAAGAGCAGCTATGAAACACTCTTTTTCTAGAATCTGCAAGTGGACGTTTGGAGGGCTTTGTGGTTTGTGGTGGAAAAGGAAATATCTTCACCTAAATACTAGAGAGAAGCATTCTCAGAAGCTTCTCTGTGATGACTGCATTCAACTCACGGAGTTGAACACTCCTTTTGAGAGCGCAGTTTTGAAACTCTCTTTCTGTGGCATCTGCAAGGGGACATGTAGACCTCTTTGAAGATTTCGTTGGAAACGGAATCATCTTCACATAAAAACTATACAGAAGCAGTCTCAGAATCTTCTTTGTGATGTTTGCATTCAAATCCCAGAGTTGAACTTTCCTTTCAAAGTTCACGTTTGAAACACTCTTTTTGCAGGATCTACAAGTGGATATTTGGACCACTCTGTGTCCTTCGTTCGAAACGGGTATATCTTCACATGACATCTAGACAGAAGCTTTCTCAGAAAATTCTTTGTGATGATTGAGTTGAGCAAACAGAGCTGAACACTCCTTGCGATGTAGCAGTTTAGAAACACACTTTCTGCAGAATCTGCAAGTGCATATGTGGACCTCTCTGAGGAATTCGTTGGAAACGGGATAATTTCAGCTGACTAAACAGAAGCATTCTCAGAACCTTCTTCGTGATGTCTGCATTCAACTCACAGTGTGGAACCTTTCTTTGATAGTTCAGGTTTGAATCACTCTTTTTGTAGAAACTGCAAGGGGATCATTGCACTTCTTTGAGGCCTACCGTAGTAAAGGAAATAACTTCCTATAAAAAGAAGACAGAAGCATTCTCAGAACCCTCTTCGTGATGTTTGCATTCAACTCACGGTGCTGAACCTTTCTTTGATAGTTCAGCTTTGAAACACTCTTTTTGTAGAAACTGCAAGTGGATATTTGGTCCTCTCTGAGGATTTCGTTGGAAACGGGATAAACCGCACAGAACTAAACAGAAGCATTCTCAGAACCTTCTTCGTGATGTTTGCATTCAACTCACAGTGTTGAACCTTTCTTTGATAGTTCAGGTTTGAAACGGTCTTTCTGTAGAAACTGCAAGTAGATATTTGGACCTCTCTGAGGATTTCGTTGGAAACGGGATAAACCGCACAGAACTACAACAGAAGCATTCACAGAAAACTCTTGGTGACGACTGAGTTTAACTCACAGAGCTGAACATTCCTTTGGATGGAGCAGTTTCGAAACACACTATTTGTAGAATCTGCAAGTGGATATTTGGGCCTCTCTGAGGATTTCGTTGGAAACGGGATAAACCGCACAGAAGTAAACAGAAGCATTCTCAGAAACTACTTTGTGATGATTGCATTCAAGTCACAGAGTTGAACATTCCCTTTGACAGAGCAGTTTGGAAACTCTCTTTGTGTAGAATCTGCAAGTGGAGATATGGACCGCTTTGAGGCCTATGGTAGTAAAGGAAATAGCTTCATATAAAAGCTAGACAGTAGCATTCTCAGAAACTTCTTTGTGATGCTTGCATTCAACTCACAGAGTTGAACTTTCCTTTCGAGAGAGAAGCTTTGAAACACTCTTTTTCCAGAATCTGCAAGTGGACATTTGGAGGGCTTTGAGGCCTGTGGTGGAAAAGGAATTATCTTCCCGTAAAAGCTAGATAGAAGCATTGTCAGAAACTTCTTTGTGATGATTGCATTCAACTCACAGAGTTGAAGGTTCCTTTTCAAAGAGCAGTTTCCAATCACTCTTTCTGTGGAATCTGCAAGTGGATATTTGGACCTATTTTGAAGATTTCGTTGGAAACGGGAGAATCTTCACAGGAAAGCTAAACAGAAGCATTCTCAGAAACTTCTCTGTGATGTTTGTGTTCAACTCCCAGAGTTTCACATTGCTTTTCATAGAGTAGTTCTGAAACATGCTTTTCGTAGTGTCTACAAGTGGACATTTGGAGCGCTTTCAGGCCTGTGGTGGAAAACGAATTATGGTCACATAAAAACTGGAGAGAAGCCTTCTCAGAAACTTCTCTGTGATGATTGCATTCAACTCACAGAGTTGAACCCTCCTATGGATAGAGCAGTGTTGAAACTCTCTTTTTGTGGAATCTGCAAGTGGATATGTGGACCTCTCCGAAGATGTCTTTGGAAACGGGAATATCTTCACATAAAAACTAAACAGAAGCATTCTCAGAAACTTCTTGGTGATGTTTGCATTCAAATCCCAGAGTTGAACCTTCCTTTGATAGTTCAGGTTTGAAACACTCTTTTTGTAGGATCTGCAAGTGGATATTTGGACCACTCTGTGGCCTTCGTTCGAAACGGGTACATCTTCGCATAAAATCTAGACAGAAGCATTCTCAGAAAATACTTTGTGATGATTGAGTTTAACTCACAGAGCTGAACATTCCTTTGGATGGAGCAGGTTTGAGACACACCTTTTGTAGAATCTACAAGTGGATATTTGGACCTCTCTGAGGATTTCGTTGGAAACGGGATAACTGCACCTAACTAAACGGAAGCATTCTCAGAAACTGCTTTGTGATGATTGCATTCACCTCACAGAGTTGAACATTCCTATTGATAGAGCAGTTTGGAAACACTCTTGTTGTGGAATGTGCAAGTGGAGATTTGGAGCGCTTTGAGGCCTATGGTAGTAAAGGGAATAGCTTCATAGAAAAACTAGACAGATGCATTCTCAGGAACTTTTTGGTGATGTTTGTATTCAACTCCCAGAGTTGAACTTTCCTTTGGAAAGAGCAGCTATGAAACACTCTTTTTCTAGAATCTGCAAGTGGACGTTTGGAGGGCTTTGTGGTTTGTGGTGGAAAAGGAAATATCTTCACCTAAATACTAGATAGAAGCATTCTCAGAAGCTTCTCTGTGATGACTGCATTCAACTCACGGAGTTGAACACTCCTTTTGAGAGCGCAGTTTTGAAACTCTCTTTCTGTGGCATCTGCAAGGGGACATGTAGACCTCTTTGAAGATTTCGTTGGAAACGGAATCATCTTCACATAAAAACTATACAGAAGCAGTCTCAGAATCTTCTTTGTGATGTTTGCATTCAAATCCCAGAGTTGAACTTTCCTTTCAAAGTTCACGTTTGAAACACTCTTTTTGCAGGATCTACAAGTGGATATTTGGACCACTCTGTGTCCTTCGTTCGAAACGGGTATATCTTCACACGACATCTAGACAGAAGCTTTCTCAGAAAATTCTTTGGGATGATTGAGTGGAACTCACAGAGCTGAACATTCCTTGCGATGTAGCAGTTTAGAAACACACTTTCTGCAGAATCTGCAAGTGCATATTTGGACCTCTCTGAGGAATTCGTTGGAAACGGGATAATTTCAGCTGACTAAACAGAAGCATTCTCAGAACCTTCTTCGTGATGTCTGCATTCAACTCACAGTGTGGAACCTTTCTTTGATAGTTCAGGTTTGAAACACTCTTTTTGTAGAAACTGCAAGGGGATAATTGCACTTCTTTGAGGCCTACCGTAGTAAAGGAAATAACTTCCTATAGAAAGAAGACAGAAGCATTCTCAGAACCCTCTTCGTGATGTTTGCATTCAACTCACAAGTGCTGAACCTTTCTTTGATAGTTCAGCTTTGAAACACTCTTCTTGTAGAAACTGCAAGTGGATATTTGGTCCTCTCTGAGGATTTCGTTGGAAACGGGATAAACCGCACAGAACTAAACAGAAGCGTTCTCAGAACCCTCTTCGTGATGTTTGCATTCAACTCACAGTGCTGAACCTTTCTTTGATAGTGCAGCTTTGAAACACTCTTTTTGTAGAAACTGCAAGTGGATATTTGGTCCTCTCTGAGGATTTCGTTGGAAACGGGATAAACCGCACGGAACTAAAACGGAAGCATTCTCAGAACCTTCTTCGTGATGTTTGCATTCAACTCACAGTGTGGAACCTTTCTTTGATAGTTCAGGTTTGAAACGGTCTTTCTGTAGAAACTGCAAGTAGATATTTGGACCTCTCTGAGGATTTCGTTGGAAACGGGATAACCCGCACAGAACTAAAACAGAAGCATTCACAGAAAACTCTTGGTGACGACTGAGTTTAACTCACAGAGCTGAACATTCCTTTGGATGGAGCAGATTCGAAACACACTATTTGTAGAATGTGCAAGTGGATATTTGGGCCTCTCTGAGGATTTCGTTGGAAACGGGATAAACCGCACAGAACTAAACAGAAGCATTCTCAGAAACTACTTTGTGATGATTGCATTCAAGTCACAGAGTTGAACATTCCCTTTGACAGAGCAGTTTGGAAACTCTCTTTGTGTAGAATCTGGAAGTGGAGATATGGACCGCTTTGAGGCCTATGGTAGTAAAGGAAATAGCTTCATATAAAAGCTAGACAGTAGCATTCTCAGAAACTTCTTTGTGATGCTTGCATTCAACTCACAGAGTTGAACTTTCCTTTCGAGAGAGAAGCTTTGAAACACTCTTTTTCCAGAATGTGCAAGTGGACATTTGGGGAGCTTTGAGGCCTGTGGTGGAAAAGGAATTATCTTCCCGTAAAAGCTAGATAGAAGCATTGTCAGAAACTTCTTTGTGATGACTGCATTCAACTCACAGAGTTGAAGGTTCCTTTTCAAACAGCAGTTTCCAATCACTCTTTCTGTGGAATCTGCAAGTGGATATTTCGACCTCTTTGAAGATTTCGTTGGAAACGGGAGAATCTTCACAGAAAAGCTAAACAGAAGCATTCTCAGAAACTTCTCTGTGATGTTTGTGTTCAACTCCCAGAGTTTCACGTTGCTTTTCATAGAGTAGTTCTGAAACATGCTTTTCGTAGTGTCTGCAAGTGGACATTTGGAGCGCTTTCAGGCCTGTGGTGGAAAACGAATTATGGTCACATAAAAACTGGAGAGAAGCCTTCTCAGAAACTTCTCTGTGATGATTGCATTCAACTCACAGAGTTGAACCCTCCTATGGATAGAGCAGTGTTGAAACTCTCTTTTTGTGGAATCTGCAAGTGGATATGTGGACCTCTCCGAAGATGTCTTTGGAAACGGGAATATCTTCACATAAAAACTAAACAGAAGCATTCTCAGAAACTTCTTGGTGATGTTTGCATTCAAATCCCAGAGTTGAACCTTCCTTTGATAGTTCAGGTTTGAAACACTCTTTCTGTAGGATCTGCAAGTGGCTATTTGGACCACTCTGTGGCCTTCGTTCGAAACGGGTATATCTTCGCATAAAATCTAGACAGAAGCATTCTCAGAAAATACTTTGTGATGATTGAGTTTAAATCACAGAGCTGACCATTCCTTTGGATGGAGCAGGTTTGAGACACACTTTTTGTAGAATCTACAAGTGGATATTTGGACCTCTCTGAGGATTTCGTTGGAAACGGGATAACTGCACCTAACTAAACGGAAGCATTCTCAGAAACTGCTTTGTGATGATTGCATTCACCTCACAGAGTTGAACATTCCTATTGATAGAGCAGTTTGGAAACACTCTTGTTGTGGAATGTGCAAGTGGAGATTTGGAGCGCTTTGAGGCCTATGGTAGTAAAGGGAATAGCTTCATAGAAAAACTAGACAGATGCATTCTCAGGAACCTTTTGGTGATGTTTGTATTCAACTCCCAGAGTTGAACTTTCCTTTGGAAAGAGCAGCTATGAAACACTCTTTTTCTAGAATCTGCAAGTGGACGTTTGGAGGGCTTTGTGGTTTGTGGTGGAAAAGGAAATATCTTCACCTAAATACTAGATAGAAGCATTCTCAGAAGCTTCTCTGTGATGACTGCATTCAACTCACGGAGTTGAACACTCCTTTTGAGAGCGCAGTTTTGAAACTCTCTTTCTGTGGCATCTGCAAGGGGACATGTAGACCTCTTTGAAGATTTCGTTGGAAACGGAATCATCTTCACATAAAAACTATACAGAAGCAGTCTCAGAAACTTCTTTGTGATGTTTGCATTCAAATCCCAGAGTTGAACTTTCCTTTCAAAGTTCACGTTTGAAACACTCTTTTTGCAGGATCTACAAGTGGATATTTGGACCACTCTGTGTCCTTCGTTCGAAACGGGTATATCTTCACACGACATCTAGACAGAAGCTTTCTCAGAAAATTCTTTGGGATGATTGAGTGGAACTCACAGAGCTGAGCATTCCTTGCGATGTAGCAGTTTAGAAACACACTTTCTGCAGAATCTGCAAGTGCATATTTGGACCTCTCTGAGGAATTCGTTGGAAACGGGATAATTTCAGCTGACTAAACAGAAGCATTCTCAGAACCTTCTTCGTGATGTCTGCATTCAACTCACAGTGTGGAACCTTTCTTTGATAGTTCAGGTTTGAAACACTCTTTTTGTAGAAACTGCAAGGGGATAATTGCACTTCTTTGAGGCCTACCGTAGTAAAGGAAATAACTTCCTATAGAAAGAAGACAGAAGCATTCTCAGAACCCTCTTCGTGATGTTTGCATTCAACTCACAGTGCTGAACCTTTCTTTGATAGTTCAGCTTTGAAACACTCTTCTTGTAGAAACTGCAAGTGGATATTTGGTCCTCTCTGAGGATTTCGTTGGAAACGGGATAAACCGCACAGAACTAAACAGAAGAATTCTCAGAGCCCTCTTCGTGATGTTTGCATTCAACTCACAGTGCTGAACCTTTCTTTGATAGTGCAGCTTTGAAACACTCTTTTTGTAGAAACTGCAAGTGGATGTTTGGTCCTCTCTGAGGATTTCGTTGGAAACGGGATAAACCGCACAGAACTAAAACAGAAGCATTGTCAGAAACTTCTTTGTGATGATTGCATTCAACTCACAGAGTTGAAGGTTCCTTTTCAAACAGCAGTTTCCAATCACTCTTTCTGTGGAATCTGCAAGTGGATATTTGGGCCTCTCTGAGGATTTCGTTGGAAACGGGATAAAACGCACAGAACTAAAACAGAAGCATTCTCAGAAACTTCTCTGTGATGTTTGTGTTCAACTCCCAGAGTTTCACGTTGCTTTTCATAGAGTAGTTCTGAAACATGCTTTTCGTAGTGTCTGCAAGTGGACATTTGGAGCGCTTTCAGGCCTGTGGTGGAAAACGAATTATGGTCACATAAAAACTGGAGAGAAGCCTTCTCAGAAACTTCTCTGTGATGATTGCATTCAACTCACAGAGTTGAACCCTCCTATGGATAGAGCAGTGTTGAAACTCTCTTTTTGTGGAATCTGCAAGTGGATATGTGGACCTCTCCGAAGATGTCTTTGGAAACGGGAATATCTTCACATAAAAACTAAACAGACATTCTCAGAAACTTCTTGGTGATGTTTGCATTCAAATCCCAGAGTTGAACCTTCCTTTGATAGTTCAGGTTTGAAACACTCTTTCTGTAGGATCTGCAAGTGGCTATTTGGACCACTCTGTGGCCTTCGTTCGAAACGGGTATATCTTCGCATAAAATCTAGACAGAAGCACTCTCAGAAAATACTTTGTGATGATTGAGTTTAACTCACAGAGCTGAACGTTCCTTTGGATGGAGCAGGTTTGAGACACACATTTGTAGAATCTACAAGTGGATATTTGGACCTCTCTGAGGATTTCGTTGGAAACGCGATAACTGCACCTAACTAAACGGAAGCATTCTCAGAAACTGCTTTGTGATGATTGCATTCACCTCACAGAGTTGAACATTCCTATTGATAGAGCAGTTTGGAAACACTCTTGTTGTGGAATGTGCAAGTGGAGATTTGGAGCGCTTTGAGGCCTATGGTAGTAAAGGGAATAGCTTCATAGAAAAACTAGACAGATGCATTCTCAGGAACTTTTTGGTGATGTTTGTATTCAACTCCCAGAGTTGAACTTTCCTTTGGAAAGAGCAGCTATGAAACACTCTTTTTCTAGAATCTGCAAGTGGACGTTTGGAGGGCTTTGTGGTTTGTGGTGGAAAAGGAAATATCTTCACCTAAATACTAGATAGAAGCATTCTCAGAAGCTTCTCTGTGATGACTGCATTCAACTCACGGGAGTTGAACACTCCTTTTGAGAGCACAGTTTTGAAACTCTCTTTCTGTGGCATCTGCAAGGGGACATGTAGACCTCTTTGAAGATTTCGTTGGAAACGGAATCATCTTCACATAAAATCTATACAGAAGCAGTCTCAGAATCTTCTTTGTGATGTTTGCATTCAAATCCCAGAGTTGAACTTTCCTTTCAAAGTTCACGTTTGAAACACTCTTTTTGCAGGATCTACAAGTGGATATTTGGACCACTCTGTGTCCTTCGTTCGAAACGGGTATATCTTCACACGACATGCTAGACAGAAGCTTTCTCAGAAAATTCTTTGGGATGATTGAGTGGAACTCACAGAGCTGAACATTCCTTGCGATGTAGCAGTTTAGAAACACACTTTCTGCAGAATCTGCAAGTGCATATTTGGACCTCTCTGAGGAATTCGTTGGAAACGGGATAATTTCAGCTGACTAAACAGAAGCATTCTCAGAACCTTCTTCGTGATGTCTGCATTCAACTCACAGTGTGGAACCTTTCTTTGATAGTTCAGGTTTGAAACACTCTTTTTGTAGAAACTGCAAGGGGATAATTGCACTTCTTTGAGGCCTACCGTAGTAAAGGAAATAACTTCCTATAGAAAGAAGACAGAAGCATTCTCAGAACCCTCTTCGTGATGTTTGCATTCAACTCACAGTGCTGAACCTTTCTTTGATAGTTCAGCTTTGAAACACTCTTCTTGTAGAAACTGCAAGTGGATATTTGGTCCTCTCTGAGGATTTCGTTGGAAACGGGATAAACCGCACAGAACTAAACAGAAGAATTCTCAGAGCCCTCTTCGTGATGTTTGCATTCAACTCACAGTGCTGAACCTTTCTTTGATAGTGCAGCTTTGAAACACTCTTTTTGTAGAAACTGCAAGTGGATGTTTGGTCCTCTCTGAGGATTTCGTTGGAAACGGGATAAACCGCACAGAACTAAAACAGAAGCATTGTCAGAAACTTCTTTGTGATGATTGCATTCAACTCACAGAGTTGAAGGTTCCTTTTCAAACAGCAGTTTCCAATCACTCTTTCTGTGGAATCTGCAAGTGGATATTTGGGCCTCTCTGAGGATTTCGTTGGAAACGGGATAAAACGCACAGAACTAAAACAGAAGCATTCTCAGAAACTTCTCTGTGATGTTTGTGTTCAACTCCCAGAGTTTCACGTTGCTTTTCATAGAGTAGTTCTGAAACATGCTTTTCGTAGTGTCTGCAAGTGGACATTTGGAGCGCTTTCAGGCCTGTGGTGGAAAACGAATTATGGTCACATAAAAACTGGAGAGATAAGCCTTCTCAGAAACTTCTCTGTGATGATTGCATTCAACTCACAGAGTTGAACCCTCCTATGGATAGAGCAGTGTTGAAACTCTCTTTTTGTGGAATCTGCAAGTGGATATGTGGACCTCTCCGAAGATGTCTTTGGAAACGGGAATATCTTCACATAAAAACTAAACAGAAGCATTCTCAGAAACTTCTTGGTGATGTTTGCATTCAAATCCCAGAGATGAACCTTCCTTTGATAGTTCAGGTTTGAAACACTCTTTTTGTAGGATCTGCAAGTGGATATTTGGACCAATCTGTGGCCTTCGTTTGAAACGGGTACATCTTCGCATAAAATCTAGACAGAAGCATTCTCAGAAAATACTTTGTGATGATTGAGTTGAACTCACAGAGCTGAACATTCCTTTGGATGGAGCAGGTTTGAGACACACTTTTTGTAGAATCTACAAGTGGATATTTGGACCTCTCTGAGGATTTCGTTGGAAACGGGATAACTGCACCTAACTAAACGGAAGCATTCTCAGAAACTGCTTTGTGATGATTGCATTCACCTCACAGAGTTGAACATTCCTATTGATAGAGCAGTTTGGACACACTCTTGTTGTGGAATGTGCAAGTGGAGATTTGGAGCGCTTTGAGGCCTATGGTAGTAAAGGGAACAGCTTCATAGAAAAACTAGACAGATGCATTCTCAGGAACTTTTTGGTGATGTTTGTATTCAACTCCCAGAGTTGAACTTTCCTTTGGAAAGAGCAGCTATGAAACACTCTTTTTCTAGAATCTGCAAGTGGACGTTTGGAGGGCTTTGTGGTTTGTGGTGGAAAAGGAAATATCTTCACCTAAATACTAGAGAGAAGCATTCTCAGAAGCTTCTCTGTGATGACTGCATTCAACTCACGGAGTTGAACACTCCTTTTGAGAGCGCAGTTTTGAAACTCTCTTTCTGTGGCATCCGCAAGGGGACATGTAGACCTCTTTGAAGATTTCGTTGGAAACATAATCATCTTCACATAAAAACTATACAGAAGCAGTCTCAGAATCTTCTTTGTGGTGTTTGCATTCAAATCCCAGAGTTGAACTTTCCTTTCAAAGTTCACGTTTGAAACACTCTTTTTGCAGGATCTACAAGTGGATATTTGGACCACTCTGTGTCCTTCGTTCGAAACGGGTATATCTTCACATGACATCTAGACAGAAGCTTTCTCAGAAAATTCTTTGGGATGATTGAGTGGAACTCACAGAGCTGAACATTCCTTGCGATATAGCAGTTTAGAAACACACTTTCTGCAGAATCTGCAAGTGCATATTTGGACCTCTCTGAGGAATTCGTTGGAAACGGGATAATTTCAGCTGACTAAACAGAAGCATTCTCAGAACCTTCTTCGTGATGTCTGCATTCAACTCACAGTGTGGAACCTTTCTTTGATAGCTCAGGTTTGAAACACTCATTTTGTTGAAACTGCAAGGGGATAATTGCACTTCTTTGAGGCCTACCGTAGAAAAGGAAATAACTTCCTATAGAAAGAAGACAGAAGCATTCTCAGAACCCTCTTCGTGATGTTTGCATTCAACTCACAGTGCTGAACCTTTCTTTGATAGTTCAGCTTTGAAACACTCTTCTTGTAGAAACTGCAAGTGGATATTTGGTCCTCTCTGAGGATTTCGTTGGAAACGGGATAAACCGCACAGAACTAAACAGAAGAATTCTCAGAGCCCTCTTCGTGATGTTTGCATTCAACTCACAGTGCTGAACCTTTCTTTGATAGTGCAGCTTTGAAACACTCTTTTTGTAGAAACTGCAAGTGGATGTTTGGTCCTCTCTGAGGATTTCGTTGGAAACGGGATAAACCGCACAGAACTAAAACAGAAGCATTGTCAGAAACTTCTTTGTGATGATTGCATTCAACTCACAGAGTTGAAGGTTCCTTTTCAAACAGCAGTTTCCAATCACTCTTTCTGTGGAATCTGCAAGTGGATATTTGGGCCTCTCTGAGGATTTCGTTGGAAACGGGATAAAACGCACAGAACTAAAACAGAAGCATTCTCAGAAACTTCTCTGTGATGTTTGTGTTCAACTCCCAGAGTTTCACGTTGCTTTTCATAGAGTAGTTCTGAAACATGCTTTTCGTAGTGTCTGCAAGTGGACATTTGGAGCGCTTTCAGGCCTGTGGTGGAAAACGAATTATGGTCACATAAAAACTGGAGAGAAGCCTTCTCAGAAACTTCTCTGTGATGATTGCATTCAACTCACAGAGTTGAACCCTCCTATGGATAGAGCAGTGTTGAAACTCTCTTTTTGTGGAATCTGCAAGTGGATATGTGGACCTCTCCGAAGATGTCTTTGGAAACGGGAATATCTTCACATAAAAACTAAACAGAAGCATTCTCAGAAACTTCTTGGTGATGTTTGCATTCAAATCCCAGAGTTGAACCTTCCTTTGATAGTTCAGGTTTGAAACACTCTTTCTGTAGGATCTGCAAGTGGCTATTTGGACCACTCTGTGGCCTTCGTTCGAAACGGGTATATCTTCGCATAAAATCTAGACAGAAGCATTCTCAGAAAATACTTTGTGATGATTGAGTTTAAATCACAGAGCTGACCATTCCTTTGGATGGAGCAGGTTTGAGACACACTTTTTGTAGAATCTACAAGTGGATATTTGGACCTCTCTGAGGATTTCGTTGGAAACGGGATAACTGCACCTAACTAAACGGAAGCATTCTCAGAAACTGCTTTGTGATGATTGCATTCACCTCACAGAGTTGAACATTCCTATTGATAGAGCAGTTTGGAAACACTCTTGTTGTGGAATGTGCAAGTGGAGATTTGGAGCGCTTTGAGGCCTGTGGTAGTAAAGGGAATAGCTTCATAGAAAAACTAGACAGATGCATTCTCAGGAACTTTTTGGTGATGTTTGTATTCAACTCCCAGAGTTGAACTTTCCTTTGGAAAGAGCAGCTATGAAACACTCTTTTTCTAGAATCTGCAAGTGGACGTTTGGAGGGCTTTGTGGTTTGTGGTGGAAAAGGAAATATCTTCACCTAAATACTAGATAGAAGCATTCTCAGAAGCTTCTCTGTGATGACTGCATTCAACTCACGGAGTTGAACACTCCTTTTGAGAGCGCAGTTATGAAACTCCCTTTCTGTGGCATCTGCAAGGGGACATGTAGACCTCTTTGAAGATTTCGTTGGAAACGGAATCATCTTCACATCAAAACTATACAGAAGCAGTCTCAGAATCTTCTTTGTGATGTTTGCATTCAAATCCCAGAGTTGAACTTTCCTTTCAAAGTTCACGTTTGAAACACTCTTTTTGCAGGATCTACAAGTGGATATTTGGACCACTCTGTGTCCTTCGTTCGAAACGGGTATATCTTCACAGGACATCTAGACAGAAGCTTTCTCAGAAAATTCTTTGCGATGATTGAGTTGAACTCACAGAGCTGAACATTCCTTGCGATGTAGCAGTTTAGAAACACACTTTCTGCAGAATCTGCAAGTGCATATTTGGACCTCTCTGAGGAATTCGTTGGAAACGGGATAATTTCAGCTGACTAAACAGAAGCATTCTCAGAACCTTCTTCGTGATGTCTGCATTCAACTCACAGTGTGGAACCTTTCTTTGATAGTTCAGGTTTGAAACACTCTTTTTGTAGAGACTGCAAGGGGATAATTGCACTTCTTTGAGGCCTACGGTAGTAAAGGAAATAACTTCCTATAAAAAGAAGACAGAAGCATTCTCAGAACCCTCTTCGTGATGTTTGCATTCAACTCACAGTGCTGAACCTTTCTTTGATAGTTCAGCTTTGAAACACTCTTCTTGTAGAAACTGCAAGTGGATATTTGGTCCTCTCTGAGGATTTCGTTGGGAAACGGGATAAACCGCACAGAACTAAACAGAAGCATTCACAGAAAGCACTTGGTGACGACTGAGTTTAACACACAGAGCTGAACATTCCTTTGGAGGGAGCAGTTTCGAAACACACTATTTGTAGAATCTGCAAGTGGATATTTGGGCCTCTCTGAGGATTTCGATGGAAACGGGATAAACCGCACAGAACTAAAACAGAAGCATTCTCAGAAACCACTTTGTGATGATTGCATTCAAGTCACAGAGTTGAACATTCCCTTTGACAGAGCAGTTTGGAAACTCTCTTTGTGTAGAATCTGCAAGTGGAGATATGGACCGCTTTGAGGCCTATGGTAGTAAAGGAAATAGCTTCATATAAAAGCTAGACAGTAGCATTCTCAGAAACTTCTTTGTGATGCTTGCATTCAACTCACAGAGTTGAACTTTCCTTTCGAGAGAGAAGCTTTGAAACACTCTTTTTCCAGAATCTGCAAGTGGACATTTGGAGGGCTTTGAGGCCTGTGGTGGAAAAGGAATTATCTTCCCGTAAAAGCTAGATAGAAGCATTGTCAGAAACTTCTTTGTGATGATTGCATTCAACTCACAGAGTTGAAGGTTCCTTTTCAAAGAGCAGTTTCCAATCACTCTTTGTGTGGAATCTGCAAGTGGATATTTGGACCTATTTTGAAGATTTCGTTGGAAACGGGAGAATCTTCACAGGAAAGCTAAACAGAAGCATTCTCAGAAACTTCTCTGTGATGTTTGTGTTCAACTCCCAGAGTTTCACATTGCTTTTCATAGAGTAGTTCTGAAACATGCTTTTCGTAGTGTCTACAAGTGGACATTTGGAGCGCTTTCAGGCCTGTGGTGGAAAACGAATTATGGTCACATAAAAACTGGAGAGAAGCCTTCTCAGAAACTTCTCTGTGATGATTGCATTCAACTCACAGAGTTGAACCCTCCTATGGATAGAGCAGTGTTGAAACTCTCTTTTTGTGGAATCTGCAAGTGGATATGTGGACCTCTCCGAAGATGTCTTTGGAAACGGGAATATCTTCACATAAAAACTAAACAGAAGCATTCTCAGAAACTTCTTGGTGATGTTTGCATTCAAATCCCAGAGTTGAACCTTCCTTTGATAGTTCAGGTTTGAAACACTCTTTTTGTAGGATCTGCAAGTGGATATTTGGACCACTCTGTGGCCTTCGTTCGAAACGGGTATATCTTCGCATAAAATCTAGACAGAAGCATTCTCAGAAAAATACTTTGTGATGATTGAGTTTAACTCACAGAGCTGAACATTCCTTTGGATGGAGCAGGTTTGAGACACACTTTTTGTAGAATCTACAAGTGGATATTTGGACCTCTCTGAGGATTTCGTTGGAAACGGGATAACTGCACCTAACTAAACGGAAGCATTCTCAGAAACTGCTTTGTGATGATTGCATTCACCTCACAGAGTTGAACATTCCTATTGATAGAGCAGTTTGGAAACACTCTTGTTGTGGAATGTGCAAGTGGAGATTTGGAGCGCTTTGAGGCCTATGGTAGTAAAGGGAATAGCTTCATAGAAAAACTAGACAGATGCATTCTCAGGAACTTTTTGGTGATGTTTGTATTCAACTCCCAGAGTTGAACTTTCCTTTGGAAAGAGCAGCTATGAAACACTGTTTTTCTAGAATCTGCAAGTGGACGTTTGGAGGGCTTTGTGGTTTGTGGTGGAAAAGGAAATATCTTCACCTAAATACTAGATAGAAGCATCCTCAGAAGCTTCTCTGTGATGACTGCATTCAACTCACGGAGTTGAACACTCCTTTTGAGAGCGCAGTTTTGAAACTCTCTTTCTGTGGCATCTGCAAGGGGACATGTAGACCTCTTTGAAGATTTCGTTGGAAACGGAATCATCTTCACATAAAAACTACACAGAAGCAGTCTCAGAATCTTCTTTGTGATGTTTGCATTCAAATCCCAGAGTTGAACTTGCCTTTCAAAGTTCACGTTTGAAACACTCTTTTTGCAGGATCTACAAGTGGATATTTGGACCACTCTGTGTCCTTCGATCGAAACGGGTATATCTTCACATGACATCTAGACAGAAGCTTTCTCAGAAAATTCTTTGGGATGATTGAGTTGAACTCACAGAGCTGAGCATTCCTTGCGATGTAGCAGTTTAGAAACACACTTTCTGCAGAATCTGCAAGTGCATATTTGGACCTCTGTGAGGAATTCGTTGGAAACGGGATAATTTCAGCTGACTAAACAGAAGCATTCTCAGAACCTTCTTCGTGATGTCTGCATTCAACTCACAGTGTGGAACCTTTCTTTGATAGTTCAGGTTTGAAACACTCTTTTTGTAGAAACTGCAAGGGGATCATTGCACTCTTTGAGGAGTACCGTAGTAAAGGAAATAACTTCCTATAAAAAGAAGACAGAAGCATTCTCAGAACCCTCTTCGTGATGTTTGCATTCAACTCACAGTGCTGAACCTTTCTTTGATAGTTCAGCTTTGAAACACTCTTCTTGTAGAAACTGCAAGTGGATATTTGGTCCTCTCTGAGGATTTCGTTGGAAACGGGATAAACCGCACAGAACTAAACAGAAGAATTCTCAGAGCCCTCTTCGTGATGTTTGCATTCAACTCACAGTGCTGAACCTTTCTTTGATAGTGCAGCTTTGAAACACTCTTTTTGTAGAAACTGCAAGTGGATGTTTGGTCCTCTCTGAGGATTTCGTTGGAAACGGGATAAACCGCACAGAACTAAAACAGAAGCATTGTCAGAAACTTCTTTGTGATGATTGCATTCAACTCACAGAGTTGAAGGTTCCTTTTCAAACAGCAGTTTCCAATCACTCTTTCTGTGGAATCTGCAAGTGGATATTTGGGCCTCTCTGAGGATTTCGTTGGAAACGGGATAAAACGCACAGAACTAAAACAGAAGCATTCTCAGAAACTTCTCTGTGATGTTTGTGTTCAACTCCCAGAGTTTCACGTTGCTTTTCATAGAGTAGTTCTGAAACATGCTTTTCGTAGTGTCTGCAAGTGGACATTTGGAGCGCTTTCAGGCCTGTGGTGGAAAACGAATTATGGTCACATAAAAACTGGAGAGAAGCCTTCTCAGAAACTTCTCTGTGATGATTGCATTCAACTCACAGAGTTGAACCCTCCTATGGATAGAGCAGTGTTGAAACTCTCTTTTTGTGGAATCTGCAAGTGGATATGTGGACCTCTCCGAAGATGTCTTTGGAAACGGGAATATCTTCACATAAAAACTAAACAGAAGCATTCTCAGAAACTTCTTGGTGATGTTTGCATTCAAATCCCAGAGTTGAACCTTCCTTTGATAGTTCAGGTTTGAAACACTCTTTCTGTAGGATCTGCAAGTGGCTATTTGGACCACTCTGTGGCCTTCGTTCGAAACGGGTATATCTTCGCATAAAATCTAGACAGAAGCATTCTCAGAAAATACTTTGTGATGATTGAGTTTAAATCACAGAGCTGACCATTCCTTTGGATGGAGCAGGTTTGAGACACACTTTTTGTAGAATCTACAAGTGGATATTTGGACCTCTCTGAGGATTTCGTTGGAAACGGGATAACTGCACCTAACTAAACGGAAGCATTCTCAGAAACTGCTTTGTGATGATTGCATTCACCTCACAGAGTTGAACATTCCTATTGATAGAGCAGTTTGGAAACACTCTTGTTGTGGAATGTGCAAGTGGAGATTTGGAGCGCTTTGAGGCCTGTGGTAGTAAAGGGAATAGCTTCATAGAAAAACTAGACAGATGCATTCTCAGGAACTTTTTGGTGATGTTTGTATTCAACTCCCAGAGTTGAACTTTCCTTTGGAAAGAGCAGCTATGAAACACTCTTTTTCTAGAATCTGCAAGTGGACGTTTGGAGGGCTTTGTGGTTTGTGGTGGAAAAGGAAATATCTTCACCTAAATACTAGATAGAAGCATTCTCAGAAGCTTCTCTGTGATGACTGCATTCAACTCACGGAGTTGAACACTCCTTTTGAGAGCGCAGTTTTGAAACTCTCTTTCTGTGGCATCTGCAAGGGGGACATGTAGACCTCTTTGAAGATTTCGTTGGAAACGGAATCATCTTCACATAAAAACTATACAGAAGCAGTCTCAGAATCTTCTTTGTGATGTTTGCATTCAAATCCCAGAGTTGAACTTTCCTTTCAAAGTTCACGTTTGAAACACTCTTTTTGCAGGATCTACAAGTGGATATTTGGACCACTCTGTGTCCTTCGTTCGAGACGGGTATATCTTCACACGACATCTAGACAGAAGCTTTCTCAGAAAATTCTTTGGGATGATTGAGTGGAACTCACAGAGCTGAACATTCCTTGCGATGTAGCAGTTTAGAAACACACTTTCTGCAGAATCTGCAAGTGCATATTTGGACCTCTCTGAGGAATTCGTTGGAAACGGGATAATTTCAGCTGACTAAACAGAAGCATTCTCAGAACCTTCTTCGTGATGTCTGCATTCAACTCACAGTGTGGAACCTTTCTTTGATAGTTCAGGTTTGAAACACTCTTTTTGTAGAAACTGCAAGGGGATAATTGCACTTCTTTGAGGCCTACCGTAGTAAAGGAAATAACTTCCTATAGAAAGAAGACAGAAGCATTCTCAGAACCCTCTTCGTGATGTTTGCATTCAACTCACAGTGCTGAACCTTTCTTTGATAGTTCAGCTTTGAAACACTCTTCTTGTAGAAACTGCAAGTGGATATTTGGTCCTCTCTGAGGATTTCGTTGGAAACGGGATAAACCGCACAGAACTAAACAGAAGAATTCTCAGAGCCCTCTTCGTGATGTTTGCATTCAACTCACAGTGCTGAACCTTTCTTTGATAGTGCAGCTTTGAAACACTCTTTTTGTAGAAACTGCAAGTGGATGTTTGGTCCTCTCTGAGGATTTCGTTGGAAACGGGATAAACCGCACAGAACTAAAACAGAAGCATTGTCAGAAACTTCTTTGTGATGATTGCATTCAACTCACAGAGTTGAAGGTTCCTTTTCAAACAGCAGTTTCCAATCACTCTTTCTGTGGAATCTGCAAGTGGATATTTGGGCCTCTCTGAGGATTTCGTTGGAAACGGGATAAAACGCACAGAACTAAAACAGAAGCATTCTCAGAAACTTCTCTGTGATGTTTGTGTTCAACTCCCAGAGTTTCACGTTGCTTTTCATAGAGTAGTTCTGAAACATGCTTTTCGTAGTGTCTGCAAGTGGACATTTGGAGCGCTTTCAGGCCTGTGGTGGAAAACGAATTATGGTCACATAAAAACTGGAGAGAAGCCTTCTCAGAAACTTCTCTGTGATGATTGCATTCAACTCACAGGAGTTGAACCCTCCTATGGATAGAGCAGTGTTGAAACTCTCTTTTTGTGGAATCTGCAAGTGGATATGTGGACCTCTCCGAGGATGTCTTTGGAAACGGGAATATCTTCACATAAAAACTAAACAGAAGCATTCTCAGAAACTTCTTGGTGATGTTTGCATTCAAATCCCAGAGTTGAACCTTCCTTTGAGAGTTCAGGTTTGAAACACTCTTTTTGTAGGATCTGCAAGTGGATATTTGGACCACTCTGTGGTCTTCGTTCGAAACGGGTACATCTTCGCATAAAATCTAGACAGAAGCATTCTCAGAAAATACTTTGTGATGATTGAGTTTAAATCACAGAGCTGACCATTCCTTTGGATGGAGCAGGTTTGAGACACACTTTTTGTAGAATCTACAAGTGGATATTTGGACCTCTCTGAGGATTTCGTTGGAAACGGGATAACTGCACCTAACTAAACGGAAGCATTCTCAGAAACTGCTTTGTGATGATTGCATTCACCTCACAGAGTTGAACATTCCTATTGATAGAGCAGTTTGGAAACACTCTTGTTGTGGAATGTGCAAGTGGAGATTTGGAGCGCTTTGAGGCCTGTGGTAGTAAAGGGAATAGCTTCATAGAAAAACTAGACAGATGCATTCTCAGGAACTTTTTGGTGATGTTTGTATTCAACTCCCAGAGTTGAACTTTCCTTTGGAAAGAGCAGCTATGAAACACTCTTTTTCTAGAATCTGCAAGTGGACGTTTGGAGGGCTTTGTGGTTTGTGGTGGAAAAGGAAATATCTTCACCTAAATACTAGATAGAAGCATTCTCAGAAGCTTCTCTGTGATGACTGCATTCAACTCACGGAGTTGAACACTCCTTTTGAGAGCGCAGTTTTGAAACTCTCTTTCTGTGGCATCTGCAAGGGGACATGTAGACCTCTTTGAAGATTTCGTTGGAAACGGAATCATCTTCACATAAAAACTATACAGAAGCAGTCTCAGAATCTTCTTTGTGATGTTTGCATTCAAATCCCAGAGTTGAACTTTCCTTTCAAAGTTCACGTTTGAAACACTCTTTTTGCAGGATCTACAAGTGGATATTTGGACCACTCTGTGTCCTTCGTTCGAAACGGGTATATCTTCACACGACATCTAGACAGAAGCTTTCTCAGAAAATTCTTTGGGATGATTGAGTGGAACTCACAGAGCTGAACATTCCTTGCGATGTAGCAGTTTAGAAACACACTTTCTGCAGAATCTGCAAGTGCATATTTGGACCTCTCTGAGGAATTCGTTGGAAACGGGATAATTTCAGCTGACTAAACAGAAGCATTCTCAGAACCTTCTTCGTGATGTCTGCGTTCAACTCACTGTGTGGAACCTTTCTTTGATAGTTCAGGTTTGAAACACTCTTTTTGTAGAAACTGCAAGGGGATCATTGCACTTCTTTGAGGCCTACCGTAGTAAACGAGATAACTTCCTATAAAAAGAAGACAGAAGCATTCTCAGAACCCTCTTCGTGATGTTTGCATTCAACTCACAGTGCTGAACCTTTCTTTGATAGTTCAGCTTTGAAACACTCTTTTTGTAGAAACTGCAAGTGGATATTTGGTCCTCTCTGAGGATTTCTTTGGAAACGGGATAAACCGCACAGAACTAAACAGAAGCATTCTCAGAACCTTCTTCGTGATGTTTGCATTCAACTCACAGTGTTGAACCTTTCTTTGATAGTTCAGGTTTGAAACGGTCTTTCTGTAGAAACTGCAAGTAGATATTTGGACCTCTCTGAGGATTTCGTTGGAAACGGGATAAACCGCACAGAACTAAAACAGAAGCATTCACAGAAAACTCTTGGTGACGACTGAGTTTAACTCACAGAGCTGAACATTCCTTTGGATGGAGCAGTTTCGAAACACACTATTTGTAGAATGTGCAAGTGGATATTTGGGCCTCTCTGAGGATTTCCTTGGAAACGGGATAAACCGCACAGAACTAAACAGAAGCATTCTCAGAAACTACTTTGTGATGATTGCATTCAAGTCACAGAGCTGAACATTCCCTTTGACGGAGCAGTTTGGAAACTCTCTTTGTGTAGAATCTGCAAGTGGAGATATGGAATGCTTTGAGGACTATGGTAGTAAAGGGAATAGCTTCATATAAACGCTAGACAGTAGCATTCTCAGAAACTTCTTTGTGATGCTTGCATTCAACTCACAGAGTTGAACATTCCTTTCGAGAGAGAAGCTTTGAAACACTCTTTTTCCAGAATCTGCAAGTGGACATTTGGAGGGCTTTGAGGCCTGTGGTGGAAAAGGAATTATCTTCCCGTAAAAGCTAGATAGAAGCATTGTCAGAAACTTCTTTGTGATGATTGCATTCAACTCACAGAGTTGAAGGTTCCTTTTCAAACAGCAGTTTCCAAACACTCTTTCTGTGGAATCTGCAAGTGGATATTTGGACCTCTTTGAAGATTTCTTTGGAAAGGGGATAATCTTCACAGAAAAGCTAAACAGAAGCATTCTCAGAAACTTCTCTGTGATGTTTGTGTGCAACTCACAGAGTTTCACATTGCTTCTCATAGAGTAGTTCTGAAACATGCTTTTCGTAGTGTCTGCAAGTGGACATTTGGAGCGCTTTCAGGCCTGTGGTGGAAAACGAATTATGGTCACATAAAAACTGGAGAGAAGCCTTCTCAGAAACTTCTCTGTGATGATTGCATTCAACTCACAGAGTTGAACCCTCCTATGGATAGAGCAGTGTTGAAACTCTCTTTTTGTGGAATCTGCAAGCGGATATGTGGACCTCTCCGAAGATGTCTTTGGAAACGGGAATATCTTCACATAAAAACTAAACAGAAGCATTCTCAGAAACTTCTTGGTGATGTTTGCATTCAAATCCCAGAGTTGAACCTTCCTTTGATAGTTCAGGTTTGAAACACTGTTTTTGTAGGATCTGCAAGTGGATATTTGGAACACTCTGTGGCCTTCGTTCGAAACGGGTACATCTTCGCATAAAATCTAGACAGAAGCATTCTCAGGAAATACTTTGTGATGATTGAGTTGAACTCACAGAGCTGAACATTCCTTTGGATGGAGCAGGTTTGAGACACACTTTTTGTAGAATCTACAAGTGGATATTTGGACCTCTCTGAGGATATCGTTGGAAACGGGATAACTGCACCTAACTAAACGGAAGCATTCTCAGAAACTGCTTTGTGATGATTGCATTCACCTCACAGAGTTGAACATTCCTATTGATAGAGCAGTTTGGAAACACTCTTGTTGTGGAATGTGCAAGTGGAGATTTGGAGCGCTTTGAGGCCTATGGTAGTAAAGGGAATAGCTTCATAGAAAAACTAGACAGATGCATTCTCAGGTAACTTTTTGGTGATGTTTGTATTCAACTCCCAGAGTTGAACTTTCCTTTGGAAAGAGCAGCTATGAAACACTCTTTTTCTAGAATCTGCAAGTGGACGTTTGGAGGGCTTTGTGGTTTGTGGTGGAAAAGGAAATATCTTCACCTAAATACTAGATAGAAGCATTCTCAGAAGCTTCTCTGTGATGACTGCATTCAACTCACGGAGTTGAACACTCCTTTTGAGAGCGCAGTTTTGAAACTCTCTTTCTGTGGCATCTGCAAGGGGACATGTAGACCTCTTTGAAGATTTCGTTGGAAACGGAATCATCTTCACATAAAAACTATACAGAAGCAGTCTCAGAATCTTCTTTGTGATGTTTGCATTCAAATCCCAGAGTTGAACTTTCCTTTCAAAGTTCACGTTTGAAACACTCTTTTTGCAGGATCTACAAGTGGATATTTGGACCACTCTGTGTCCTTCGTTCGAAACGGGTATATCTTCACACGACATCTAGACAGAAGCTTTCTCAGAAAATTCTTTGGGATGATTGAGTGGAACTCACAGAGCTGAACATTCCTTGCGATGTAGCAGTTTAGAAACACACTTTCTGCAGAATCTGCAAGTGCATATTTGGACCTCTCTGAGGAATTCGTTGGAAACGGGATAATTTCAGCTGACTAAACAGAAGCATTCTCAGAACCTTCTTCGTGATGTCTGCATTCAACTCACAGTGTGGAACCTTTCTTTGATAGTTCAGGTTTGAAACACTCTTTTTGTAGAAACTGCAAGGGGATAATTGCACTTCTTTGAGGCCTACCGTAGTAAAGGAAATAACTTCCTATAGAAAGAAGACAGAAGCATTCTCAGAACCCTCTTCGTGATGTTTGCATTCAACTCACAGTGCTGAACCTTTCTTTGATAGTTCAGCTTTGAAACACTCTTCTTGTAGAAACTGCAAGTGGATATTTGGTCCTCTCTGAGGATTTCGTTGGAAACGGGATAAACCGCACAGAACTAAACAGAAGAATTCTCAGAGCCCTCTTCGTGATGTTTGCATTCAACTCACAGTGCTGAACCTTTCTTTGATAGTGCAGCTTTGAAACACTCTTTTTGTAGAAACTGCAAGTGGATGTTTGGTCCTCTCTGAGGATTTCGTTGGAAACGGGATAAACCGCACAGAACTAAAACAGAAGCATTGTCAGAAACTTCTTTGTGATGATTGCATTCAACTCACAGAGTTGAAGGTTCCTTTTCAAACAGCAGTTTCCAATCACTCTTTCTGTGGAATCTGCAAGTGGATATTTGGGCCTCTCTGAGGATTTCGTTGGAAACGGGATAAAACGCACAGAACTAAAACAGAAGCATTCTCAGAAACTTCTCTGTGATGTTTGTGTTCAACTCCCAGAGTTTCACGTTGCTTTTCATAGAGTAGTTCTGAAACATGCTTTTCGTAGTGTCTGCAAGTGGACATTTGGAGCGCTTTCAGGCCTGTGGTGGAAAACGAATTATGGTCACATAAAAACTGGAGAGAAGCCTTCTCAGAAACTTCTCTGTGATGATTGCATTCAACTCACAGAGTTGAACCCTCCTATGGATAGAGCAGTGTTGAAACTCTCTTTTTGTGGAATCTGCAAGTGGATATGTGGACCTCTCCGAAGATGTCTTTGGAAACGGGAATATCTTCACATAAAAACTAAACAGAAGCATTCTCAGAAACTTCTTGGTGATGTTTGCATTCAAATCCCAGAGTTGAACCTTCCTTTGATAGTTCAGGTTTGAAACACTCTTTCTGTAGGATCTGCAAGTGGCTATTTGGACCACTCTGTGGCCTTCGTTCGAAACGGGTATATCTTCGCATAAAATCTAGACAGAAGCATTCTCAGAAAATACTTTGTGATGATTGAGTTTAAATCACAGAGCTGACCATTCCTTTGGATGGAGCAGGTTTGAGACACACTTTTTGTAGAATCTACAAGTGGATATTTGGACCTCTCTGAGGATTTCGTTGGAAACGGGATAACTGCACCTAACTAAACGGAAGCATTCTCAGCAAACTGCTTTGTGATGATTGCATTCACCTCACAGCGTTGAACATTCCTATTGATAGAGCAGTTTGGAAACACTCTTGTTGTGGAATGTGCAAGTGGAGATTTGGAGCGCTTTGAGGCCTGTGGTAGTAAAGGGAATAGCTTCATAGAAAAACTAGACAGATGCATTCTCAGGAACCTTTTGGTGATGTTTGTATTCAACTCCCAGAGTTGAACTTTCCTTTGGAAAGAGCAGCTATGAAACACTCTTTTTCTAGAATCTGCAAGTGGACGTTTGGAGGGCTTTGTGGTTTGTGGTGGAAAAGGAAATATCTTCACCTAAATACTAGATAGAAGCATTCTCAGAAGCTTCTCTGTGATGACTGCATTCAACTCACGGAGTTGAACACTCCTTTTGAGAGCGTAGTTTTGAAACTCTCTTTCTGTGGCATCTGCAAGGGGACATGTAGACCTCTTTGAAGATTTCGTTGGAAACGGAATCATCTTCACATAAAAACTATACAGAAGCAGTCTCAGAATCTTCTTTGTGATGTTTGCATTCAAATCCCAGAGTTGAACTTTCCTTTCAAAGTTCACGTTTGAAACACTCTTTTTGCAGGATCTACAAGTGGATATTTGGACCACTCTGTGTCCTTCGTTCGAAACGGTTATATCTTCACAAGACATCTAGACAGAAGCTTTCTCAGAAAATTCTTTGGGATGATTGAGTGGAACTCACAGATCTGAACATTCCTTGCGATGTAGCAGTTTAGAAACACACTTTCTGCAGAATCTGCAAGTGCATATGTGGACCTCTTTGAGGAATTCGTTGGAAACGGGATAATTTCAGCTGACTAAACAGAAGCATTCTCAGAACCTTCTTCGTGATGTCTGCATTCAACTCACAGTGTGGAACCTTTCTTTGATAGTTCAGGTTTGAAACACTCTTTCTGTAGAAACTGCAAGGGGATAATTGCACTCTTTGAGGAGTACCGTAGTAAAGGAAATAACTTCCTATAAAAAGAAGACAGAAGCATTCTCAGAACCCTCTTCGTGATGTTTGCATTCAACTCACAGTGCTGAACCTTTCTTTGATAGTTCAGCTTTGAAACACTCTTTTTGTAGAAACTGCAAGTGGATATTTGGTCCTCTCTGAGCATTTCGTTGGAAACGGGATAAACTGCACAGAACTAAACAGAAGCATTCTCAGAACCTTCTTCGTGATGTTTGCATTCAACTCACAGTGTTGAACCTTTCTTTGATAGTTCAGGTTTGAAACGGTCTTTCTGTAGAAACTGCAAGTAGATATTTGGACCTCTCTGAGGATTTCGTTGGAAACGGGATAACCCGCACAGAACTAAAACAGAAGCATTCACAGAAAACTCTTGGTGACGACTGAGTTTAACTCACAGAGCTGAACATTCCTTTGGATGGAGCAGTTTCGAAACACACTATTTGTAGAATGTGCAAGTGGATATTTAGGCCTCTCTGAGGATTTCGTTGGAAACGGGATAAACCGCACAGAACTAAACAGAAGCATTCTCAGAAACTACTTTGTGATGATTGCATTCAAGTCACAGAGTTGAACATTCCCTTTGACAGAGCAGTTTGGAAACTCTCTTTGTGTAGAATCTGCAAGTGGAGATATGGACCGCTTTGAGGCCTATGGTAGTAAAGGAAATAGCTTCATATAAAAGCTAGACAGTAGCATTCTCAGAAACTTCTTTGTGATGCTTGCATTCAACTCACAGAGTTGAACTTTCCTTTCGAGAGAGAAGCTTTGAAACACTCTTTTTCCAGAATCTGCAAGTGGACATTTGGAGGGCTTTGAGGCCTGTGGTGGAAAAGGAATTATCTTCCCGTAAAAGCTAGATAGAAGCATTGTCAGAAACTTCTTTGTGATGATTGCATTCAACTCACAGAGTTGAAGCTTCCTTTTCAAAGAGCAGTTTCCAATCACTCTTTGTGTGGAATCTGCAAGTGGATATTTGGACCTATTTTGAAGATTTCGTTGGAAACGGGAGAATCTTCACAGGAAAGCTAAACAGAAGCATTCTCAGAAACTTCTCTGTGATGTTTGTGTTCAACTCCCAGAGTTTCACATTGCTTTTCATAGAGTAGTTCTGAAACATGCTTTTCGTAGTGTCTACAAGTGGACATTTGGAGCGCTTTCAGGCCTGTGGTGGAAAACGAATTATGGTCACATAAAAACTGGAGAGAAGCCTTCTCAGAAACTTCTCTGTGATGATTGCATTCAACTCACAGAGTTGAACCCTCCTATGGATAGAGCAGTGTTGAAACTCTCTTTTTGTGGAATCTGCAAGTGGATACGTGGACCTCTCCGAAGATGTCTTTGGAAACGGGAATATCTTCACATAAAAACTAAACAGAAGCATTCTCAGAAACTTCTTGGTGATGTTTGCATTCAAATCCCAGAGTTGAACCTTCCTTTGATAGTTCAGGTTTGAAACACTCTTTTTGTAGGATCTGCAAGTGGATATTTGGACCACTCTGTGGCCTTCGTTCGAAACGGGTATATCTTCGCATAAAATCTAGACAGAAGCATTCTCAGAAAATACTTTGTGATGATTGAGTTTAACTCACAGAGCTGAACATTCCTTTGGATGGAGCAGGTTTGAGACACACTTTTTGTAGAATCTACAAGTGGATATTTGGACCTCTCTGAGGATTTCGTTGGAAACGGGATAACTGCACCTAACTAAACGGAAGCATTCTCAGAAACTGCTTTGTGATGATTGCATTCACCTCACAGAGTTGAACATTCCTATTGATAGAGCAGTTTGGAAACACTCTTGTTGTGGAATGTGCAAGTGGAGATTTGGAGCGCTTTGAGGCCTATGGTAGTAAAGGGAATAGCTTCATAGAAAAACTAGACAGATGCATTCTCAGGAACTTTTTGGTGATGTTTGTATTCAACTCCCAGAGTTGAACTTTCCTTTGGAAAGAGCAGCTATGAAACACTGTTTTTCTAGAATCTGCAAGTGGACGTTTGGAGGGCTTTGTGGTTTGTGGTGGAAAAGGAAATATCTTCACCTAAATACTAGATAGAAGCATCCTCAGAAGCTTCTCTGTGATGACTGCATTCAACTCACGGAGTTGAACACTCCTTTTGAGAGCGCAGTTTTGAAACTCTCTTTCTGTGGCATCTGCAAGGGGACATGTAGACCTCTTTGAAGATTTCGTTGGAAACGGAATCATCTTCACATAAAAACTATACAGAAGCAGTCTCAGAATCTTCTTTGTGATGTTTGCATTCAAATCCCCGAGTTGAACTTTCCTTTCAAAGTTCACGTTTGAAACACTCTTTTTGCAGGATCTACAAGTGGATATTTGGACCACTCTGTGTCCTTCGTTCGAAACGGGTATATCTTCACATGACATCTAGACAGAAGCTTTCTCAGAAAATTCTTTGGGATGATTGAGTTGAACTCACAGAGCTGAGCATTCCTTGCGATGTAGCAGTTTAGAAACACACTTTCTGCAGAATCTGCAAGTGCATATTTGGACCTCTGTGAGGAATTCGTTGGAAACGGGATAATTTCAGCTGACTAAACAGAAGCATTCTCAGAACCTTCTTCGTGATGTCTGCATTCAACTCACAGTGTGGAACCTTTCTTTGATAGTTCAGGTTTGAAACACTCTTTCTGTAGAAACTGCAAGGGGATCATTGCACTCTTTGAGGAGTACCGTAGTAAAGGAAATAACTTCCTATAAAAAGAAGACAGAAGCATTCTCAGAACCCTCTTCGTGATGTTTGCATTCAACTCACAGTGCTGAACCTTTCTTTGATAGTTCAGCTTTGAAACACTCTTTTTGTAGAAACTGCAAGTGGATATTTGGTCCTCTCTGAGCATTTCGTTGGAAACGGGATAAACTGCACAGACCTAAACAGAAGCATTCTCAGAACCTTCTTCGTGATGTTTGCATTCAACTCACAGTGTTGAACCTTTCTTTGATAGTTCAGGTTTGAAACGGTCT